>NC_000011.10:126263333-126566364 GCF_000001405.40 Homo sapiens
ACAAATCACTCCAGCCTAGCTGATGCTTTGGGGTAAACAATGGAGTAGGAGTCATCATCAGAATTAGAATTAGCAGCAATTAACAGGCAATACACTGCCACAGTGAGGCGGGTGTCATCCAGGTCCTGGGGACCTGCAGGCTGTGTATCCTAGGGAGAGGTGCCATTCAAGACCTGGCGCTGGCTCTGGAAGAGTCTCTTAACCTAATGCAGCTGGGACTCATTAGGCTCAGACGGCTCTTGACCACACTAATTATTAGCAAAGCTCTGGTGTTGGGTTCCAACCATTGGTCAAAGCTGTAATAAGACTGAGTCTGTAGGCAGAGTGAAGGGGGTGCCTGAGTAGGAAGGGGGAGGCCCGCTGGGAGAGGGTCAGTGGGCAGTGATTGTAACATGATTAGGCCTTCCTTGCAGATGGCGGCTGTGCTGAACGGGGAGTGGGGTTGGAAGGAGCCACAAGCCCCCTCACTCTGCCTTTGTACTACACTGAAGACAGGTTGCTCACATACTCTAAAGCACATTCTTGATACAGGAAGAAGGGCTTGTGGGGAAAGCGGCGATTTGGTATTGGGCAAGAGCCACGTTAAGCCTTCATGAGGGCAGCCACCACAGCCTTGGCATTGAGGCTGCGTAGGTCACAGTAGGTCTGGCCGGTGCCCACAAAGACGATGGGTTTGCTTGTGATGTACGTCATAGAAATAGCAGCTCCCACCTAAGTGGAGAAAGAGGACAGCCCATCAACACAAGCCCACTTTTCACTCACCCTCTCAGGAACAGGAAGCGCTGGAGCCAAGATTTCCTTGCAGCCTCAGCTCCTTTGTGCAGGACGCCCATTCCAGCCTCCAGTCTCACGTTTACCTTGTCATCAATGGTATCAAATTTGGTAAGAACAATGCCATCAATGAGCCGAGGTGTCTGAGCCATAGAATGGTCAGCCAAGGCTCTGTTGAACTTGACCTGGAAAGAAAAAGTGATAGAAGTGTAAGAACCATCTAAATTGACCAAAGCTCAAGTTGTAAAGGGAACTGGGCCCACGCTCTCACCAGCTGGTCCACGGCTTCATTGCCTACTAAGGCTTCTCCTACAAACAGCACCAAATCAGGTGTATTGACAGTAATGAGTTTGGCCAGGGCAGTCATCAGAGGGGCATTGTCTTGCATGCGGCCTGCCGTGTCCACCAGCACCACGTCAAAGCCTTGGTTACGTGCTAGAGAAAGAAAGTAGTCAACTCTGAACACCTGGACTACCACTCATGCTCGTTCCCAGCTTCCTCTCAAAAAGTCCTAGTTTGACTACCTGTTCACTGTCTTGGGCTCTGGATTTGGTTCCAAGGTAATGTGAGAAAAACTTGATTATATGCTTGGCCATCACCAAACATATTCAGGAAAAGGAGGACAACAGGATGAAGGTGACCAAATTCAGGTTTCTCTGGTTAAGGTATATTAGCTTTGCCTGCAACTACATCTGTTATCCAAAAGCAGAGCATGGCAAGTAACTGATCTGACTTTTTACTGTAATTGACCAACGAGTCTGTAGTAGCACAAGCCTGATCTTCTGCAAATTCCAAGAGAACCCAAGGAGAAAAAGGGACCCCAAATAAGCCCCCACACTTCCCATGCACTGTACCAAAAGCAATGGCTTCCATGGCAATGCCAGCAGCATCCTTGCCATAGCCCTTTTCAAACAACTGCACCATGGTGCGGCCACCATGCTTCTCTGGAGGGTGTAGGGCACTCAAACGCCGGGTGTGTGTACGCAGCTGCTCCACGGCCCCAGCACGAAATGTATCACAGGCAGCAATGAGGACACTGAAGCCATTCTCTAACAACCAGAAGGAAATCTGTGAAAAAGACGTAAGAAAAGTCACCTAAAGCCAGGATTTTGAGACACAAGAAGTACAGAAATATCAGCGATAGGCTGGGGAACTGCACTGACCTTGGCAAGATTAGTAGATTTCCCCACTCCATTAACGCCGCAGAAGGTGACGACATAAGGGCGCTGGCGACGCTGGGCATCCATGATGTCCCGGAGCATGTCTACACGACGCTGTGGCTGCAGAATCTGCACCAGGGACTCCTGTAGGGCTTGCTTTACTGTGGAAGTCACCGCTGAAAGGGGAGGTGGAGGAGGTTGCAGCTGTGAAACTCAAGGAATGCTCTCAAAAATGCCTAACACCTTTCTGAGCTAAGGGGACTAAAACAGTAAATTAGACTCTTGTCCCAGAAATCCAGAACAGACGCACATTACAAGGACTAACTCACTGAATCCTCTCAATAACCCTTAAAATCTAGGTTACAGAGGTTTAGAGGTTAAGGAATTTGCCGAAAGTCACATACCTAGTAAGAACTGAGGTCTATGCACTTAACCTACACATAAGCACTTTCTCACTTAGGTAAGTACTTACTGCTGAACGTCCCCATCACCTTCCCTTCCAACTTGTTGGCAACAGATTCACAGAGCTGGACGGCAATGTCTGCAGCCACGTTCTTAGCTGAGGAGAGGGGGACAGGTATGTCAGTTCCATGTCAGCAATGACCAATCTTTATGGTACAGGTGAGAAACGCTAGGTGATTCTGCTCTCAACTACCCCTATCCCGCGAGTATGAGTCAGCCCGGTCCTCAGAACTTACCAATGAGATGATCACGCATCTTGTCCAGCACAGATTCCATGTCTTCACGACTCAAGCTCTTTGAACCCACAAGGCCCTTCAGCATACCAAACATGCCACCCAGTGTTCCCTTGGTCGCACTGCAGGGACAGGAGATTACACATACACATAAAACCAGTAGGCAGGAGTTGTATCTTACCAGTTTTGCAGATGCATATACCAACCCCCACCTGAAATTCCCCTACCTAGGTTTGGTAGAGTTTTGAGCAGCCCCTTCGTCATCAGAGCTGCTGCAGTCCAGATCCTGAAGCTGCCCCCCAGACCCAGTCCCTCGAATCTGGAAGATACGGGGAAAGGATGTGGGGTCAGGAACACTAAGGTCTCTGAGGAAAACGTCCACATTGCTCTATCTCTTTCATTTTGGGAAGCTCCAAGTATAACTTACCCCTCATTCAAATCCCAGTATCACGTTCCCACACTCTACTTCCTCCCAATTTGTTGTTAAAGATCACTTTGACCCCTGTTACCTCTTACCAGGTTGATGTCCTCAGACAAGGCAGCCTCAGGGGTTCCATTGGTGGTGGGAGTACTGTAATCCAACACTTCTTTGTTAGCACAGCCACCCAGTTCCCACACCCGGGGTGCTTTTTTGCCCTTCTCCTTTGGAGCATCTGACTTCGTGGACTTGCTGCAACAGGTTATGATACAAAGAGTTATGGTGGAGAAGTAGGAAAGGAAACATGAGCCAGAGACCAGAACTCCCTTGCACCCATTGTGTCTAGATAACAGTATTTTGAGAGTACTGGAGAAAGAGTGCTCACTTGGACTTCTCCATACCCCTCCCATGCTTCTGAATGAACTCCTCGCGCTTCCTGCGGATCAGCTCCTCTTTGGAAAGTTCTACTCCGTTCTCAGGACCCACTGGAAGACCTGACTTTTCTGCAGGGACTGGTTTGCTGGTAGCCAAAGGACCATCAGAACCTGTTGGGGAAAAAACTCACTGAAGAAAAAAGAAGACCAATCCCAACCACTAGACAATGGCTAAAAGTCTTCCAAATTGTTCAAAGGAAATTTGGACCAAACATCTTGGAGTTCATAAGGCCTGGGGATTATAGGATGGTGACCATTTGAGTGAGAAGCAGGTAAGCAATGACAAAAGGAAGGACCACCTCAGTCCTTAGCACCGTGTTAACACCTTTCATGTCCCAGTATATCCAAAGAACTCAAACTTGCCTTCCTTCTTGGCCCCCTTTTTTTTGCTATTCTTTGCTTTTTCCTTGGGCTTTTCCCCCCGTGTCTCAATCATGGACCTCACAGGTTTCTTGGCCTTTTCAGAATCTTCAAATTTCTTCATGGTAGTGGGAGCACGGATCTTACTGCTCTCCTCTGCTTCACTAAACAAAAAGGAGAATGGTTTATCTTTCTACCCCATGCAGAAGGAAAAATAACGGTCCAGAGAAAGGACTCTCACACCCAAGAGGACAATGAGAACTGGGTAGCAAATTAGGAATGTCTTTGAACACATCAATTTACCACCTTTGAACCACCTTCAGAGAGGTCATCAAATCATGGAAATAAATTGATTTTAGAGAAGGCAGGTCTCTCACCGAAGGAGCCGCAGGAAGTCATTTTGGAAATCAAAAGTGCCATTTAATAAACTTAAAGCACTTTGCTGTTGGATCTCTGTGCGGTACTTGTCCCGAAACAGCCGATGCACGTCATCTATCAATTTGTCTACATATGTCAGTGTCAGGATCTTCTGAAAACCAACCTGTTTAGGGGAAGAAACAGCCAACAGATCTGCTTACATACTAGCCTAGAATGGAGGGACGCCAACTCAACCCTGGCTTTCAGAGATAGGTTCAGCTACCTGGCCGGTTTCCCTGTCCTGAGAGGCAGCCAAGCTCCCTGCCTGGGCCCAGTAGCTGCTGTTTTCCCCCATCTACCTTTCTAGTTTTTTCAGTTACGTCATCATATACACTGGCTGCAATTAATCAGAGTTCTCTTAAAAATCAGGGCTATGTTAACAATGCAATCGTCCCTCTACAACACCCCACTTACCACAAACACCAGCTCAAACTGGTTGTCCAGTTTATACTTGAGTGTGAGTGCCTCATGGGTGAAGGAGTTGTTACCTCCCCGTTCCTGGAGAAAGAGTATGTCTCAGTGTTCAGACTATCCCCAGAAAACCCAGGTTTGGGCCCTGGGTTTGGATAACCTTTGGGAAAGAGCCAAACATTTCCCCCAAACTCAAATCTGTCCCCAGGACAAGAGGATGTTGGGGCACTTCTCTCTGGCATTCCACCAGAAATAAGATAACCAAGTTGGGGGAAAAAGATGAGAGAGAGAGCAAGACACATGGGAGCCAAAAGGGAAGTAGTCATGTAAACAATCAGATTACTAGCAGCTATACACCATTTAGTTTTGTAAAGGTGTTTTCCCATCTGTTATTTCACCTAGGCTCGAAACAACAAAACCAAGCTGCTGGGGATAAATAGAGGGAGCGGAGGAGAATCCCAAAGGCGCCGGAATTCGGCTAGAGTTGAGACACCAGAGGCGGGGGCCGTCATTAAGTTGCGGGGTAGTCTGAAGGGGACGAGAAAACGAAGCGGAGTCCGGGTTACGCGTGAGTGGTCAGTGTGAGGTGGGCGGGGAGGGTGGGAGGAGGCGCGGAATAGAGTCGAAGGGGACCATGGATCGGGTCAGGAAAGAAGAGCCTGGAGTTCTGATCCCACGGGGACGGTACCTGCAGCAGCACGGAACGAATCAACGCGTTAACGGGTCCGGTGCATGAGTCGCTAACGCCCTGGAAGCACCAGAGCACAAGCCCGCCCTTGGAGAAAATGGTGAAGAAGTCGAGCATGGCGGCAGCGGCAGAGGAGCTGGGGCCGGCGCCGGGAATTCAGGCCGCGTTCGCCGCCGCTTCCTGCTGCGCCAAGCGCGGGACACGTCACACCAGTGGCCCCGGAAATCGGCTCAACCGTACTTCCGCTCAGAACGCCGGGTGCCCTCCCCATCTCCGCCCGGGGGCGCGCAGGACTGACGTATCGCAAGGCCAGCCAATGGCGGGTGGGAGCGGGCCTGGGTGGGGCTCCAGGAGAGGTCACGGGGAGACGGCCACCTAGAGCATTGGGCGGGGCAGAGCCCTGAGGGCCGCTGGCCAATTGGCGCGCTCGTCTGAATGGCGTTTGGCGCGGAGCAGTGACGGCTGCGATAATAGCGAGGCAGCAGTGCAGCTTTCAGAGGGTCCGGGCTCAGAGGGGTTATGATTCGGAGGGTTCTGCCGCACGGCATGGGCCGGGGCCTCTTGACCCGGAGGCCAGGCACGCGCAGAGGAGGCTTTTCTCTGGGTAAAGTTGAGGACGACAGAGGGTATTGTGGTTCTGGGTTGTCCCCAACCTCCGACTGTGTGTCCTTCAGGACCCGAAACCATGGCCCACACTGGCAGGACAGTGGGTCGGCTTGGGGAAGGGGGTTAGCTTACCTACCAGAGCTTGTAGGGGCTGTGCAGGTGTATGGCTCCCAAGGCGGCCCTTTTCAGGTGGCAGGTCTCACATCATTCTCCATTTAAGCTTACAGTCAGACTGATTGATAATCGGTGGCACAGATGTGCATTAAGTCCTGCCCGTGTTCAGGATGCTGTACTTAGTGCTGTTGCGGTAAAGGAGTGAAGAGAAGACGGGATTCAGTGAATGTTCTGGAAAATGGCTAGAGTGTACCTAGAGAGGGAAAATTTCAATAGACAGTAGGCCAGTTCAAGACTGGATAGAGGCCGGGCGCGGGGCCTGTAATCCTAGCACTTTGGGAGGTCGAGGCGGGTGGATCACCTGAGCTCAAGAGTTCGAGAGCAACCTGACCAACATGGTGAAACACCGTCTCTACTAAAAATACAAAAATTAGCTAGGTGTGGTGGTGGGCTCCTGTAATCCCAGGTACTCGGGAGGCTGAGGCAGGAGAATCGCTTGAACCCGGAAGGCGAAGGTTGCAATGAGCCGAGATCATGCCATTGCACTCCAGCCTGGGCGACTTAGCGAAACTCCGTCTCAAAAAAAAAAAAAAAAAAAAAAAGATTAGCTAGAACTCAACTTAATGCTTTGCACTGCTAGCTAGTATAACGGTAGAAGTACATGGAGCAGGTGGGAACTGAGATCAGCCTTGGAGGATGTTTACTGGCTTAAGAAAGGTGTGTGTTCCAGTCTCTAAATAACTGAGTGCAGACTAGGAGAAAAATATTGTTCTTATGCAAGGAACTGGCAAAAGCCATCTAGATAGACGGTGTGAGTAGTAGCATGAAATGTAGTGTGGACAGGTAAGCTAAGGCCAGACCAAAGAAAGATTCCAGTGCTGCTGAGAAGAGTTTGAGTGAGGTATGAAATGGCAAAAGGATTCATTTATTTAAGATACTTACTGAGCACTTAGAATATGCCGGGTGTTGCGATAGGCTGGAGATTCAGTGGTGAAGGTAAACACAGCCTCCCCCCTCATGGATTTTAGAGTATGTAACAATACAAACTGCAGTTGTGTCCAAGAGATCATGTAGAGTTTGACCTGGTCTGGGGGTCAGGAAAGGCTTTCCCAAGCAAGGAATTAACTAGGCAAGGAAGTGGACACAGTTTAAAAGCAGAGAGCATATGTAGGTTCCCTGTGGTGGGAGGAAATAAGGTGCCATCAAGGAACTAAAGGGCCTGGAGTGTAGGGGAGGATAAGATGAACAGAAGCCAGATTGTGCAGTATCTTACAGGCTGTGTTTAAGTCTTTGGACTTTGGTTCTTAGAGTAATGGAAAACTCATTGGAGGGTTTTAAGCAAGAGGGTTTGTGATTAAATTTGTGTTTTGAAAAGATATTTCTAGCTATATTGTAAACATGTTCACAGCAGGGGGTAGGATGGAAGCGGGGAATCAGTGGGAACAGTTAGGATGCTTTTGCATTTGTCCAGTTGAGAGATGATAGTGGCTTGGCCTAGGATGATGGTGGCAGAGGAAGAAAGGGGACAGATTGAGGAGTTACTTGGAAGCCGGAGCCCGCAGAACTTGATTATGGATAGGATATAAATGTAGGTTTGGTGGTGGTGATGGATATCCAGGATAAGCATGGCACCGCTTAGCGGTGACATGCTTCAGAGGGTGCCGTGACTTGGGGTGTGCCAGGGCCTCTTGGTCCAAGGCCTGGAAGACCCAAGTGGGGATGACAGTGCAGTTGAATATGTGAGTTGGGATCAGGAGAGGTCTATGCAGGAGGTAATGTAGAAAATTAATTTTAGGAAATTGAATCTTGCAGTGCTTGGCACAATGCATGAAGAGACTGATGGCATGTGGACTATTCAGAAAACTGTGGCAACACTGTTGGGTGCAAGGTGACCTTATGAGATGGGCTGACAGTGGGGACTGCCAACTCATGTGTCTGTTTAGCTCACCTTTTCCTGTGCCCATCCTCCAACCCCCCAACCATGTGGGAAGGAAATGTTTGGCCCTCTGACCCTAACTACATCCCACAGACTGGGATGGAAAGGTGTCTGAGATTAAGAAGAAGATCAAGTCGATCCTGCCTGGAAGGTCCTGTGATCTACTGCAAGACACCAGCCACCTGCCTCCCGAGCACTCGGATGTGGTGATCGTGGGAGGTGGGGTGCTTGGCTTGTCTGTGGCCTATTGGCTGAAGAAGCTGGAGAGCAGACGAGGTGCTATTCGAGTGCTAGTGGTGGAACGGGACCACACGGTGAGGTCTGGGGTAGGGCAGAGTCATGAGTGGGGCAAGAAAGATGACTCATTTTATTAAGGACTCTAGCGACAAGGGAAGGAGAGGAGGGGAAGACCTCAATCTCGGAGGGTCCAACGGACAGAGATTGTGCTTTGGACTTTGTTGAGAAATTTTCCTAGGATCTTCCTCAGTCGAACCAGGAAGCTTGGCAATAAGGTTTGTTCTTTTGAAAGCAGATATCACCATATTGGATTTTTCGAGATCTCATAGCTCTGGTCATGAGAGCCTGCATTCAAGCTATAATTAAGTGTCTCAATTTTCTCTTTTTTTTTTTTTTTTTGAGACAGAGTCTTGCTCTGTCACCCAGGCTGGAGTGCAATGGCACAATCTCAGCTCACTGCAACCTCCACCTCCCAGGTTCAAGTGATTATCCCACCTCCGCCCCCTGAGTAGCTGAGATTACAGGGACACACCCTGATGCCCAGCTATTTTTTGTATTTTTAGTAGAGATGAGGTTTCACCATGTTGCCTAGGCTGGTCTTGAACTCCGAACCTCAAGTGATCTGCCCGCCTTGGCTTCTCAAAGTGCTGGGATTACAGGCATGAGCCACCATTCCCAGCCCTCAACTTGCTTCTTTTGGGTCCCGTTACTTCTGAGGTTTTTTGCATTTTATTGTATTTATTTATTTCGAGACAGGGTCTCGCTCTGTTGCCCAGGCTGGAGTACGGTATAACCTCCACCTCCCAGGCTCAAGTGGTCCTCCCACCTTAGCCTCCAGAGTAGCTGGGACCACAGGCATGCACCACCACACCTGGCTAATTTCTGTATTTTTTGTAGAAATGGGGTTTTGCCACGTTGCCCAGCTGGTCTCAGATTCCTGAACTCAAGCAATCAGCCCGCCTCGGCCTCCCAAAGTGCTGGGATTACAGGCATGAGCCACCCACCCGGCTGGTTTTTACACTTTAGGTGTTCCTGTTTGCATTGCCAGCTAGCCACGAGTCTTGCTACTTTACTTCAATCATAACCTTTCATTTCCCAAATGGTAGGTCAAACGTTAATCGCCTGCCCTTGGACTTCCAGGCCATTACCATTTTGTACCACTGTGTCAGCTCTTTCCAGATGACTGACCCTCTCTGCTCTGCACATCCACTACTAATGATTTTAAACACCATTGCCTTCAAGTTGACTTACACATGGGTCTTAGATTATAGACTTGCAAATAGGACTCCCCTTCAACTTTAGGTGTATAGCTCGAAGCTTTCATTGCAGTATTCTAGTCACATGTGATAGGGTACTGGTCTACCTCAACTTTTCTTGTCTTTCCACAGTATTCACAGGCCTCCACTGGGCTCTCAGTAGGTGGGATTTGTCAGCAGTTCTCATTGCCTGAGAACATCCAGCTCTCCCTCTTTTCAGCCAGCTTTCTACGGAACATCAATGTAGGTGCAATGATATCCGGGATGTTGGGGTGGTTACCCCTCCTTTAGCCCAGAGTGGGGAGCAGCCCAGCTAGCAAGGTAGCCAGAGAGCAAGAATGGGTCAGCCAACTAGGAGAGGGGGGCCCTGGCCTTCTTCCTAGTGGTGGTGCCGCAGGTCTGGGGCACTGAGCCTGGGGAGCTGTGGGGGAAGAAGGCAGGAAAACTCTTTCTGGCATCCTTAAGTCAGTTTCTTTCAGGAGCTTCTGTCTGCACACAGGAGTACCTGGCCGTAGTCGATGCTCCTCCCCTGGACCTCCGGTTCAACCCCTCGGGCTACCTCTTGCTGGCTTCAGAAAAGGATGCTGCAGCCATGGAGAGCAACGTGAAAGTGCAGAGGTGGGTGCCTGGCACAGCCTCTTAGCTGCTTGGCAGCCAAAGGTGTTGGGTGACTCCTGCACCAGGTTAGGAAGCGAGAAAGTGGAGTTGATAAGACAGATCCCTGCGGTCTAGGACCTCAGTGTGTCAGGAAGAAAATACACAGACCTGCAATGCCCTGGGAGTGCTGTACCACAGATATGGACAAAACACTGCGAGGTGCTTCCTAATTTGTCAGATCATGAAAACCACCTGGAACACATCCCAGACCTAATAAACCAGAATCTCTAGGGAAGGAGCCCACAAATCTGGGTTTTTAACAAGAACCTTAAGTCAGGAGTTAGCAAACTTTTTCTGTAAAGGGCCAGATAGTATATATTTTAGGTTTTGCTGGCCATACAGTCTCTATTCCAACCACTTTGCTATCACAGCATGAAAGCAGCCATAGACAAAAGTGCAAATGAAGGAGTGTGGCTCATTTATGAAAACAGGCAGCAGGTCGGATTTGGCAACCCCTGCTCTAAGTGATTCTCATGGTCAGGTGAGGGTGGGCATGTTTGTGATGCAATATGGCCAGAGGCTTTATTTGTATGTTTATTTAACAAACACCCAAGTCTCAGAGTGACATCAATTAATATCCTAAATGCTGTACAGATATTAACTCATTTAATCATCAGAACATCCCCATTTTACATATGAGGAAACTGAGGCATAAGGCGCTAGTAAGTGGTGGCGGTAGGATCTTATTTGAAGCCAGCAGTCTGGCTTGTGAGTGTTCTGTTGGTGTGTCCGCTATGCTGCCTTTGAGGGACAGTGTCCCAGAGGAGATACCTGTGCTCAGGAACAGGATTGTACAAGGAGTGGAGAGGAGGTGGATCCAGGCAGGAGTGGAGGGAACAAGGTTACCACCTTGTTGTGAAAGTTCATGGAATAGGCTGGGTGCAGTGTCTCATGCCTGTAATCCCAGCATTTTGGGAGGCCACGGCAGATGGAACACCTGAGGTCAGGAGTTCGAGACCAGCCTGGCCAACTGGTGAAACCTCATCTCTACTAAAAATACAAAAATTAGCTGGGTGTGGTGGCGTGTGCCTGTAGTCCCAGCTACTCCAGAGGCTGAAGCAGGAGAATCGCTTGAACCCGGGAGGAGGAGGTTGCAGTGAGCCAAGATCGCGCCACTGCACTCCAGCCTGGGTGACAGAGCCAGACTCATTGAAAAAAAAAAAAAGAAGTCATGGAATAGACTGGGATAGCAGGGAGCTCTGTGTGCTGAAGGGAGACAAGGGAGTAGGGAAGGAAAGGCAGTCAAGGCTGAAGAGCCTGACTAGGAGGCTTGGTCTTCAGCCGCTCAGCAATGAGGAAAAATAGGGGCATTTGGGGCAGAGAAGTGACATGACTGAGCTGGACTCCCCACTTGTGGAGTTGGGGTCCATACATCATCCCCCTGCACACTCCCCTCTCTGACACACATACACCGACCCACACGTTTATCTCAGGCAGGAGGGAGCCAAAGTTTCTCTGATGTCTCCTGATCAGCTTCGGAACAAGTTTCCCTGGATAAACACAGAGGGAGTGGCTTTGGCGTCTTATGGTGAGGCTTGCTTGCAGAGGGGACAGCTTTTTTCCTGAAGATGGAGACTAAGGGGTGCTACACGTTGGGAGTCTCGGTACTCCACAGCCAAGCTGAAGGAGGAACACTTCCCTCCTGTGTCACGGGAACTGCCCTGGGCCGTGGTAGTTCTCTGTCCTTCATCAGGCTTTGTCTCTGTGGTTCAGTTGGTTAAGATGACCTTCCCCGGCTTACAAGCCCTAGAGAGGGGTTGGGGGGCACAGGAAATACAATCCAAGAGCAGAAGTCCTCATCCCTCTTTGTGAGTTCTCTTTTTCTTATCACAGGGATGGAGGACGAAGGTTGGTTTGACCCCTGGTGTCTGCTCCAGGGGCTTCGGCGAAAGGTCCAGTCCTTGGGAGTCCTTTTCTGCCAGGGAGAGGTGACACGTGAGTCTGAGCTTGTTTCCTCTAGCAACCGGGGCATAGGCCTAGACTAGGTCTTATCTTCTCACTCACAAGCTAAGCAAGGGCTGGAGGGGGAAAGGGGTCTCCCTGAGAGCAGGTCCTAGGCATCTTGACCTGGGCTCCTCACTGATCTGCGTTGTGACTTGTGATCTGCTTGATGATTGCACCTGAGCACTGTCCTGTCAGAGTGTGGCCAAGCTCATGCCAGCTCCCTCATCTCTGTTTGCTTCAGTGTCTGTGGGAAAGCTCCCATCCTTCCAGCTTTCTTTCCTTAAGAAACCAGTGAAATCCCCATTTCATTCCTCTTCAGCACCTCTACGGCCTATTTTTCATTTTCTTCTCTGCAGGTTTTGTCTCTTCATCTCAACGCATGTTGACCACAGATGACAAAGCGGTGGTCTTGAAAAGGATCCATGAAGTCCATGTAAGTTTCTAGTCTGTGATGTCCTTTACCAAAATGGAGGGACAGGGAAGGTAGTGACTCTCCTTGTTTTGGTTTTCTTTGACCCACTTTCCAGTATGGGTAAACTAAGGCTCAGGAAGCAGTGCATCTCTCAGGGTGCCTGGTGTGTGGTCCGGGCCTTCCCACTCCTCACCCTCTGGTGTCTGCAGGTGAAGATGGACCGCAGCCTGGAGTACCAGCCTGTGGAATGCGCCATTGTGATCAACGCAGCCGGAGCCTGGTCTGCGCAAATCGCAGCACTGGCTGGTGTTGGAGAGGGGCCGCCTGGCACCCTGCAGGGCACCAAGCTACCTGTGGAGCCGAGGAAAAGGTAACTGCCCTCCGGACAGCTGAGGAGGTTGGTGAGAAAGAAAGAAATGACATCGAAGTTGGATAGCGTGTGTGTGTGTGTGTGTGTGTGTGTGTGGGGTGTGGGGTGGACAGGGTTGGGGAGGGTTGCCGGCCATGCTGTTTCTGCAGTTCGTAACCGCACTGGTTGTGGCAGGTATGTGTATGTGTGGCACTGCCCCCAGGGACCAGGCCTAGAGACTCCGCTTGTTGCAGACACCAGTGGAGCCTATTTTCGCCGGGAAGGATTAGGTAGCAACTACCTAGGTGGTCGTAGCCCCACTGAGGTAAGCTGAGTGGGGTGGGACATGCTGGCAAGGAGACATAGAATAATTGTCACGAAACAATCAGGCTTTTGGCCAGGCACAGTAGCTCATGCCTGTAATCTTGGCATTTTGGGAGGCCAAGGCAGGTGGATCACCTGAGGTTAGGAGTTTGAGACCAGCCTGACCAACATGGCAAAACCCCGTCTCTACTAAAAATACAAAACTTAGCTGGGCGTGGTGCTGGGCGCCTGTAATCCCAGCTACTTGGGAGGCTGAGGCAGGAGAATCACTGGAACCCGGGAGGCTGAGGTTGCAGTGAGCCAAGATTGCGCCATTGCACTCCAGCCTGGGCAACAAGAGCAAAACTCCATCTCAAAAAAAAAAAAAAGAAAAAGAATCAGCCTTTTTTGGGGGGCTGTGTGCTGTGTTAATTGATATTAGAGCCCCCTCCAGATTTGAACTGGGACCATTTCTCCCCATCCCCTACCTGCACAGGGATTGTTAAACAAGTCTGGGCCTGTCCTTGTGTCCCAGGCAATGTAAGCGTTGTCCCCACCTCTCACTCCAGCAGGAAGAACCGGACCCGGCGAACCTGGAAGTGGACCATGATTTCTTCCAGGACAAGGTGTGGCCCCATTTGGCCCTGAGGGTCCCAGCTTTTGAGACTCTGAAGGTAACTGGCAAGGGCTGGTTTTCCTTTTTATTTTTGGACATTGGATGGGACAGATGACAGTGGAGCACATTGGTCCCCTCGGACCCGTGACTGCCGTAGTCCCTCCATGTCACAACTGCTAAGGAATTTCTTGGACACATCCCATCCCATAGACCCCTCAGCAGCAGGTAGAGGGTACTCTGTGCTGAGCCCTGAGGGGAGTGAGGATGGAGTGTGGCTACAGCCTTCCCGAGAACCCCAGTGTTTTGTGCACCCGCAGGTTCAGAGCGCCTGGGCCGGCTATTACGACTACAACACCTTTGACCAGAATGGCGTGGTGGGCCCCCACCCGCTAGTTGTCAACATGTACTTTGCTACTGGCTTCAGTGGTCACGGGCTCCAGCAGGCCCCTGGCATTGGGCGAGCTGTAGCAGAGATGGTACTGAAGGGCAGGTTCCAGACCATCGACCTGAGCCCCTTCCTCTTTACCCGCTTTTACTTGGGAGAGAAGATCCAGGAGAACAACATCATCTGAGCATGTGTGCTCTGCACTGGCTCCACTGGCTTGCATCCTGGCTGTGTTCACAGCCTTGTTTGCTGCTTCCATCTTCCCCAGTACTGTGCCAGGCCTTCTCCCCCTCCCCAGTGTCCTCTCCTCTCAGGCAGGCCATTGCACCCATATGGCTGGGCAGGCACAGGCAGTGAGGCCGAGGCCAATAGCGAGTGATGAGCGGGATCCTAGGACTGATCTGTAGCCCATGCTGATGTCACCCACCAGGGCAATCCATCTGGAGGCCTGAGCACCCTGGCCCAGGACTGGCTTCATCCTGGCACTGACCAGGAAAGACTGCCTCTGACCCTCTTAGCAGACAGAGCCCAGGCATGGGAGCACTCTGGGGCAGCCTGGCTCAGGTTTATTGATTTTCGTCTGTTTACCCTATCCATTAATCAATACATGTAATTAACTCCTTCCCTCCAGTCTTCTGTCTCTTCTTTTCATTGTACAGCAGGAGCTTTTGAAGCACCCCATTAGCCTTATACCAGTACAGGGAGTTTTTTTAAAAAAAAACAAAACACGAGCACAAACCCACCTTTCATTAGTTAAATCCTTGAGCGGTGCAGTATCACACAGATTGTGTGTCTGTAGTCTTAGCAGGAAGATTGGGAATTTGGCATAAACCATGCCACTGTTTCCGTGAACCCAAGTTACTTTTTCCCAGATTACTCTGGTTTTGTTTGGTGTGCCACCAGAAGTCGCTGTGTGGTTCTTTGCTTTGTGTACATGAGCACATCTCTTGCCCAAATAGAATTCAGTTTATCCCAGGCATAAATGCTGAAATTTTAAGAAGAGCTGTGTGCCCCCTTTGGTTCTGGAAACCCCATGTACAGCCAGCAAAAATGGCCTTGGACCACAGCCTTCCTGTTCCCAGCAAGCCTCCACAGGCTCCAAGATGGCAGACAGAGTCCTTCTTAGATCCTAGGTGGTAGGCACTTGCTTGTAAGCAAGTGCCTCCCATTCCTGAGTTCCTGCAGGGAGTTTGGTTGTAAAGAAGAGGGATGGGTTTGTCCATCTATTCTACCAAAATTTATTCAGCCCAGCTGTTGGCCAGGGTCAGGGTCACATGTTGAGATACACCAGCAAGCAAAACATAGTCATGTCTTTGCTGGAACTTTCATAGCCCTGCACCTCCTAGCCCTTCACCCCTAGATCAGATACAGTGTGACCCCCACAGTGCTGGCATAAGCACACAACACAGACACCTCACCCAGGGTGGGACTAAGAGGGTGGCAAAGGGGTTTCTCCATGAAGCTCCTCGAGGGAAGTTGACCTCTGAGCTGAACCTAAAGGATGGGCATTTAGTGAAGTGAATGCAAGGTGGCTAAGGGAGGATCCAGGCTGAGGGCAAACCATATGTAAAGGTCCAGAGACAAGAATTAATACGATTCAGGGATTTGTCCTAGTCCACTTGGGCAGCTATCACAACATATCCTAGACTGGGTAATTTATAAATAATAGAGATGTATTGCTCACAGTTCTAGACACTGGGAAGTCCAAGATCAAGGCACCAGCAGATTCAATGTCTAGTAAAGGCCTGCTTTCTGCTTCGAAGATGGTGCTTTCTCACTGCATCCTCACATGGCAGAAGGGGTAAGGCAACTTCTTTCAACCTCTTCTAAGAACACTCGTCCCTTTCATGAGGGTAGAGTCCACATGACTTAATCACGTCCCCAAAAGCCCCGCCTCTTAACACTATCACATTGGGTATCAGGTTCCAACATAGGACTTTAGGGAGGACACCAACATTCAGACCACAGCAGGATTCAGTGTGACTGTTTCTGCCTGGATCGTGGAGTGCGAGAAGAGGAACTAGAGCCACTGAGGGGTTTTAAACAGGAGCAACACGATCGGATTTTCCTTTTAGAAGAATCACCTGGGTGACCCTGTGGAGAGCAGATGAGGATGTCAAGGCAGGCAGCAAGGAGGCCAGATGGAGGCTGTGGTTGCAGTCTGTGTGGCAGGGACAGGGAGTGCCTGAACCATCATGGCAAGAATCAGATGGATCCCAGGGTGACGCCAGCAACAAGAAGTGGGTTAAGTCGCATGGCCAGGTTTCTGGATGGAGGTTCTACCCCTCCCAGAGATGAGGAGCACCAGGGAGGAGCGGAGTGAGGGACAGAGTGAATGGTGCAGTCTGGGATGTGGTGAATGAGGGTACCTGTAGGACATCCCTCAAATAGGGGGTTGGGCTGATTGGCATGGTCCTTGGGGGATGATCTGGGCTGTAGATAGTGATGTGGACATCATGGAACAGGATGGCATCACCCCAGAGGGTAGAGTAGGGGGCCAAGGAGGGAAGCTGGAGGGACCCCACCAACATTTAAGGGACAGACCAGAGAAGGGGACACTGAAGAGGTGCCCACAGAGACAGGAGAAAAGCCAGGAGAGTGTGGTGTCGTGAAGCTAAGGAGGAAGTGATCACGGTGCCTGCTGGATTCGGTCCCAAGTAGGTCAGTGGTGGCCTCACTCGAGAAGAGCAGTTTCAGTGGAATTTAAGGTCTGGACACTTGCACAGGAGAAGTGAATGGGAATAGAAACAGCTGGTAAACTGCCCACTCCGCCTTGAAAGTGGCCTTTGGGATCGGGCGCGGTGGCTCACAGTTGTAATCCCAGGACTCTGGGAGGCCGAGGTGGGAAGATCGCTTGAGCCTACGAGTTCGAGACCAGCTTGGGCAACATGGCAAAATCCTGTCTCTACAAAAAATACAAAAATTAGCCAAGCGTGGTGGCATGCACCTGTAGTCCCAGCTATTAATACGTGGGAGGCTGAGGCAGGAGGATCACTTGAGCCTTGGAGGTTGAGGCTGCAGTGAGCTGTGAGGCACCACTGCACTCCAGCCTGGGTGAAGGAGTAAGACCCTATCTCAAAAACAAAAAACGACAACAGAAAAAGTGGCCTTTGTGGAGAAGGATGAAAGGGAGGGAAGAAATGATGGAGGTGGGCTTTACTAATGGCAGGGGAGGAGATGTGCTACCAGTGAGGTAACAGCAGAAGCCCCTGAGGTTGGGGTGAGGGGGCCAGGCCTAAGGCGGAAGCCAGAAGAGGAAGAAGGCGGTGCTGAAAGACAGGAAGGAACTTGCCAGGGATACGCAGGAGGGACAAGCTGACATCCGGGTTGACCCTGTGAAGTTCCCCTAGGTGCCAGCCAGTTGCTCCCTTCAGCACGGACATTCCAATCTCAGGGCAAAAGGGAAAAGGCCTTCAAGTGTTTCTCACCCAGAAGCTGCTCCCTTCCACACACTGAGTACTATGTTTATTAAGAAGCACTGAGGCCTGTAATCCCAGCACTTTGGGAGGCGGAGGTGGGCAGATCACCTCAGGTCAGGAGTTCGAGACCAGCCTGACCAACACGGAGAACTCCTGTCTCTAGTAAAAATACAAAATTAGCCGGGCATGGTGGCGTGTGCCTGTAATTCCAGCTACTCAGGAGGCAGAGGCAGGAGAATTGCTTGAACCCTGGAGGCGGAGGTTGCAGTGAGCTGAGATTGCGCCATTGCACTCCAGCCTGGGCAACAAGAGTGAAACTCCATCTCAAAAAAAAAAAAAAAGCACTGAGCAACTCTCCTGTCCTCCCACAGGGCTGTACTTCAAGCTGTGGGCAAGCCCTTACCATCGCCTCCGTGCATCTGTCTTCCCCCCTGAGCTGTGCAGAGCTGGGACCAAGCCTTCTTCATCCTTGCCTGACACTCAGCTGCCCCAACACTTGGCCCATACTTGGCGCCGTCAAGGCCTGTTTATCTGAGTGTTCCTCGAGTGTCCTTCTGCTCTGGCTGGAGCCTGAAGAACCATCCCTGGCCTCGGGGAATTTTTACTCTAAAGTGGGAGATAAGCAGCAGAGCACAGGCTCTTTACAATGAAAAGCACTATGGCCTTTGAGGGATGGAGGTGGGAAGGGCTGGGTTAAGCAAAGCTTTCCTGAATAAGCTGCAAAAATGGGCCTTGATCCCTTTGTAGCTCATAAGCAAGATGACTGGGTGTTCACGCACATGTGTGAGGTGTGCCTCCCTTAAACCTTGTTAAGGGTTGTTACCCGTGTGATGGGAAAAAAAAGAAAAAGGAAACAAAAAAACCCCAAAAATAGGCCTTGCTAGAAGAAGGGCGTTTTGCAGAGCGGAGCTGGGGAAAAGGAGGGCCCTGGGCGGAGGTGTACTTGGTAGAGTCAGGTAGAGTCAAAGCAAACTGGGCATTTGGGTGCAGTGCCAAGTGCCTGATCTACTTTATGTAGACTAATCCTTGCAAGAACACCAGCAACCAGATACCATAATGTGATGAAGGAAGCAAGCCTAGAAAAGTTGCGTGACTTCACCAAGGCCACACAACTAGTAAGCGATGAGCGCTGGTTGTGAACCCAGGCAGTTGACTCCAGAGCCCTCCCAGGATGGGCAGCTCATCCGCTTTGGCGGGCTGGTGAGAAAAGGAGGAAATCAAATTGGAGGGGGAGATCATGAATCTTACATGGCCTAATTAAACTACCTCCACTCTCCAGCATTTCGTGCACATAGTTTTAGGATAGGGTTTCCCAAACTGGCATGGCCTGGAGCAAGACGCTCAGGAAGACATTCACATTTCTTGTAGAGTGAAACAAGTGTGGGGAATGCTCCGTTCCCTTCTCCCCAAGGTGCTTCACAGCGCTCACGAACATCTGAAGAGCTCTCAGAAGTGGGAGGCAAAGGCATCTCTTTCACCCAGGACTTCCAGCATCTTGCCTACACCACGCTGTTTGCAGCGGCTCTGCAGCATACTGCAGCGCTGTTCATAACGCCCATGTGGGATCACCGCTTAGAGAAGCAAAGAAAGCACTTTGGCAGAAGACGGGGTTTCCACCCTCCTCGGCATCAACCAGTGTCTGGGACGGGAACTGGCGGCCGCTGCGGCCTGGCTTCCCAGCTGCCGCCCGGGTCTGCCCCTCCCACACTGCAGCCCCGTACACCCCTCGCTGTGTGTGACCTTTGGAAAAGTTCCATCTCTCCAAGCTTCATGTTTCTCATTTGTATAAAAGGAAAAAGGTATGAACACCCCCCTTGCAGGGTGTTAGGAAGATTAAATGGGCGGAATAGGGTGTTTTTTTTTCCTTCTCCCCCGCCTAGAACAAAACCCAGGTTTCAGGTTGTCACGGTGGGCGCCGGGGGACCCTGGCCACGGGCTCCTCTCCGAGTTGCTGCGGACCGCCCCAACGCAAGCGGAGAGGACGGGAGCCCGGAGTCATGCAGAAGCCAGGCTGGCAGGGGCTCGGGCCGCAGTGGACACAGGGGCTGCCCCGTCCCGCGTCTCCCGCAGCCGGATTGTGCCCGAGAGTCTCCCGGGTCTGGACTGGGCCTGGCGGCGTGGGAGGGGCAGTGCGGCGGGCGGCGCTTCCGGAGAGCGGGGCCTGCGCGCTGCTCTTCCCCGCGGAGCCCGCGCAGTCCGCGCAGCCCTCATCGCAACTGGGCCCGCGCGCAGGTGAGCCCGGGGCGGGGTCGCGGGGGACCGGGAGGCGCGGCGGGGCTCCGTGGGGTGGGCGACGGAGCGCGGCCGGCCTGGGCCCCAGAGTCCCGGCCCCACCGAGAGCCGCAGGGGTGCGCGCCGCCTCTGGTCCGGCCTTGCCCTGCTGGCGGCACATCCGCTTCCCTTCTTCACCTTTCTGGCACCCGCAACACGCAAGCGGCATGAAAGGGCCCTCCGAGGAGAATGTCACCTTTTCTGTCGCAAAGAAGCTCGCGCGGGGCGGCTCCCCTTTCGCTTGCCTCGCTGGAAGAGCCTGGCGCTCAGTGCGTTGTGGATATCGTTTCTCCTCACGTTCTTCTCTGCTCCGGTCACAGCCTCTTCCTCTGCTCTTCGGGTTGTCATTGTGGCAGTGATTCAGCAAGTGCATAACATTAGTTAGGGTCAGGGACCTATCGAGGCATTACACCACAGTCATGGGCAGCTACACACGGGCTGGGCAGCCACTGTGCCAACGACTAGGGTGACCGCGGTGGACCAGACAGATCCAGTCTTCTGGTCCCCAGGGGACAGACAGGTACGCTAGAATCACAGCATACCCTAGAAGTGCAACAGAGAGGGGGAAGTGTGGAGAACTCCCGTTGAAACACCAAACCTAGGGGACACCAGGATCAGGAATGACTCAGAGGGAACCACATCTAGTTAGTTTTTAGATTTAAAAGAGTTGATACGTAGGCACACAAATCCTAAGTGTACAGCTCAACCATTTTCCACAACACGCACATTTCCTGATTCAGAGCAATCAATAAAACATGACTACATCCCTGGCTTCTAACGCCATAAAATAGGTTTGCCTGTTTTGGATTTTCCATCCATGGAATCATATATCATGTACTTCTTTTTTTTTTTTTTTTTTTTGAGATGGAGTTTCGCCTTTGTCCTCTGGGCTGGAGTGCAGTGGCGCAATCTCGGTTCACTGCAGCCTCCGCCTTGTGGGTTCAAGCGATTCTCCTGCCTCCTCCCGAGTAGCTGGGATTACAGGCGCCTGCCACCACGCCCGGCTAATTGTTGCATTTTCAGTAGCGACGGGGTTTCGCCATATTGGCCAGGGTGGTCTCGAACTCCTGAACTCAGGTGATCCGCCTGCCTCAGCCTTCCAGAGTGCTGGGATTACAGGCGTGAACCACTGCGCCCAGCCCTTCATGTACTCTTACGTGTGTGACGTCTGACATTCAGTATGTTTTGTGATATTCACCCATGTTTAGTTAGCAGTTTATTCTTGTTGGTATATAATATTCCATTGTATGGCTAGACCACAATTTATTTATCCATTCTACTGGACACGGGTTGATGGACAGTCGTTTCCACTGTGGGGTTATTTTGTATCTTGCTGCTACAGACATTCTTGTGAATGTCTTTTGGTAAACATCTGTAAGCAGGCGGGGAACAGTGGCTCACACCTGTAATCCCAGCACTTTGGGAGGCTGAGGCAGGCAGATTACGAGGTCAGGAGTTCGAGACCAGCCTAGTCAATATGGTGAAACCCCGTCTCTACTAAAAATACAAAAATCAGCCAGGCGTGATGGCGGGTGTCGGTAGTCCCAGCTATTTGGGAGGTTGAGGCAGGAGAATCGCTTGAACGTGGGAGGCAGAGGTTGCAGGGAGCCGAGATTATGCCACTGCACTCCAGCCCGGGCGACAGAGGGAGACTCCGTCTCAAAAAAAAAAAAAAAAATATGTAAGCACTGCTGTTTGAGTATATTCGTAGGACTGAAATTGCTGATGTGTGTATGCTCATCTTAGTCTATGGCCAAACACTTCTCCACCGGCAGTGTTCGAGTTCCCATCCCTGCACACTCTTACCACTACTTGATAGTCTTTTTCTCTGTAGCCATTTGGCTGAGTGCCCAGCAGTGATGCATTGAGGTTTTAGTTTGCATTTCTCTGATGACTAATGAACTGTTTTGATGTCTATTGCTCATTTGAATATTCCTTTTGTGAAGTGCCTGCTCAATTCTTCTGCTCATTTTTCTGTCGTCTTACTAGTTCCATTGAGTCCTTGAAATATTTGTGATATAAGACATTTATTGGATATATGTGTGTGTGTGTATATATATATATATATAATATATATTTTATTTGATTTTTGAGACGGAGTCTCTGTCACCCAGGCTGCAGTGCAATGGCGCAGTCTCAGCTCACTGCAACCTCCGTCTCCCAGGTTCAAGCGATTCTCCTGCTTTAGCCTCCCGAGTAGCTGGGATTACAGGCACCTGCCACCACACCCAGCTAATTTTTGTATTTTTAGTAGAGATGGGGTTTCACCATGTTGGCCAGGCTGATCTTGAACTCCTGACCTAGTTATCCGCCCGCCTCGGCCTCCCAAAGTGCCGGGATTACAGGTGTGAGCCACTGTGCCCAGCCCTGGATATATATTTTTAAACATTTTAACCCTCGGGAGATTGCCTTTTCACTCTCCTATTTATGTCTTTTGATGAACAGAAGTTCTTCATTCTAATGTTTTTTATTTTATCATTTTTTCCCCTTATAGTTGTATTATTTGAGTCTGGTTTTTAAAAAATCTTCCCTAGCAAGAAGACTCAGATAAAAGTAAAATTAAAGCTGGGCATGGTGGCTCATGCCTGTAATCCCAGCACTTTGGGAGGCTGAGGTGGGCGGATCACTTGAGGCCACGAGTTAGGAGACCAGCTTGGCCAACAAAGCAAGATCCTGTCTGTACCAAGAAAAATTAAAAAATGAAAAAAATAAATTAGGTAGGTGTGGTGGCTCACGTCTTTAATTCCAGCTACTCTAGAGGTTGAGATGGAAGACTGCTTGAGCCTTGGAGGTTGAGGCTGCAGTGAGCTGTAATCACAACACTGCACTCCAGCCTGGGTGACAGAGCAAGACCCTCTCTGGAAAAAAAAAAAAAAAAAAAAAAAAGGTCGGGTGTGGTGGCTCATGCCTGTATGTAATCCCAGCACTTTGGGAGGTTGAGGTGGGCCAATCACTTGAGGTCATGAGTTCCAGACCAGCCTGGTCAACATGGTAAAACCTCGTGTCTACTAAAAATACAAAAATTAGCTGGATGTGGTGGCGAGCACCTGTAGTCCCAGCTACTCAGGAGGCTGAGGCACAAGAATCACTTGAACCCAGGAGGCAGAGGTTGCAGTGAGCTGAGATTGTGCCACTGCACTCCAGCCTGGGTAATGGAATGAGTCTGTCTGAAAAAAAAAGAAAGTCATGGGTCCTTCTCACAGTCCCAGGTGTGAACACAGGGGGCCACCCTAGGTCTGCACCATAGTCTACAAACCTCTTTGAGAACACTGTGTTGTGTCTATCAAGCTATAAATGAATTATATTCAGGACTTTAAGTGACATTGTCCTGCAAACCATAATTAATCCTACCCAAACGTTTTAGCAAGTGTTTGAGAACAAAACAGCCTTTGAAACCAAAATTCTTTTAAATGTAAAGTCAAAGTCAGGTGAAGTATAGATGGTAATTTATTTATTTAAAGATGTAAAAACTGTTTCAAACAATTTGAACCTTTAAACAGACCAGGTTTTAGCACTCAACTGAAATCCAATACTTTCTCCATTCATTGGCCTGATCTAATCAGACACAGTGTAGTAGTTTCCTATTGCTGCTGTAACAAATTGCCACAAACTTAGTGGCCTCAAACAACACACATTGATTATCCTGCCGTTCTAAGATGGGTCAGCAAGGCCGTGCTCCTTCTGAAGGCTCCAGGAAAGAACCCATGGACTTGCCTTTTCCAGCTTCTAGAGGCCACCTGCATCCCACTGCCGCCTGCTTCCCTTGGCACAGCTCTTTCGTCTGCCTCAGACCTTCCTGCCTCCCTCTTGAAAGGATCTTTGTGGTTACATTAAACTCACCTGGGTAATCCAGGAATCCCTCCCCATCACAAGGTTCTTAATCACAGCTGCCGAATCCCCTTTTGCCACGGAAGGTAACATATTCTCAGTTCCGGGGATTAGGATGTGGGCCTCTTTGTGGGCCACTATTCTGTCTACCCCAGATAGTGATTCCTGCTTAACAGAAATCGAATATGAACTCTAAGAGATACATATTCTAATTATATGCCTTCACAGGCTCCAGTACATTCCCTATATAATAGAAATTGGAGACCAGTTTGATATTGGATACTAAATACACTTTGGATTTTTTTTTTTTTATTTTTGAGACTTGAGTCTTGCTCTGTTGCCCAGGCTGGAGTGCAGTGGCATGATCTCGGCTCACTGCAACCTCCACCTCCCGGGTTCAAGTGATTCTCCTGCCTCAGCCTCCTGAGCAGCTGGGATTACAGGCACGCACCACCACGCTTAGCTAATTTTTGTATTTTTAGTAGAGACAGGGTTTCACCATGTTGGCCAGGCTGATCTCAAATTCCTGACCTCATGATCCGCCCACCTCGGCCTCCCAAAGTGCTGGGATTACAGGCATGAGCCACTGTGCCCAGCCCACTTTGGATTTTATACAGCAAAACTCCATAATGTTTCCTTTACATCAGTTTCTGCACATAATATTGGAAAAGCATTCTAGAAAGCACTAAAGGTATTGTGCTACTTCTTTTCTGAAGAAATTCTTTACTAATTTTCTTTTCTTTATTTTTTTGAGATCGAGTCTCGCTCTGTCACCCAGGCTGGAGCACAGTGGTGCAATCTCGGCTCACTGCAACCTCTGCCTCCCAGGTTCAAGGGATTATCCAGCCTCAGCCACCCAAGTAGCTAGGATTACAGGTGTGCGACACCATGCCTGGCTAATTTTTGTATTTTTAGTAGAGACAGGGTTTCGACCTGTCGGCCAGGCTGGTCTTGAACTCCTGAGCTCACATGATCTGCCCACCTCGGCCTCCCAAAGTGCTGGGATTACAGGGGAGCACCAGCACACCCGGCTAAATTTTGTATTTTTAGTAGAGAAGGGGTTTTGACAGGCTGGTCTGGAACTCCTGAGCTCACATGATCTGCCCACCTCGGCCTCCCAAAGTGCTGGGATTACAGGCATGAGCCACTGAGCCCGTTCCCTTTACTAATTTTCTATCAAGTCATAGTTCTTACAAAGTGGGTATTTTTGGTATGATTCTACTTTATGAATTTTTTCAAAGCACAAAGAAAGCGACTGCGTATTAGACCACACAGCAAATCAGAGAATAGGCAGAGCTAGTGAGTAGAGCTTCCAGTTGGAGATTTGGGTTCATTACCTTACCTACTTGTCAACCACATCTCAAGATATGATGACAGTTACCAGGTCTTGGAAAGATTAACACGTGTTTGAATATGTGACAGTTCCACAGCTCCAGCTACAAAAGAACTGAAAAGGAACAGGGAAGGTGCATGGCGTCTTGGATTCCAGGAAGTAGGCAGTGTGTATGGTTACTGGAATTTACCTGCCATCTTGCTCAATTATCCTGTCAAAGGTGCTGTTATTTTTCTCTTTAAAACGTTTCCATGTTTCTCATGAGGGCTTATACCACCGCACTTCTGGTGGCATATACTGCTGGACAACTGGATTTCTTCTTAACCAAGCAATGGAAAAGCAATTTCCCCCAATTAGCATGCGTTGCCAAAAGGGCAAGTCATTTCATAAAATGAGAAACTGAAACTTTAAAATCTACATATATTAAGTAGATTAACATATTATGTTAATTTTTAACCTTTAGAATATTTACAAATCAAATGATGCTCTAGTTTACAAGTGCACCAAGGCCAAATAATTAATATTAAAATTAAAACAGAATTGAAAAAATATTTAAAAAATGCAAAAACCAAGTGACATCATGTTTACTACTGGGGGCAAAAAGGCATCCTGAACGGCCCTAGCTGCAGCCTACCACTTAGGCTGTCTGAAATCCCAAGCATATTAGGAAAGAAAAGAAACTCATATACATACTCATAGTCAACGTCCAGTGCCGTTTTGGTGGCTTCACATTTAGCTGTGTTGCTTTTTCAGATGTCTTCTCTGGTTCCTGTACCCATTCCAACCCTTTGCTCTGCCTCCTTTGCTGCTATGGTTTAAGTTCTACTTCTTTTTTGAACTTTGATATATGATCACAAATCCTCAGCATCCCTTGTCTTCTACGCATCAGTGAACAAAGCATTAATGTGCAGCATAGAATGACATTCTTTAATTTTTTTTATTGAGATGGAGTTTCGCTCTTGTTGCCCAGGCTGGAGTGCAGTGGTATAATCTCAGCTCACTGCAACCTCCGCCTCCAGGTTCAAGAGATTCTTCTGCCTCAGCCTCCCAAGTAGCTGGGATTATAGGCGCCTGCCACCATGCCCAGCTAATTTTTGTATTTTCAGTAGAGACAGGGGTTTTACCATGTTGGCCAGGCTAGGCTTGAACTCCTGACTTCAGGTGATCCGCCGCCTTGGCCTCCCAAAATGCTAGGATTACAGGCGTGAGCCATTGTGCCTGGCCACATTCTTTAAATTTTGAAACCTTTTATTTTAGTGTGTCTAATAATACTTGCTTCCATGAGTTCTCAGGTTTGTTTTGATCTCACAGATCCACCAAAGAGAAAGCAGCCCTGTGCCAGTTGCTCTGCCAGCCTTTCACAGGAGAAGTGTCACTAGAATACTACAGCCCCCACAGGCTCTGCTCCACAGAAACTTAAGGCTGAAAGAGTGTCCGCCATCAGGGACATCCTCTGTCACTACGGTGGGAAAAGAACATGGCAGGTTGCCTTTCTAAGGGATTCTTGGGCCTTTGTATTTCCATATAAATTTAGAAGCAGTCTGACAACCTCCCCACCAAAAAACCTAAAAAACAAAAATCTTCTAGACTTTGGAACAGCACTGAATTAATGATCAGTTTGGGAAACGTTAACATTACAAGTTTAATAAACCATGAACATAATATACCCCTCCAATATCTAGATTATTTTATATACATAGTAGCCCACATTTTCTAAGCATTTATTACATGCCAGGCACCATTAGGACTTTACATAAATGATTTCATTTAATCTTCACAATAATGCTGAGAAGGAGGCTCTAGTACTTCCATTTCACGGATGGAGAAACGAGTTTAGCAAGGTGGCCAAAGGTCACGGTTAACCAGAGATGAGAATCAGGCACTCTACCTGCAGTCTGCAGTCTGTACCACTTTTTGACATGACCTTCCTGAGCTGACGGCTGCAGGGGCGATGGGTCTATGGATGGAGTTATTCAGGGGGAGGCAGACTTGGAGGAAAAGTCTCCCAAGATTTCCTGCATGTGCTCTCTCTCTACTGTTCAGCTTCTGTCTATCTGGATACATAATTATTTGTCCAAATAGCAACTGTCCTTCTTCTGCCATTTCAGGCCTTACATAGGAAGTCCTTCTAAAGAGCTGCCTGCCAGCTGCCCTTCCCCAGATCCCGAATATCCTCCTGGCCAGGTGGAGCAGAGAACAGTTCCTCAGCTGGTCATGCTGAGCTCATACCCTGTAAGTCTGACCACACTACACAGCTTTGGCTTTATCTAGAATCCAGCTCCAATCACAGTCGTGTCTGGCCCTAATCTCATGAGGAATGAAAGACCCATTTAGAGAAGAAGCCTCTGTCAGGCATTAGGAGAGAAACAGAACTTCGCAGAGCTCATCCATGGGGAATGAGAGCAGGGTAAGTGCAGCCTTTGTGATTCTCTCTCTCTACCCTCTGTAGGATGGCTGCTCCATGAGGTCAAGACTGGGTCTCCTCCCTCCTCCCCCTTCACCAATGCCTGGTCTCACGGGGCTAGTTTTGACCCCCACGCTATGGCATCATCGACCTCCCTCCCAGCTCCTGGCTCTCGGCCTAAGAAGCCTCTAGGCAAGATGGCTGGTGAGTGGAACCGGACTCGCGACTCTGCTGTGTTCCTGAGTGTAGTGCTCAGCCTCCATAGGGCGCGGTGGGAGGCCTGCCTGGTCCAAACTCAGAGAGACGCAGGAAGGCTGACGTGGGGAACTCCTGACCTGAATTCAGGGCCTGGATGCTTTGTGGAGAGTGAGGAGGGGAGGCCTGCGTCAGCTCAGCCAGATCTTTATCCTTTTGGCTCAAAGGTTTTCCAGGCCTGCTCAGCTAGCTTTCCTAGCCTGGAAACCACTGTGCTGAGTGCTTAACACTGTCTCTTGTCGTCCAAATCTTTGTTCCAGAACCATTTAGAGGAGAAGCCAAGCAGAGAGAGAAAATGAATCAATCCCCACCACAACTATCTGTCCTTATCAAAGGCTGGGGAAGCTGTTTTCATCTCCTTATGGAGTCCCATACTCCAAACACAGACCTGAGCAGTGTTTCTCCCCCACAGACTGGTTCAGGCAGACCCTGCTGAAGAAGCCCAAGAAGAGGCCCGGCTCCCTGACATACCTGACACTGCATTATCTCAGTTAACTTTCAGCAACTAAGACAGGTCCACAAGTCCACAGTCAAAGCCGTGTCCCTGACTCCAGAGTGTGGGTTCTGAATCACGAAGCTCTCTGCTCCTCAGCAACTCTGAGCAGTAGCCTCTTCCCCATTTAGCGACAATCTAGGATTTCTTGGGGCCAAACAGATGCCAGTCCTCCGTACCCCTTCCTTCCTGTATACGTAGCCCTTCCTAATCTAAGTCCACCTCCCCTCAGTGCTGAAAGTGGGCTTTGGGACTGATGGATCCTTGCTAGCATAACGTAGCTCTGCCTGCAGACTCCCGGTGGTTGACTAGTCAGCTCTAGTGGGAAGTTCTGCTTAAGGTGGGCTGGGCTGGGGGTACCAGATATCAAAGGGCCTGGAGTAGTGCAAGGCCATTTCTCTTAACCAGGCTGGTGGAACACTCTCACATAAGGATTCCAGAGTTCTGACACGTCCAAAACCTTTACCTTTAGAGGGCACTTTTAGGCAAGTCCCAAAAGATAAACAAAAATAGCAGAGTGCTGGGCACAGTGGCTCACGCCTGTAATCCCAGCACTTTGGGAGGCTGAGGCGGGCAGATCATGAGGTCAGAAGTTCAAGACCAGCCTGACCAACATGGTGAAACCCCGTCTCTACTAAAAATACAAAAATTAGCCAGGTGTGGTGGTGCATGCCTGTAATCCCAGCTACTCAGGAGGCTGAGGCAGGAGAATCGCTTGAACCTGGGAGGCAGAAGTTGCAGTGAGCCAAGATCGCACCACTGTACTCCAGCCTGGGTGAGAGTGAGACTCTGCCTCAAAAAAAAAAAAAAAAAATAGTGGAGCAACAGGTCTCTGAGAATAAGATGTTTCCCAGTGCAGGGAGGTGGGCTGCAGTCTGTCTGTCCTCCCTGTGAGGTGGGGCTCCTCCCTGTGTGGGCAGTGAGAGGGCACCTGGTAACACACAGGCCTGAGCAGTGTTTCTCCCCCACAGACTGGTTCAGGCAGACCCTGCTGAAGAAGCCCAAGAAGAGGCCCAACTCCCCAGAAAGCACCTCCAGCGATGCTTCACAGCCTACCTCACAGGACAGCCCACTACCCCCAAGCCTCAGCTCAGTCACGTCTCCCAGCCTGCCACCCACACATGCGAGTGACAGTGGCAGTAGTCGCTGGAGCAAAGACTATGACGTCTGCGTGTGCCACAGTGAGGAAGACCTGGTGGCCGCCCAGGACCTGGTCTCCTACTTGGAAGGCAGCACTGCCAGCCTGCGCTGCTTCCTGCAACTCCGGGATGCAACCCCAGGCGGCGCTATAGTGTCCGAGCTGTGCCAGGCACTGAGCAGTAGTCACTGCCGGGTGCTGCTCATCACGCCGGGCTTCCTTCAGGACCCCTGGTGCAAGTACCAGATGCTGCAGGCCCTGACCGAGGCTCCAGGGGCCGAGGGCTGCACCATCCCCCTGCTGTCGGGCCTCAGCAGAGCTGCCTACCCACCTGAGCTCCGATTCATGTACTACGTCGATGGCAGGGGCCCTGATGGTGGCTTTCGTCAAGTCAAAGAAGCTGTCATGCGTTGTAAGCTACTACAGGAGGGAGAAGGGGAACGGGATTCAGCTACAGTATCTGATCTACTTTGACTTTTAGGAGACAGCCCTGTAGCCTAGTAGTTCAAAGCGCAGCTTCTGGAAAAGGCTGTCGGGGTTTGTATCCTGGCTCCTGCACTTATTAACCCATAAAAAGTAACTTGGCCAAGTTACTCACCCGCTCTGTGCCTTGGTTTCCTCACTGACCAACAGGTTTCCATTGCTATGAAATGAGAACAGTATATACACGAAGGGCTCAGAACATGGCCTAGCACATGTATTCATAACAGGCAGCGCCTAGCACAAATCAGGTCCTCAAGTTAATAGCTAGTAGTAGTAACAGTAATAGCATTAGGTTTCTCTGAGATCAGGCTGGAGATGTCCATCAAGAGCTGGGAAGGTGCCAGGAGGGACATTGGTTTAGTAAGGCAAAATGATGCAAAATAATAGGAAAGAAGTGCATATAAGTGTATCTGGGGAGGGCCATGCTATTGCAGTAGGTTTGGAAGTGTAATAGATAAAAAGATAGAAGAGGCAGGACCTGTTGGGGAAAACAGATGCTGGGTTTGGGAGGTGTGACAACGCTGTGATTGGTCTCTTTCAGATCTGCAGACACTCAGTTGACACTTGTTATATCATGGGACCCCGGAAATTGGAGTGAAGCTAGAAACAGAAAACCCATGCAGGGCCTCGGATTCCCACAAATGTGACAAGAGGTATAGGGAGTGAGTCACAGCGCTTTGCTCGTGACCCTGGGATCAGAGCACCCATCAGGCTTCCATTACTGTGGGCTCCCTAAGAAGACCATGGAGAGCTTGGGGACTCCCCCAGGAAGGCCGTGAAGCTGGGGATTCCCCCTAGGAAAGCCATGAGGAAGCTGGGGACTCCCCAAGAAGGCCATGAGGAAGCCAGAAATTGGAGGTGGTAGGAAGTGGTACTGATCAATGATGGCCAGCAGGACTCATCTCCTGCCTAACTGGACAGGAAGCCTGGCACCCACTTCTGTCTTCCCCTGGAACTGGGCACTGGCGTACACTGGTATCCCTCCTAAAGAAGTGACTCACCTGACTGATCAGCAAGAAGCCTAGATTGCAGGCCTCACCATGGATGGTCTTCCTAGTTGCCTGGGGAAACCCTGGAATGGGCATCAGGAGAAAGCAACAAGAATCCAGTCCTTCACACTCACACTACTCTGTTCCTCTTCCCAGAGACATCGATTCACTTCAAAGAGCTGTAGGGAAGATGCAGTCAGCACTGCACTGTATTTTTTATTTATTGCCTAGGTGCCATTAAAGACACAAACCTAGAAGCCTAGAGGCCATTCTGAATATGGGGGTGGGGTGGTGGAGGGAGCAAGTGAAGAGATGGGAATCCAGGGCTCAGGGTTCAATGCCTTCACCTGAGATCACAAGCCCATGGATGCTGTGACATCTGGGAGCTTCATCAGTGGTCTGGCTAAAGCTGATACTTTCACAGTCACCATCTTCACCTTTGGACTGGGAAGAATCACCATTTTTCTTCTGGCAGATGACTGTATTCCTTATAGGACAGGCAAGGTTTCATTCATCTGTTCTCAGTAAGTTTGTTGTTGAACTGAAATGAATTTCATTATTTCCTCCAATGTGTACTTTTGTGCCCCCCTCTCACTTCTCCCTATCATGACCCCTCTTTTGCTGAAAAAAATTTTTATTATTTTTTCTATCTCTAGTTCTAGAAAGAGAAAATTTATTTTTTAAATTATAAACTATTTTGCCAGGCGCCATGGCTCACACCTGTAATCTCAGCACTTTGGGAGGCCGAGGCAGGTGGATCACCTGAGGTCAGGAGTTCAAGACTAGCCTGGCCAATATGGTGAAACCCTGTCTCTACTAAAAAAACAAAAAAAATCAGCTGGGTGTGGTGGCGGGGGCCTGTAGTCTCAACTACTCGGGAGGTTGAGGCAGGAGAATTGCTTGAACCTGGGAGGTGGAGATTGCAGTGAGCTGAAATCACGCCACTGCACTCGAGCCTGGGCAACTGAGCGAGACTCTGTCTCAAAAAAAAAAGGCCAGGCATGGTGGCTCATGCCTGTAATCCTAGTACTTTGGGAGGCTGAGGTGGGCAGAATACAAGGTCAAGAGATCAAGACCATCCTGGCCAACATGGTGAAACCCCATCTCTACTAAAAATACAAAAATTAGCTGGGTGTGGTGGCGTGGGCCTGTAGTCCCAGCTACTCGGGAGGCTGAGGCAGGAGAATTGCTTGAACCTGGGAGGCAGAAGTTGCAGTGAGCCGATATTGCACCACCGCACTCCAGCCTGGGTGACAGAGTGAGACTCCATCTCAAAAAAAAGAAAAAAAAATTATTTTATTATGCACAAAAGGATTAACAAATAATATGTCCACTCATGTGCCTACCACCCAGTTTAAGAAGCAAAACCTTATCATCCCTTATAGTGGTCCCTTTGTGCCCTGAATTGCAGTCTCCCCTTCCCCCACCAGAAATAACCAGCATTTTGAATTTTGAACTTCTTGCTTTTAGCTTTTCTCTATACATTTACTACATATGTATGCACCTCCACCAGCATACTGTGTAGTTTTACATGGTTTTATATTTTATGTAAACAGCGTTACAGCGTTTGTATTCTGCAGATTCCTTTCCTTGTTCACCAAATGTGAGATTTATCCATGCGGATGGATGACATGCCAGTTATTAATAATACACTTTCATCCCACGATGTAAATATGCCACCATTTAGTTACACATTCTTCTCCAAATGGGTATTTGGTGTTCCTAGGTTTTTGCTATTAAAAACAATGAGCCTCTGAACTTTTTTGTACATTTTCACAAGCAAGATTTTCTAGGATTTAGCCTAGAAAATCCTGCTGGGGCTGGGTGTGGTGGCTCATGCCTGTAATCCTAACACTTTGGGAGGCCGAGGCGAGCGCATCACTTGAGGCCAGGAGTTTGAGACCAGCCTGGCCAACATAGTGAAACCCTGTCTTTACTAAAAATACAAAAATTAGCCAGGCATGGTGGTGCACGCCTGTAATCCCAGCTACTTGGGAGGCTGAGGCAGGAGAATTGCTTGAGCCTGGGAGGCAGAGGTTGCAGTGAGCTGAGATATCGCACCACTGCACTCTAGCCTGGGTGACAGAGCGAGACTCCATCTCAAAAAAAAAAAAAAAAAGAATATACATACTATTTTTCTAGAAGATGCCACAGTTTCTTCCAAATTGGCTGTACCAATTTAAGTTCCTACAATTTGTGTTTAAGAGTTCCCACTTTTTCATGTTCTTGCTAACGTTCAGAGTTATCATATTTTTAAATGTTTGCTAATCTGGTGGATGAAAACTGGTAAACTATTGTTATTTTTTTTCCTTTTCATCATTTTTATGAAAAAAAAAATCAAGCATATACTGAAAGGAAGAAGTTTGATGAATCCCTATGTGCCTGTCAGCTAGCTTCAACAATTACCAACTCTGAGCTACTCTTTTATCAATAATACCCTACTCATATCTCTCACTCCCCACAAGATCATTTGAAGCAAACCTCAGAAATCACTTTATTCCTAAATATTTAAGTATGCATCTCTAACTTATTAAAATTTTTTTGGTTTTGTTTTTTGTTTTTCTGAAACGGAATTTCACTCTTGTTGCCCAGGCTGGAGTGCAATGGCGCAATCTTGGCTCACTGCAACCTCTGTCTCCCAGGTTCAAGTGATTCTCCTGCCTAAGTCTGGGATTACAGGCATGCACCACCACACCCGGCTAATTTTTGTATTTTTAGTAGAGATGGGGTTTCACCATATTGGCCAGGCTAGTCTTGAACTTCTGACTTCAGGTGATCCACCTGCCTCGGCCTCCCAAAGTGCTGGGATTACAGGCGTGAAGCACCACGCCCAGCCTGAAATAATATTTTACCTTTTACTTTGTGCTTTTTGTGTTTTACTCAGGAAGTCCTCCCCTACATCTGTTTTCTTCTGTATTTCTTTTCATATTTAGGTCTTTAATCCACCTGGATTTTTTGTTTGGGTTTTTGTTGTTCTTTAGTCAAAGATCCAATTCTTTTTTCTATTTAAATAACCATCATTGACTGACTAGTCCATCCTTACCCCACCCCTACTGATTATGATGTCACTGCTGTCACATATTGTCATACGTGGGGGGCTGTTACTGGGTTCTCCAGTCTCCTCCCTTTACTTTATCTGTTTGTGTATCCCTGTGCTGGTGCCACACTGCCTCGTTCACTGATGTTTTTAATAAGCCTGCACCATTTGTATGTCAATTCTTCCTGCTCTTCTTATCCATCAAAAATCACTTTAACTTTTCTTGTTCCTTTACTCTTCCATATAAATTGTTTATTCAACCATCAGGTTCCAGGAAAAAGCCTGTTAGTATTTTCATTGGACTTACATGGAATTTGTAGATTTTGAAAAAACAGATATTTTTATGAGTCTTCCTATTCATAAAAATAGTATGTCTCCATTTACTTATGTCTTTAAGTGTATTTCAGTAAAGCTTTCTATCTTTTCCACATTGGTCAGCTCCTCTTTTTATTAGAATTATTCCCTAGCATTTCATATTTTCTGTTGCTGTTGTAAAGGGTAATTTTACATTTTTATCTATTACTGATATAAAGAATTGTAATTTATTTCACATATTGATCTAGTATTAAGCAGCATGCTGAATTACTTAATTCTATATGACTATAAACTTTGCAGGGACTTGCTGTTGCCCAGGCTGGAGTGCAGTGGTGTGATCATGGCTCACCACTGCCTCGACCTCCTGGGCCCAAGCAATGATTCTCCTATCTCAGCCCTCTGAGTAGCTGGGACCACAGGCCTGTGCCACCACTCCTGACTAATTTTTCTGTACTTTTTGTAGAGATGGGGTTTTGCCATGTTGCCCAGGCTAGTCTTGAACTCTTGGGTTCAAGCCATCTGCCTGCCTGGTCTTCCCAAAGAGCTGGGATGACAGGTGTGAGCCACCACACCTGTCTTGTTGAATTTTCTATAAACAGTCATACAATTTGCAAAAGAAAACAAAAACTTTAGTTCCTTGTGTGGTTCCTAAGGCCTCCAATAAAACAAAGTGACAATAGCAGCCATCCTTGTCTCATTCCTTAGAAGGAATGCTTCACACATTTCTCCACTAAATGTGTGCGTTGTAGGTTTTCTGATACATAATTTTTTCTTTTTTTTTTTTTTTTAGTCTTGCTCTGTCGCCCAGGCTGGAGTGCAGTGGCGCAACCTTGGCTCACTGCAACCTTTGCCTCCCAGGTTCAAGCGATTCTCCTGCCTCAGCCTCCCAAGTAGCTGGGACTACAGGTGCGTGTCACCACACCCAGATAATTTTTTGTATTTTTAGTAGCGATAGGGTTTCACCGTGTTAGCCAGGAGGGTCTCGATCTCCTGACCTCATGATCCACCCACCTCGGGCTCCCAAAGTGCTGGAATTACAGGCATGAGCCACTGCACCCAGCCTTTTTTTAATTATTATTTGAAGAATTTAAGATTGGAATTAATTGCTCCTTGAATGTTTGGTAGACTCATCTGTAATACCATTTGAGCCTAGAATATTCTGGTTTTTTTGAGACGGAGTCTTGCCCTATTGCCCAGGCCGGAGTGCAGTGGGATTACACGCGTGAGCCACCATGCCTGGCCAGAATATTCTTTATTGTAAAATTTAAAGCTGTAATTTCAATGTCTTGAAGAGTTATAGATCTAATTAGATTTTCCATTTCTCCTGGAGTCAATTTGGTACAAACAGTCAATAAAGACTACAAGACCAGTTTAAGTAGATTTTTCAGTTTGAGTGTCCTGGATCATGTACACAATCATGAATGTGAAGTCTGTCTGCATGAAGAATCATCTGTGGTTATAAATTCTTAGGAGGTTTTTTCCTTCTTCCCTCTGGAACAACGGTTGAAGCAGGCAAGTTTCCTAATCACCTTCTCTCCTTTAGTAGGGCAGCATTTTTCTTTTTTATAAATAGTTGGCCTGGCCAGGCATGGTGGCTCACGCCTATAATCCTAGCACTTTGGGAGGCCAAGGCGAGCAGATCACCCAAGGTCAGGAGTTCGAGACCAGCCTGACCAACGTGGCGAAACTCCGTCTCTACTAAAAATACAAAAAAATTAGCTATGCGTGGTGGTGGGTGCCTGTAATCCCAGCTACTCAGGAGGCTGATGCATGAGAATCGCTTGAATCCAGGCAGCGGAGGTTGCAGTGAGCTGAGATCGCGCCACTGTACTCCAGCCTGGGCGACAGAGTGAGACTCCGTATCCAAAAAAAAAAAAAAAAAAAAAAAATTGTTGGCCCCTTCATTGAGCTAGTGGACCTTCAGGGTTCTTAGCTCTATAGAAAGTTCTGTATCTTAATTCCTCTTTACATAAGCTCAGGTCTTGTCTCTTGTCCCTTGAATCGGGTCCTAGACGTCTAGAGATCAGCAATGGCCCTTAAAATAGCTTCCACCTTAAAAATCCCCTTACCACTCTATAGATTCAAACTCCCACATCATTTTTGGTTCCTGCAAATTTTACTTTTTTGAGAGCTCAGCAACGTAACTAAAAGAATGTTTTAAATTTTACATCCAGAATGTTCGGGTATTTTGTAGCTGACTTGTTTTCAGTTTAGTCTGTTATAATCCCTGAAATGGAACTGGGAAGTATCCAATCCTTCTTTAGACTAAAAAAGAAAAGATTTGGGAGGTTTTTTTTTTTTTTTTTTTTTGAGACAGAGTCTCGCTCTGTCACTCAGGCTGGAGCACAGTGGTGCAATCTTGGCTCATTACAACCTCCGCCTCCAGGTTCAAGCCATTCTCCTGCCTCAGCCTCCCGAGTAGCTGGAATTATAGGTGCCTGCTGCCACACTCAGCTAATTTTTGTATTTTTAATAGAGATGGGGTTTCGCCATGTTAGCCAGGCTAGTCTCAAACTCCTGACCTCAAGTGATCCACCCGCCTTGGCCTCCCAAAGTGCTGGGATTACAGGCGTGAGCCACCGCACCTTGCGTGGGAGAAATTTTAAGATTTCTGAAAAACAATTGAACAGGGCTTTATAATAAATGAGTAAGCTAATACAGCATTGTCTAGTAGAACTTCCTTTGATAATGAAAATGTTCTCCATCTGTGCTCATACGATAGCCACAAGTGGATATCAAGCACTTGCAAAGTGGCTAGTGTAACTGAGGAAATGAATTTTAACTACTACCATAAAGATTCCTTTCACACTGAGGTCTGGTATTTAATAGAACCTCTGGTAGCTGAGGCTTCCTATGAGCTCATCCTTTCCTTGGCATTCTTTTTTTTTAAGAGACAAAGCCTCGCTCTCTTGCCCAGGCTGGAGGGCAGTGGTGTGATTATAGCTCACTGCAGCCTCAAACTTCTGGGCTCAAGTGGTCCTCCCACCTCAGCCTCCTAAGTAGCTGGGACTACAGGTATGAGCCACCACGTGGGGCATGAGCCAGGCCTTTTTGAAGAGTAGAATTCTGGTTTTATATTTTAATCAAAATTATACCCATATTGATTAATTTTGCCGCTAATGAATACATTTCTCTACTATTTCATTTCAAATGTTTCTATTTTGCTCATTATATTTTAGCTACACAGGTCATTCCTTTTGAGACAGAGTCTTGCTCTGTCACCCAGGTTGAAGTGCAGTGGCGCGACCTTGGCTCACTGCAACCTGCACCTCCTGAGTTCAAGTGATTCTCCTGCCTCAGCCTCCCAGGTAGCTGGGATTACAGGCGCACACCACCACACCCAGCTAATTTTTGTATTTTTAGTACAGACTATGTTTCACCATGTTGGCCAGGCTGGTCTCGAGCTCCTGATCTGAAGTGATCCGCCCACCTCAGCCTCCCAAAGTGCTGGGATTACAGGTGTAAGCCACCATGCCCCACGGTCATTCCTATTTTTTAAAAATGTCAAGCACATTACTGCTCTAGGGCCTTTGACAGCTAATATTTACTGTGCCTGGGCTCTTCATATGGCTGATATGGCTGGTTCCTTCTCATCATTCAAGTCTCAGCTCAAATGTCACCTTTTGAGAGGCTGTCCATGATCATCTTATCTAAAGAGCTTGGCCGAGCATGGTGGCTCATGCCTGTAATCCCAACACTTTGGGAGATGGGCAGGTCACCTGAGGTCAGGAGTTTGAGACCAGCCTGGCCAACATGGCAAAACCCCATCTCTACTAAAAATACAAAAATTGGCCAGGTGTGCTAGTGTACGCCTGTAATCCCAGCTACTTAGAAGGCTGAGGCAGAAGAGTCGCTTGAACCTGGGAGGTGAAGGTTGCAGTGAGCCAAGATTGCACCACTGTACTCCAGCCTGGGTGACAGAGTGAGACTCTGTCTCAAAGAAAGAAAAAAAAGGGCGGGGGGGGGGGGCTCCTATCCCCAGGCTCTTTCACACTGTCCAGTTTTGTCCTATTAACAGTACTTGGCCGGGCACGGTGGCTCACGCCTGTAATCCCAGCACTTTGGGAGGCTGAGGCGGGCAGATCACGAGGTCAGGAAATTGAGACCATCCTGGCTAACACGGTGAAACCCCGTCTCTACTAAAAATACAAAAAATTAGCCAGGCGTGGTGGTAGGCCCCTGTAGTCCCAGCTACTTGGGAGGCTGAGGCAGGAGAATGGCGTGAACCTGGGAGGTGGAGCTTGCAGTGAGCCGAGATCGCACCACTGCACTCCAGCCTGGGCGACAGAGGGAGACTCCGTCTCAAAAAAAAACAAAAAACAAAAAACAAAAAACAGTTCTTAATCATTATCTTGTTTACCTCATGTACCCCATTTGAATATACATTTTATGAAAGAAGAGGCCTCGTTGTCTTGCTTAGAACTAATAGCCGCTGGCACATGGAAAATGGAGACCTGGAAAGGTTAAGAGACTTTTCCAAAGTTGCACAGCTAGTCAGTGTTGGGGCCCGACTTCATGGCTCTCAATTATGGGCTCTTTTTGTTAAAACATAGCTACTTTGGCAGGGTGCGGTGGCTCACGCCTGTAATGCCAGCTCTTTGGGAGGCCCAGGCGGGCGGATCACGAGGTCAGGAGTTCGAGACCAGCCTGGCCAACATGGTGAAACCCTGACTCTACTAAAAATACAAAAAATTAGCCGGGAGTGGTAGCAGCCGCCTGTAATACCAGCTACTCAGGAAGTTGAGGCAGGAGAATCGCTTGAACCTGGAGGCAGAGGTTGCAGTGAGCCGAGATCGCGCCATTGCACTCCAGCCTGGGGGACAGATCCTAAGTCTCTCCTAATAATGCTTTCTGCATCACACACACACACACACACACACACAAAGTAGTCCTTTTTTTTTTTTTTTTTTTTTGAGATGGAGTCTCGCTCTGTCACCCAGGCTGGAGTGCAGTGGCGCGATCTCAGCTAACTGCAAGCTCCGCCTCCCGGGTTCACGCCATTCTCCTGCCTCAGCCTCCCAAGTAGCTGGGACTACAGGCGCCCGCCACCACGCCTGGCTAATTTTTTTGTATCTTTAGTAGAGACGGAGTTTCACCACGTTAGCCAGGATGGTCTCGATCTCCTGACCTCGTGATCCGCCCACCTCGGCCTCCCAAAGTGCTGGGATTACAGGCATGAGCCACCGCGCCTGGCCTAAAGTAGTCTTTTATCCAACTCCTAATCTATATTTCTGGTAGAAGTAATCCAAAAATCAAACTAACACATGGTACACTTTGTTATTGACCAAAAACTGACTGTAAATTGCATCTTGTTGCTAACGTTGAGAATGGCAAAAACTGTCCCACACCCATGAGATCTGTCTGAAAACCTAAACTCAAATCACTGGCAAAATAAATGTGTGGCTGACTGAAGCGATGTAAGTACCAACTCTTTTTTTTTTTCTTTGAGACGTAGTCTCGCTCTGTCGCCAGGGTGGAGTGCAGTGGTGCGATCTCGGCTCACTACAATACTCCGCCCGCGTTCAAGCGATTTTCCTGCCTCAGCCTCCCGAGTAGCTGGGACTACAGGCGCGGGCCACCACGCCCGGGTAATTTTTGTATTTTTAGTAGAGACGGGGTTTCACCATGTTGGCCAGGATGGTCTCGGTATCTTAACCTCGTGATCCGTCCACCTCGACCTCTCGAAGTGCTGGAATTACAGGCGTGAGCCACCGCGCCTGTCCGTAAGTACCAACTCTTCACAAAATTTAGATCTGTTAAATAACACCAGTGAAAAACGGGCTAACCAGAAACAATGGTCACCAAAGAAACCCTCAACAGCAGAAGTTACAAGTAATAATTTTATATGGCAAAAAAAAAAAAAAAAAAAAAAAAAAAGAGAAACGAAACCCTGGGAGACGAATCATACTGCAAATCATATCCCTGGGTAGCAGGGCAGAAATACAGGTAAACAAAATAGAGAGGAGGGGGATGCCTCTAGCCCGGAAATAAGTGGGTGGTGGAGATGGTTCTTCTGGCCATATTCGTTTACCTTTTTTGTCAGCAGAAAAGTACTGAGTCTACAAAGTAAAAAACTGACCACGATGAAAATTTCTGCAAAGTAATTAAAATGGGAGAAAAATGGAAATGGCTTAAATACTCGGTATAAAAAATCGACCAAGGAATCAAATGGGCTCACGGATTTGCGTCAGAAACGTTGCTTCCCCGATAATTGGTCAACGTCGGTGTAACTATGATTAAAATGTCAGTATTCAAACAAGGGCTCCAACACTACCGTGGCCCAAGGGCGTCTTCGGCTCCCACCCCGGGGCGTGGGCCTGGGGGTCCCTCTTCACTGCGCAGCCACCTCTAGCCCGCCGCTTTCGGGACTCTCAGCCTTCTTTTCCCTTCCCTGAGGGCCGGCCGGCACCACAACGGGGCCAAAGGCAGTAACTCGGTTGAAAGGCGCGCCCTGGGACAGGTCAGCGGGCTCCGCCATGCGCGGCACGCATCCCGCAGGAGCGGGTGCCAGAGCAGGGTAGGCCGGGAGTTAGCAGCCCAGCCAGGCCGCTGGACTCGGGCTAGGGGCGGGGCCAGCGCAGGGGGCGCAGGCGCACACCGCCTCCGCGGCAGCATGGCGGACGCAGCTCCTCAACTAGGCAAGAGGAAGCGCGAATTGGACGTGGAGGAGGCCCACGCCGCCAGCACAGAGGAAAAGGAGGCAGGAGTTGGAAATGGTACCTGTGCTCCTGTCCGCTTACCGTTCTCCGGCTTCAGACTGCAGAAGGTGCTGAGGGAGTCTGCGCGGGACAAAATCATTTTCCTACACGGGAAGGTACCAGGAGGCAACCCTGAGGTGGGATGCGGGAAGCAGTGAACCAATCATCGCCTCGGAGGCAGATTTTTTTTTTTCGGATCTCGGCTGGAAAATACCAATCATTATCACTCCGGGGAGGCGGGAGTGCGCCACTAGAATGCATAGAGGGGCGGTGAAAGGCGGCAAGATTGCCTTTGAAATTAAGGCAATGAACACATCTAGCTCTAATTTTTCTAATGTCTCCACTAGAAATATCTACTGGGAGAGTGCATTGCAGATTAAAGATCACATGTTACATTCCCCAAGCCATTCATCATCCATTTATGTATACAGGGACTAGGAACCCAGTCAATGTTAGATGTCTCGCTCATCCCTGTCCGTGGAAACGACATGAGACTGTAGGAGATGTGATCTCTGCCTTACGCGACTTCAGCCGTAACAGGAGAACAATATATTATAATTGTTAATTCAGTTCTACGCACGCACTTTCATGCATGCCAGACACTAAACTAGGTACTGGGGATGTGGAGACGAAAGTTACCATCCCTGATCTTCAGGACTACGGAATATTTCTGGCGAGACAGATACACACAGCTTGCTCCAATACCAACGTGCTCAGCAATCTGGCAGGGGCTGAGGAGAGATGGAGACCATTCCAGGAACTAGTGAGGAGGCCTAGCCAGAGCAGATATGGGGGTTCCCCAGAAACTAGTGAGGAGGCCTAGCCAGGGCAGATAAGGGGGTTCCCTAGAACTACTAGCAGGAACTCTCACCTTTGGGAGGATCAGGGAACCTTGGCCTAGGCTTCCATGCCTCTGTGTGTATCTGGTTTTTAAATTTTTATTTATTTATTTATTTATTTTTGAGACGGAGTCTCTCCTCTCTGTCACCCAGGCTAGAGTGCAGTGATGTGATCTCGGCTCACTGCAACCTCTGCCTCCCGAGTTCAAGCTATTCTACCTGCCTCAGCCTGCCCAATAGCTGGGATTACAGGCCCCCGCCACCATGCCCAGCTAATTTTTGTATTTTTAGTAGAGATGGGGGTTTCACCATGTTGGCCAGGCTGGTCTCGAACTCCTGACCTCAGGTGATCCGCCTGCCTCTGCCTCCCAAAGTGCTGGGATTACAGGCGTGAGCCACCGCACCCGCCTTTTTTTTTTTTTTTTTTTTTTTTGAGATGGAGTTTCACTCTTCTTGTCCAGGCTGGAGTGCAATGGCACTATCTTGGCTCACTGCAACCTCCACTTTCTGGATTCAAGTGATTCTCCTGCCTCAGCCTCCCAAGTAGCTGGGATTACAGGCATCTGCCACCATGCCCAGCTAATTTTCGTATTTTTAGTAGAGACAGGGTTTCACCATGTTGGCCAGGCTGGTCTTGAACTCCTGACCTCAGGTGATCCACCCACCTCTGCCTCCCAAAGTGCTGGGATTATAGGCATGAGCGACTGCGCTGGGCCTTGTTTTTTGTTGTTTTTTGTTTGTTTGTTTGTTTGTTTTTGTTTCTTGTTTTCTGTTTTTTTGTATGCGATTCTGTCTGGTTCTCTCAGCCCAGCTGTCTTCAGTGTGCAGCACCTGTTGAAGGTGTTAGTCATGAGAGCCTTCGAGCTAGGAGTCACTTGGGAGACCTAGGTTCTGGTTTCTGTTTCAATGCTGACTGTTCATGTGACCTTGGGCAAGTCACTCAAGGTCTGTTTTTCATCTTCTGAAATGGGGAGAACTTGACAGAGGTCTTGTAAGCCTAAAATGGAAGACAACTGAGAAGCCTTGTATTCTGGGGAAGAAAGGTGTGAGAACTGCCACAAGGATTTGGGTGGAGATGCCTTCTCTGGCTGGGCATGGTGGCTCACACCTGTAATCCCAGCACTTTGGGAGGCTGAGGCAGGCATATCATTTGAGATCGGGAGTTCAAGACCAGCCTGGCCAACATGGTGAAACCCCATCTCTACTAAAAATACAAAAATTAGCCAGATGTGGTGGCATGCGCCTGTAATCCCAGCTACTCAGGAGGCTGTGGCGGGAGAATTGTTTGAGCCCAGGAGGTGGAGGTTGCAGTGAGCCAAGATCGCGCCATTGCACTCCAATCCGGGCAACAGAGCAACACTCCATCTCAAAAAAAAAAAGATGCCTTCTCTGAGAAAAGAAATGTGAAATGTGAGTGCCATTGGCTAGACTTCCCCAGAGGGAAGACTTCAGGGAAGGAAATCCCAAGTATTGGGAATTCAAAGGCCCTGGGAGCTTCTGTCTTGCTCTCCAGAGTCTCATCGTGGTTCTGCCCTTGAGCCCACTGATGATGCCTCTGCCCACAGGTGAATGAGGCCTCTGGGGATGGGGATGGAGAGGATGCCGTTGTGATCCTGGAGAAGACGCCATTTCAGGTGGAACAGGTGGCTCAGCTCCTGACGGGCAGCCCTGAGCTCCAGTTGCAGTTCTCCAATGATATCTACAGCACCTATCACTTGTTCCCTCCAAGACAACTGAATGGTGAGCAAGAGGTGGCCAGGGTGGCTGTATGGAGGGAGAATGGGATGGTGGGAAATTAGGTGGTATGGTGACCAGACTCTCTATACCCGATTTGCATATTCTAGTACAATAGGGAGATTACTTCCCTAGGGGACATTTGGCCATCGGTGAAGACATTTTTGATTGTCAGAATCGGGGGTGGTGGTGGGGTGTTGCTTCTGGCATCTAGTGGGTGGAGATCAAGAATGCTGCTAAACACCTTACAATGTACAGGACAGGCTCCCACAGCAAAGTAATGTCAATAGTGCTGAAACTCAGAAACCTGGCCAGGCATGGTGGCCCACACCTGTAATCCCAGCACTTTGGGAGGCCACGGCGGGCAGATCACCTGAGGTCAGGAGTTCAAGACCAGACTCTCGGCCAACATGGTGAAACCTCATCTCTACTAAAAATACAAAATTTAGCTGGGCATGGTGGCGTTCACCTGTAATCCTGGCTACTTGGGAGGCTGAGGTGGGAGACTCGCTTGAACCCAGGAGGCAGAGGTTACAATGAGCTGAGATTGTGCCACTGTACTCCAGCCTGGGTGATGGAACAAAACCCTATCTCAAAAAAAAAAAAAAAAAAGAGAAACCTTGTTGTAGTGTAGTATGTTTTAGGGAGAGAGTGTGATTCATGGGATAGAATAATATATATATATTTTTTGAGATGGAGTCTTGCTCTGTTGCCCAGGCTAGAGTGCAGTGGCGCGATCTCGGCTCGCTGCAACCTCCGCCTCACAGGTTCAAGCAATTCTCCTGCCTCAGCCTCCCGAGCAGCTGGGATTACAGGCGCCCACCACCACGCCTGGCTAATTTTTGTATTTTTAGTAGAGTCAGGGTTTCCATCATGGCCAGGCTGGTCTTGAACTCCTGACCTCGTGATCCACCCGTCTTGGCCTCCCAAAGTGCTGGGATTACAGGTGTGAGCCACCGTGCCCAGCCAGAATAATAGATTAATCTACTAATTGAATGATAAAAATTGTCAACAACACTTAGGAAATCCTTACTATTGTATCTACATGTATTAACACAGTTAATCCTCAAAACAGCCCTCTTGTAAGGAGGACTTTACGAATGAGGAAACCGGTTTTTGAAAGGTTAAATAACTTGTCCAAAATCACACAGCCAGTAGGTGGCGGGAAAGCTAAGGTTTTTCAGTAGACTGGGGTCTTGCTCACCATACTCATTCTGTGGGCCGGCCAGTGTGTCTGGTGCTGCAAAAATCAGTCACTTCCCTGAAGGAACCTACTTTCTGGTGGGAGAGACAACTAGTGAGATCAAGGGGGATGGGAGAGAAGGGCAAGAACTCGTGGGTTAAAAGGCAGAGATTTGTTTTTCATTGCAAGCATTTCTTAATTTATTAAAAAGAATATTCCATGCCAAAAGCCAGGTGTGACATGTGCATTTTTTCTCAAGATGGTTAGATTTTGTAGGCAGCTTTGTTGGAAACATGAGTGAGACTGGTTGACCTTAAAGATTCCTTCCAACCAGCAAATTCTGGAATTTGTTTTACAGCACATGGTGACTTTGTCATATCCTTCTGTCTTCTTGTTTGCCCTCCAGCATTTAAGAGCGGTCTGGCTTTGCAGATATCTTGCCCCACAGTCTTTTGATAGATATTCTTTTCTGCCCTCCATGAAAGGGTGCTATTGTTGTCCTTTGGAAATATGTGAACACTTCATGGTGAGACAAGCAAACCTTTCATGACTTAATGCAAAACAGCCTTGTCTTCCATTGAGCAAAAGCCAGATTAATTGGTGCAAGTTGATGGAAATGGACAGCTGTATTTCCTTTCTCAGGCAGTGACGTTTAAGCAAATGTATTCCTCAGCACAGGGCGGCAGAAGAATGACAGAAGGCACCGTGGCCAAACACAACTTGGGGTGGCCCCCTGCATTGCAGGCTCTAGGGGCTATTATTTTACTGCCACACCCTTTCCCTCACCTTCCGAAATCCCTCTACCCACCCTCCCCACCCTTGGCCAAAATTCAGAAGGTTCTGCCCGACAGATGAACCCTGTGGAATTCACAGGCTGTCCTTTTTATTTTCCCAGTCCTTCTGTGGCATTGCACACAAGTGGAGGTAGTCCCTGCTCGCCCTTTCTGTTTCTATTGTTTTTCCCAAGATAAGCACTGAAAGAGGCAGTGGGTTATTGGCCCACCACAAGTCCTTGTTCCCACTCAGAACCCCAGGTGTCTCCAGGGCCACCCCCACCCACCTGGGAGCCTCAGATGTTAGTTCATCTTTTCTTTTCCTGCCCCTTTTTTTTTTTTTTTTTGAGATGGAGTTTTGCTCTTGTCACCCAGACTGGAGTGCAATGGCACGTTCTTGGCTCACTGCAACCTCCGCCTCCCAGGTTCAAGTGGTTTTCCTGCCTCAGCCTCCCGAGTAGCTGGGATTTACAGGCACACACCACCACGCCCAGCTAATTTTTGTATTTTTAATAGAGATGGGGTTTCACCATGTTGGCCAGGCTGGTCTCGAACTCCTGATCTCAGGTGATCCAAAGTGCTGGGATTACAGTTACAGGCATGAGCCGCTGCCCCTGGCCTTCCTGCCTTCTTGGTATATAAGTCATCCCTCAGTATCCACTGGGGATTGGTTCCAGGACTCTCCTTGGATACTAAAATCTGTGGATGCTCAAGTCCCTGATATAAAATGGTGTAGTATTTGCATGTACCCTAAGCACATCTCCTGCCTGCTACAATGTAAATGCTATGTAAATAGTTATTATACCATGTTTTTTAGGTAATAATGACAAGAAAAGTCTGTACGTATTCAATACAGACGCAATGTCCTTCTTTTTTTAAGTATTTTTATTCTTCATTTGGTTGAATCCACAGATATGGAACCCACAATACGGAGGGCCGACTGTACATGCGGTGCCTTTCGCTCCTGCTTTTCCTACCAAAACTAGGGATGGGGATTTGGAAGTCGCAGCGGTTTGCTTCAGGGCCCGGTTGCTCCCTTGTTTAGCTGCATAGCTTTTCCCTGGGTGATATTTGAGGTCAGGATTGTCAAACTTTTTCTGTCAAAAACCAAAGAGTCAATATTTTAGGCCTTGTGAGGCACAAATGGTCTCTGTCTCCTCTTCTTCTTTTCCTCCCATCTTCCTTCCCAACCCCTTCTTCTTCTGCCTTTTCTGCCTTCTCCTTCCTTCTTCTTTTTCTCAACCCCTGTGAAAATGAAAATATCACTCTTGGTTTGCTGATTGTACAAATAGAGGTCCAGCTGGCCATAGTTTGTTAACCTCTGTTCCAGATTTTTACCACTCAAAGTGTGGTTTGTGAACCAGCAGTATTCGCACCACCTGGGAGTCTGGTAAAACAGAATCTCCTCCCCATTTCAGACTACAGAATCACTGGAGTCTGCATTTTAGCACAACTCCCTGGTGAGCCATATGCACGTAAAACTTTGAGAGGCACTGGTCTTTAAAAAAACACCATCTGTATGCCGGCGACGCCCACCTTTATTTCTCCATCCTTGACCTCTCCAAGAACTCCGGGCTCATATTGAAATAAAGCCCTCCTTGACATCTCCATTTGGAGGTCTCATAGGTGCAATTCAAGAATCCGATGCGCTAATGTACTTAAAAGCACTGAGCACAATACTAAGTAGTAGCTGCTGTTATTAGTCTCATGTGCCAGGCCCTATGCCGCGTACCGTAGCTTCAGAGATGAGTAAGATACCATCCTTGCCCTCACAGTCTTGTTTGGGGTCAGGGGTGGGGACATAGTGGTGAAAAGAGGAGAGTTTGGTCACTGCCTGGATATAAGGGGTGAGGTCCTCGAAGGTTGGAGCCATGTCGCCCATATTAGGTGCTTTCAATAAGTGAAGAATGAACCCACAAACTGACCTATGTGTAGATTTGTTTTCCTGTGGGCTGGGCATTCCACAGCCACAAGGTGGCAGCATTGCCAAAATAGTCCTGTGGCCCACTCCAGCTGTCCCCTCTGTGGGAAGGCCAGCTAAGTCAGAGCCTGGGACCTCCCTCTCCAGTCCCAGCCTTGGAGTCAACTCAATGCTGCCCACCCCGAGGGCCCTGAATGTGCAGTTCCTGCAGCCTCAGCCCTCTGTCCCCCTGCATGGTTGTGCCTTTGAGTTTTTCTGCTGTCTCTGGCTGCTTCTTTAGACCTCCTTCCTAGAATACTGTTTGCCTAGGGGAGCCCCCACCCCTCATTTCTGAGCTGGCCACAGTAGAAATCATGGGCTCAGCTGATTTTTTTCTGGTATTCCTCTGGTCACTGGCAACTTTCTTTTCCTCTTCAAGTCTGGAGGTTTTGCAGTCTCCTCATTCGTTTATCCCCTCCACGTTCTCAGCTGACTGCAAGAGGCTGCTCGTGTGAGCCACTCATCCTTCCAGCTGCAATGTCCATCCCAACGACATAATGGAGAGAGCATGGGCTTTAGGAGTTAGTCATGCTGGGGCACTCATGCTTTCTCATGGCATGCACTGGGGCAGCAACATGCTGTTTCTGAGTTTTAGCACAGTGCCAGTGCTGAGAACAAGCCTCACGTCAGGCAGACCTGGGTGCGAATCCTGGCTTTGCCATTTGCTAACCATGAGGACCTGGGACATTTCTTTATTCATTTAACAAATGTGAAGTGTCTGCTATGTGCCAGCTACTCTAGTAGAAGCAAGGTCTGTGTTGGTGAAGATAACCGATGTCTCCCTGTCTTTGCAGTTCTAGTGGGGAAGGCAGACAGCAAACAAGGAAGCAGATGTCTGAGTGGCCATGAGCAGGAGAGAGCCTACTCAGACCAGGGCTCTAGGAGGGCTCTCTGCAGTGGAGCTGACACCCAGGCTGAGGCCTGAAAGATGGGAAGAAGCCAGCTGTGCAAAGAGGGGAGAACACTCTGGGCTGAGGAATAGCACGTGTTCTGGGGATGGAAAGAAGAACAGAAATGAGGCTGTTATGTCAGGAGTGATGGGGTGGGATGGTGGCAGGGGTGTGTACTACAGATGAAGTTGGGGAAGTAGCTTCAGTTATTTTCTGTTAAATTAGGTTAGAAACTGAACTTACCTCAGTGGGTAGGTTATGAAACACATAAGGAAGTTTTCACAACTTTAGCCACTGCCCGCAGTGAGAGATATGTTTCACATTATGGTCTATTACACATGGACTAATAGACATGAATAGAAATGAAACTTTATTTATTGAGTTAGTTAGTTAGTTTGTTTTTGAGACGGAGTTTTGCTCTTGTCATCCAGGCTAGAGTGCAATGGCGCGATATTGGCTTACTGCAACCCCTGCCTCCCGGGTTCGAGTGATTCTCCAGCCTCAGCCTCCCGAGTAGCTGGGATTACAGGCATCCTCCACCATGCCTGGCTAATTTTTGTGTTTTTAGTAGAGATGGGGTTTCACCACATTGGCCAGGCTAGTCTCGGACTCCTGACCTCAGGTGATCCACCTGCCTCGGCCTCCCAGAGTGCTGAGAGTACAGGCGTGAGCCACCGCATCTGGCCAGAAGTGAAACTTTAAACAATGCTTACCCATCCGCTATGGCATACTCTGTAGTATTTCCTATCTAGTTTCAGCCTTATTGGTTTCCTTTTTTATTTTTTAATTTTTAAAATTATTTATTTATTTTTGGGGCAGAATCTCTCTCTGTCACCCAGGCTGGAGTGCAGTGGTGCGATCTCGGCTCACTGCAACCTCCACCTCCCGGGTTCAAGCCATTCTCCTGCCTCAGCCTCCTGAGTAGCTGGGACTACAGGCACCCGCCACCACACCCAGCTAATTTTTTTGTATTTTTAATAGAGATGGGTTTTCACCACGTTGGCCAGGCTGGTCTCAAACTCCTGATCTCGGGTGATCCGCCCGCTTTGGCTGCTCAGAGTGCTGGGATTACAGGAGTGAGCCACCACGCCCAGCTGGTTTCCTTTTTTAAAATGCTGGTCTTAATCCCCTAAATTGACTTCATGGCCACTGTCCTGGATTAGGACCCATTAAGAGAAGGTGTATAGAGCACGTGGCACAGTAGCTGTCATATGGTCTGTATCCAATAAGTGTAATTATGGTGTTGCCTCTTATTTTTTTCCACCTTTCAATTTATGTGAGCTTTAAATGGAATAATATATATAACATGGAAAAGTGACTGGCTCTGCCCATGGGTAGGTTTCCTTTCTTCTTCCTGTTGCTGTGTGGCACATGTGAGGAGCTAATGGCCCGAAGGCTGGCACCTGAGAGCTTCCTCTGACCCTCCAGGCTGGGCAGGGCCTGCATCTCCTTTCTGCCATAGCTGTCACCCTGCGGCCTGTCAATGGAGCCCTTTATTGCGGTCTGTTCTCCTTTACCTGGGGAAGAAGGGGGAGATAGCAGGGAGAGAGGTGTGGCTCAGAAATCCAGGCTGCCTCTTCAAAGGCCAATTGTTTCCCCGTGTAAACCAGGAGGTGAAATCTCAAGTTCAGAAGAGGAGACAGGCATTTGTGAGTGAGGCCAGGGCGGGGAGCAGAGGGGTGGGATCCTGGGAATCGTTTCTCTGGTTGCAGGGAACTCCCGGTACTGTAGCCACAGGCCAGGGTTTTCCGCCCTGTGCTATTTGCAGAGGCAAAACCCGGACCTCCTGAGGGAGGGGTGAGGACTTGTTTGGAAGGAGCATTTTAAAAGACAAGTCATTCTCAGAAGAGTTTGCTTGGTAGCATTGTTAATGATAGAACAAACTAGAAACAATCAAATAACAGTAGAGTAGGTAGATAAACCGAGGTATAGTCCTACAGTGCCTAGCTACAGCAGTGAAAATGAACTACAGCTGCCTGTATCAATGAAGGATAAATCTCACCATGTAGGGCAAGAAAAGCATGACACAGAATACACATGGTGCGATTAAAATGGTACAAAGTTGAAAAACAAGCAGAACTGAACAATATACTGCCTAGGGATGCATACATGTGTAATAAGACTATGAGGACAAAAAGGAAATGATTAACCCCCAAATCAGGGAGGTGATTATCCTTGGTCGGGGTGTGGCAGGACAGAGAGAATGTTAAAATTTCTGGTTATATTCTGTTTCTTGGATTGTGTGTTCTGAGCATATGTATTCTTTTTATTTTACTTAGGTTTTTAAGTGGTACATATTTTATATACATACACACCTGTGTTTTATATGTATAATGTATTTCCCAGTTGAAAGGTAAGACAAATTGGCAGGTCCTTAGATGGACTAGAAAGATCGTCCCATGAATTTCAAGGGCTGCATCCTCATTCTGAAGTGTGGTTTTCAGTCACAGTTCTCAAAGTGAAGGTATTTGGTTTCAGCCTCCTACTTCTGGGTTTTAGGCATTTGTGGACTTTCATTTCTGCAGGCTTCCCCTTCTTTGGGGTGTGGGGATGGCTGGGCCAGCCGCTTTTCTCCCCAATGATTGTTGTTCTCTTCTTTGTGTCCGTATGTCCTCAACGTTTAGCTCCCACGTATAAGTAAGAACACACATATTTGGTTTTCTGTTCCTGCCTTAGTTGGCTTAGGATAATGGCCTCCAGCTCCATCCATGTTGCAGCAAACGACATGATCTCACTCTTTCTTATGGCTGTATAGTATTCCATGGTGTATATGTACCACATTTCTTTATTCAGTCTAGATGTTGGTGTGGATGCAGTGAAAAGGGAACACTTCTACACTGTTGGTGAGAATGGAAAGTAGTACAACCATTACGGGAAACAGTGTGGAAATTCCTTAAAGAACTAAAAGTAGATCTACCATTTGATCCGGCAATCCCACTACTAGGTATCTACCCAGAGGAAAATAAGTCATTATATGAAAAAGATATTTGCACATACATGTTTATAGCAGCACAACTTGCGATTGCAAAAATATGGAACCCACCCAAATGTCCATCAATCAACAAGTGGATAAAGAAAATGTGGTATATATCATACCATGGAATACTACTCAGCCATAAAAAGGAATGAAATAATGGCATTTGCAGCAACCTGGATGGAATTGGAGACTATTATTCTAAGTGAAATAACTCAGTAATGGAAAACCAAACATTGTATGTTCTCACTCATATGTGGGAGCTAAGCTATCAGGATGAAAAGGCATAAGAATGATACATGGGACTTAGAGGAAAGGGTGGGGAGTGGTGAGGGATAAAAGGTTATACATTAGGTACAATGTACACTGCTCAGGTGATGTGTGCATCAAAATCTCAGAAATCACCACTAAAGAACTTATTCACGTAAGTTCCTACCTGTTCCCCAAAAACCTATTGAAATAAAAAAATAAAAAAATTTAAAAAAATTGCTCTACCGTAAAGACACATGCACACATATGTTCATTGTAGAGCTATTCATGATAGCAAAGACATGGAATCAACCTAAATGCCCACTTGAGGGTGGAGGGTTGGAGGAGTAAGAGGATCAAAAAACTCCCTATCAGGTATTATGCTTATTACCTGGGTGATGAAATAGTCTCTATGCCAAACCCCTGCGAGACAATTTACCTGTAAACAAAGCTGTACATGTACCCTTTAACCTAAAATAAGAATTAAAAAAAATAAAAAGAATATTTCTGGGCTGGGTGCAGTAGCTCATGCCTGTAATTCCAGCACTTTGGGAGGCCGAGGCAGGTGGATCATTTGAGGTCAGGAGTTCGAGACCAGCCTGGCCAACATGGTGAAACCCTTTCTCTACTAAAAATACAAAAATTAGATGGGTGTGGTGGTATGTGCCTGTAGTTCCAGCTACTCAGGAGGCTGAAGTTGGAGGATTGCTTGAGCTCAGGAGGTCAAGGCTGCAGTGAACTATGATTATGCCGCTGCACTCCAACCTGGGTGGCAGAGCAAAACCCTGTCTCTTAAAAAAAAATAAAAAGAGAAAAGAAAACCAGTAAAACCATTAAGGAGTATTTACATGATTGAGGCCATATTAATATGCATGCTCAACCAGAGTGCTAAGTTTCTAGTTTTTCCTCCACCTGCCCAGTGTATCATCTCCATGCCACTCAAAGGAGATTGCTTTATTTTCTCTTTGAGACAGTCTCAGTCTGTTGTCCAGACTGGAATACAGTGGTACCTCTCAGCTCATTGCAACCTCCACCTCCCGGGTTGAAGCGATTCTCCTGCCTCAGCCTCCCGAGTAGCTGGGATTACGGGTGCCTGCCACCACACCAGGCCAATTTTTGTATTTTTAGTAGAGACAGGGTTTCATCATGTTGGCCAGGCTATCTCAAACTCCTGACCTCAAGTGATCTGCCCACCTCACCCTTTCAAAGTGCTGGGATTACAGATGTGAGTCACCACGCCTGGCTGGAGAGTGCTTTTGATGTCCAGGTCGAGTGGATTCTCTTTTCTTGCATTCCAACAGTCCTTCAAATCATGCTGCTTTTTAGTTTGTTTCATATTTGAACCACTGTTTTATTAGCTTTTACTTTTTCATGGAGTTTTTAGTTGCCTCTTTTTTCATTGTGGTTAAAGGAATAATGTACCTTTACTCTGCTCTTGAAATTATCCAGTGTGATAATCCATTACATCAAGCTTGTCCAACCCGCAGCCCAGGACAGCTTTGAATGCGGCCCGACACAAATGTATAAACTTTCTTAAAACATGAGATTTTTTCCGTGATTTCTTTTTTTTTTTTTCAGCTCATCAGTTATTGTTAGTGTTAGTATATTTCATGTAAGGCCCAAGACAGTTCTTCTTCCAGTGTGACCCAGGGAAGCCAAAAGATTGGACACCCTTGTATTACATCATATTTCCTTCCTTGCTGGTAACATTGTTTCCAGAAAGCTCTTTCCTGCTTCTCCAATCTGGACAGGTGATTCTTTAAGCAAGTTGTTCAGGTCTCAATCTGAGACTTCCTTTTGCAACTTCTGTGAGTTAGATGTTTTCTGTATTCTACGTCTGTTTCTTTCTTGTTTTACTCTCTTGATTAGCTGAAGTACATTTTTTTTTTTTCATGTTTTTCTTGAGATGGAGTCTCGCTCTGTCGCTCAGGCTGTAGTGCGGTGGCGTCGTGATCTCAGCTGACTGCAACCTCCGCCTCCCGGGTTCAAGCCATTCTCCTGCCTCAGCTCCCAAGTAGCTGGGATTACAGACACCCGCCACCGCGCCCAGCTAATTTTTTGTATTTTTAGTAGAGACAGGGTTTCACCTTGTTGGCCAGGCTGGTCTTGAACTCCTGACCTCAGGTGATCTGCCCACCTCAGCCTGCCAAAGTGCTGGGATTACAGGTGTGACCCACCATGCCCGGCCTCTTTTTTTTTTTTTTTTTTTGAGATGGAGTCTCGCTCTGTCACCCAGGCTGGAGTGCAGTGGCGCGATCTCAGCTCACTGCAAGCTCCGCCTCCCAGGTTCATGCCATTCTCCTGCCTCAGCCTCCCAAGTAGCTGGGACTACAGGCGCGTGCCACCACGCCCAGTTAATTTTTTGTATTTTTTAGTAGAGACGGGGTTTCACCATGTTAGCCAGGATGGTCTCGATCTCCTGACCTCGTGATCCACCCTCCTCGGCCTCCCAAAGTGCTGGGATTACAGGCGTGAGCCACTGCACCCGGCCTCCCGGCCTCTTTCTTATAGTCTGGTAGATTGTCTGCATTTTGTCTTCTAGACCTTCTAGTGAAGGTGTTAATTTGACAGTCATATTTTAAATTCTCCTCTCTCTGGTTCTCTGATTATTTCATTCTCATAGCATTTTGCTCTTTTTTTTTTTTTATTGAGGCCAAATTGTGTTGAATCTCTCTGGCACACTAATTAGAATTATTTTTAAAATTATCTCCTGACCCTCAAATTATTTTATTTCCTCTGGGATCTGGTTGTTTATCTTGGTCATCCTTATTCAGGCTGCTGGTTTCTTTCAATGGCTGCTGATTCACATGAGTTCACTCATATTTCACAGTGCAGCACAGTGTGGCATGTCCAGTGACATTCATTGAGACTTGGTACCCGTGCCCCTTTCAGAGTGAATTAAAGACATGCCTTCAGGCAGGAAGTTGAGAGAGGCCATATTTTGGAGTGTTCATCCTACAGCTTTTATTGTGGTCTGGTCTGCTCAACCCCAGCATAGTTTCTTTCTGTGTGTGGAGAAGTGGGGGGGCTCGCGGCTCTAAGGCCAAGCCTGTCACTTCATAGCTCCCTGACACATTGCACATTAGCTCTTGCTCTTCCTGTTCACACGGAGCTTTGCAGAGTGCCATTAGCCCCACAGCCATCCTGAAGTCGCGTTTCCCACTCTCTATCCATTGTAACTGAGGGCCTCTCCTGCCACCCCAGGGCTGCATTTGGAGTTACCAAATTTGCTTGTGGGCCAGGAGACCCTGGAGTTTTGCCATCCGGTCCTGTTGCCTCCCTACCCCCTCTGCTTTCTGGACTTCAGAGGACTAGCGAGAGGGAGGGAAGGAGCTGAGGGTTTGTACAAGAAGCCTGTCAGATCCAGAGTCTTGCTAAAGTCAGCGTCTGCCTCTCCTCTGTCTCTAATAGCAGCTCTGTGCTTTCCTAGAGACAGGTAATTAGTGGTTAGAGGCTTGCTGTGGAGTGGTTGAAGTTTCCAGTAGGATCCTGACCACACCCTTCAGCCGTGTTTATCCTTGATGTGGAGGTCTCTTCGGGCTTCACTTGAGCACTTTCAGTATTTCTGTAATGTAGGACAGAGAACACCCTGCCTTGCTTGGCCTGGGACCAGAGGATGACTTAAGATCCACGGCAGCCAGCCTTCCCTCCACCCTCTGGCCTGGTCTCCCCGTTACCATGCAGCCAGGGCTGAGGAGAGTGTCGCCTAGCCAGGGGACATCCCACAGAGGAGGAAAGAGAAAGCAGATCCAGGAGAGCCTCCCACCAACCTCTCGTTCTTTCAGGCTTTCTCTGGCATGCCTTGCGAAGTCCGGTTATCTGACCCATCCCTGGCTGGCTCTGCCTGGCTCTTGTGGAGAGGACATGGCGGGTGGGCTTCGACTCAGATCATGCATTGCTGTTGCTTCTTCTCAGTGCTCCTGGGCCTGCACATCTGGGTTAAATAAGTTAAGCTGGCTCCTCTGAGCAAAGGGGAAGCAAAAGCCACAGACTGAGCCATAGAGATGAGCTCATCCTGTAGAAGCCATCAGCAACGGCTGGAAAGCAGTCTTGTTTGAACATGTGTATGGGAAGGAGAGCAGACTGTCTGTGGTTTGTGTTTTCATGTTTCATGTGCAGCAGCATTTTCCTGGGGATTTGGCTAAGCTAGCTTTGGCAGGGAGCAGAGAGGCAGCTGCTCTTAACTTTCCTCTAGATAGCCCTGCCTCCCACCTCTGAGAGCAGTTGGGCTTTTGTGTCTAGACGGGGGACAAAGGGTGGCTTTATATATTAGGGAAGGGCTTGCAGCAGATCCTCAGGGTCTTGATGGACAAGTCAGAGCTGTGTTAGTCCGGGGCACATCAGCCTGCTCATCTGAGTTGCAGAGAGAAGGAACATATGCCTAGAGGGGCGCTTTTCAGCTGGAGGCATCACTATCATCATTCTCGCCGCTAGAACATCCTGTAGATGAAGAGCTGCTGCCCTGAACTCCACCAGGCCCCTCTTCTGGGACTTCCCCCTTCATGCCTCCCACCCCATAATCTAACACTGCTATACTTGGTAGGGGAGGTGGTAGGGGACAGGATGGTACCACAAATGTAGGCCAAAACAGCTATTGTTTCTAGTTGTGAGCCAGTCTGGAAGCAAGGTCCTCTTCCGTCCCTTTGTGCTCCCCCCAGAACCTGCTGTCCCGCAGCATTTGGCCACAGTATCCCCTGGTAAGGCTGTCCTCACACGGCTCTCCAGAGCTCAGGGGAGTGGACTCTCCTTCCCTGAGCTCCCCAGGAAGCATCTTGGAGGGCACAAGCAGAGCATGAGCAGTGTCATCTCTGCATGTCTGACCACACCCCCTGTCTGGACCTCACTTGCTCTGGCACCTCATTTTGCCCTCTGGTTTCGCTGACAGCTGTTTACGTGTCTCTAGGAAGAATTGGAACTAGTCATGTTTCTCCTATCTGATAGGGCTGCTTTTGGAAAACATGGCCCCAGCACAGGTATCTTAGGAACGGCCCGAAAGAGGTTGGGCCTTTGGGATACGGGAGTATTGCATAGAGGAACCAGACTGCCTGGGTTCAGATCTCAGCTCTGCCACTATTAATAGCTGTGTGTCCTTGGGCAAATTACTCAACATCTCTGGGGCTCAGTTTTAAGGGGTAGCTTCCTTTTAACGTATTTGTTACACAAGTGATATGTAAATATATATAACTCCATCATCCAGGATTGATCTCTCTTAACATCTCAGAGTATGTCCTTTCAGATTTTTTTTTTTTTTGAGATGGAATCTTGCTCTGTCACCCAGGCTGGAGTGTAGTGAGGCGGTCTTGACTCTCCATCTTTACCATCCTGGCCAGGCTGGTCTCAAACTCCTGACCTCAAGTGATCCACCTGCCTCAGCCTCTCAAAGTGCTGGGATTACAGGCATGAGCTACGGTGCCTGGCCGTAATATATTCTGTTCTACAGACTGTACTGTGAGGTCTAATCAGTGTCGGGTGTTATCTTAGGCACTGCACACACAGTGTACGAAACAGAGTCCCTGCTCTCGTGGACTTGATGTTCCACTGGAGATGATCTTAAAGAACAAGCAAGTATGTCACGTGGCAACAAACAGCAAAGATTGAAAGTAAAGCATCATAAGGGAGACAGGAGGACAGGGACATGGGCTTCTAGTGCAAAGGGGACAGTTTGAATGCCCACCTACTTCCTTTATAGCCTGCTCTGACAATGATATTAAAGGAATATTCTTAAAAAAAAATTAACCCATCAAGACTACAAGGGCGGGGTGCAGTGGCTCATGCCCCTAATCCCAACACATTGGGAGGCCAAGGTGGGTGGATTGCTTGAGCCCAAGAGTTTGAGACCATCCTGGGCAACGTGGCAAAACCCCATATCTACAAAAAATACAAAAATTAGCCAGGTGTAGTGGTGTGTGCCTATAGTTCCAGCTACCTGGGAGGTTGAGACGGGAAGATCACTTCAGTCCAGGACATAGAGGCTGCACTCCAGCCTGGGAGACAGAGCCAGACCCTGTCTCCAGAAAAAAAAGGAGAGGAGACAACAAAATTTCCAAACCTAGGATACGTAGGGAGGAGCAGTAACTGGATCTGAGAGATGACACCTTGGCCAGCAGTCCCTCAAGTCTGCTTTCCCATTTCATATGGAACTTGCTCCTTCCTTGCCCCAGCAGGAGAGTAGAGCAGAAATGTCTGGAGAGGGTGACATACCAGGTAGCCAGGGAAGGTGGCTCACTCCTGTACTCCCAGCACTTTGGGAGGCTGAGGTGGGCAGATCCCTTGAGTCAAGAGTTGGAGATTAGCCTGGGCAACATGGGGAAACCCTGTCTCTACAAAAAATACAAAAATTAGCCAGGCATGGTGGTGCATGCCTGTCATCCCAGCTACTCAGTAGGCTCAGGCAAGGGGATCACTTGAGTCTGTTTGGCAGAGGTTGCAGTGAGCCAAGATGGCGCCACCGCACTCCATCCTGGGTGATAGTGGGACCTTGTCTCAAAAAAAAAAAAAAAAAAAATCACACGAAGGGTGACACACCAGGTCTGGAAGAGATTCAAGGTACAGCTGAGAGTGGGGTCAGGGCACTGAGGTGTGGAGAGATGAGTGGATGTTTACACCTTGAGCATTTGCAGTGTTGCCGTGATCCCCCGGCCCCCATCCAGCTGCTGCCCTTTCTCATCCCCAGAATACTGTCAGCCAGGCTTATAGCTCCATATGTGCAATTGGAAGTCATTTGTGGAGAATCTGCCCAGCCCGAGAGAAAACCTAAACTATTGAGGTTCCCTAATACAAAAGAACAGCCTGACCACCTTAACACGAAGCTCCAGGTGACCACAGCGACACCCACAGAGCTGCCCTTCAGGAGGGAGTGGACAGGCAAGGGTGAGCAGACTCTAAATAAAGCCTCAGCTGAAAAAGAGAAGACAAGAAAAAGAAGGGAAGGAAAAGAAACCTAGAGGAGACAGAAACTGTGTGGGGAGAAGACATTTCAAGAACTATAATTAATCTCAGAGAAATTATGCTGCTATATTGAATGTATAAGAATATTATCAATAAGGAATTTTATTAAAGCTCTTGGAAATTAAAGATACAGCAGAAATGGAAAATTAAAAAAATAGAAGAGTAGAAGATGAAGTTGTGAAGAAAACTTCCTTAAAAGTTGAGCACAAAGACAAAAGAGATGGAAGATGGAGAAAAGATAAGAAAGTCAGACGCTGAATCCAAGAAGTTAAATATCCAAATGGGTGTTGCAGAAAGAAAAGGCAGAGAAAATGAAGAAGAAAGGTCTTTAAAGAAATAATTCAAGACAGTTTCCCAGGTCTGAAGAACATGATTTTTAAGATTGAAAGGGCTCAGCAATTACCTAGCACAATGGATGAAGATAAAACCACTTTGAGATCCAACCACACCATCAGGGCATTGGAGACAGAAGAAAACAGGTCACAAAGAACTGGGCATCATAATGATCTCAGACTCCACAACAACAGCATTCAGATCTTCTTATTTTTATTTATTTTTATTTTTTTGAGACAGAGTCTCACTTTGTCGCCCAGGCTGGAGTGCATTGGTGCCATCTTGGCTCACTGCAACCTCCGTCTCCTGGGTTCAAGCAATTCTCCTGTCTCATTCTCTCTAGTAGCTGGGATTACAGGCGCACACCACCACGCCCGGCTCATTTTTGTATTTTTAGTAGAGATGGGGTTTCGCCATGTTGGCCAAGTTGGTCTTGAACTCCTGACCTCAGGTGATCTGCCTGCCTGAACCTCCGAAAGGGCTGGGATTACAGGTGTTAGCCACTATGCCCAGCCAGCATTCAGATTTTCTTTCTATCCTAAAATTCCTTTTTTTTTTTTTTTGAGACGAAGTCTCACTGCGTTGCCAGGCTGGAGTGCAGTGGCACAATCTCGGCTCACTGCAACCTCCGCCTCCGAGGTTCAAGTGATTCTCCTGCCTCAGCTTCCTGAGTAGCTGGGACTACAGGCGCGTGCCATCACGCCCAGCTAATTTTTTTTATTTTTAGTAGAGACGGGGTTTCACCATGTTGGCCAGTCTATCCTAAAATTCTTTAGCAAGAAGCAAAAAAATTTTTTTGAGACAATGTCTCACTTTGTTGCCAGGTTGGAGTCCAGTGGTACAGTCATAGCTCATGGCAGCCTCAAACTCCCGAGTTCAAGTGATTCTCCCACTTCACCTTCCCGAGTAGTGGCGACCAGAGGCAGGTACCACCACACGTGGCTAATTTATTATTTTTTGTAGAGATGGGGTCTTGCCATGTAGCGCAGGCTGGTCTCGAACTCCTGGGCTCAATAGATTTCCCCCCTGTTTCAGCCTCCCAAAGTGTTGGGATTACAGGCATGAGCCACCACACCCAGCCACCAAATTCCTAAGTGTGACAGTAGAATAAATATATTTTCAGATGTTTCAAGTCTCAAAATATATCTTGCTTGCACCATGTCTCTGGGCACAACTTGAGTTTGTGATTCACAGTTTACAAATTTGATAATTCTGTACTGTTACCAATAGTTACAAGAGACCTTTTTAATCCTCTTATCTGGGAAACAATTTTCAAAATACAATTATTGTTTTACCTTGAGCGGTAGAAAGTTCAGCTTTAGAAACATTGTGTTTATTTCCATTGTAATATTATATATGCAAGCTGATGCATGTATTTTTCAAAGCAGGTGTACTTTAATGGTTAAAAAAATACACATGATGCAGAAAGTTCTTTGAACAAGTAAGGCATTCAAACAATTCTAAATGTATTAAAGTTGCATTTCTTTCTTTTCTTTTTTTTTTTTGAGACAGGGTCTTGCTCAGTCACCCAGGCTGGAGCGCAGTGGCACGATCACAGCTCACTGCAGCCTTGACCTTCCAGGCTCAAGCGATCCTCCCACCACCTCAGCCACCAGAGTAGCTGGGACTACAGGCATGTGCTATCACACCCAGCTAATTTTTGTATTTTTTGTAGAGATAGGGTTTTGCCATGTTGCCCAGGCTGGTCTCGAACTCCTGGGCTCAGGTGATCCAAAGTGCTAGGATTATAGGCATGAGCCACCAAACCTGACCCTAAAGTTGTTTTTTTGTTTGTTTTTTGAGATGGTGTCTTGCTCTGTTGCCCAGACTAGAGTGCAGTGGCGCCATCTCGGCTCACCGCAACCTCTACCTCCCAGGTTCAAGCGATTCTTCCGCCTCAGCCTCCCGAGTATCTGGGATTACAGAAGCAAGCCACCATGCCTGGCTAATTTTTTTGTGTTTTTGTAGAGATGGGGTTTCACCATATTGGCCAGGCTGGTCTTGAACTTCTGACCTCAGGTGATCCGTCCGCCTTGGCCTCCCAAAGTACTGGGATTACAGGTGTGAGCCACTGCACCCAGCCCTAAAGTTGTATTTCTACAGTTATTGTATTCACATAACAGATTGCAGTAGCAAAATTTTTTTTTAGTATAATGTTTAAATTTTATTTTTAACTGACAAATAATTGTGCATAATGATTTCTGTTTTATGCTCTGGTGGAAATTTGAATACCTATCTGCTGATCTACTTGGTAAATTATTTCAGAGAATTGAAAATATTTTCACAGTTTTCCTAATGAAAATTCCAAGAATTGGATTTATAATAATAATAATGCCACACTAAAGTTTGAGAATTACTTCTGGGGGTGGCAACCGGAAGTTCTGGGAAGACACATTGTTCATGTGCCTGTTGAGTTTTTTTTTTTAGACAGGGTCTCACTCTGTCCCCTAGGCTGGAGTGCAGTGGCGAGATCTGCGCTCATCACAACCTCCGTTTCGCAGCTCAAGGGATCTCCCACTTCAGCCTTCTGAGTAGCTGGGACTACAGGCATGCACCACCATGCCTAGCTAATTTTTCTGCCTTTTTTTTTTTTTTTTTTTTTTTTTTGGTAAAGACGGGATCTCACTATGTTGCTCAGGCTAGTCACAAATCCATGGTCTCAAGCAATCTCCCTGCCTTGGCCTCCCAAATTGCTGGGACTATAGGCATGAGCCACTGTGCCTGGCTTGCCTGATGAGTTTAACACATAAGAGGAGATTTATGTAAACAGGGAAGTGGATTTGGGGATGAATTAGTGACATGTTTATAGAAAATTAAACAAGTGGCCAGAATTTGGGTGGAGATGCCTTCTCTGGCTGGGCACGGTGGCTCACACCTATATCCCAGAATTTTGGGAGGCCGAAGCGGGTGGATCACCTGAGGTCAGGAGTTCGAGACCAGCCTGACTAACATGGTGAAACCCTATCTCTACTAAAAATACAAAAATTAGCGGGGCATGGTGGTGGGCACCTGTAATCCCAGCTACTCACTCGGGTTGCTGAGGCACGAGAATCGCTTGAACCCAGGAGGTGGAGGTTGCAGTGAGCCAAGATCGTGCCATTGCACTCCAGCCTGGGAGACACAGTGAGACTCAGTTTCGAAAAAAGAAAAAAAATTAAACAGTAAAAATGTAATGACTTATTCCATACACCAAAAATTATGCTGAAGAGAAGAAAATAATCACAGTAACTATGGCAGTGAACAGCATTTACATCATCATCATAGCATCAGTGTTGAATACTGATTTATCAAAAATTGTGGTAAAGTTGTACTGTGAGGTTGAGGGTTAGGAAGTATCTGTGTATATGTGTGTGTTTGTGCATGTGTGTGCATTTGGTGAAGGGATGGTAAAAAGAGATAAATTCTCATCTTCCTTAATGAGAAGTCAGTAAGTAATAGTAGAAGTTAAAAGTCAAGTAGGAACAAGATATAAAAGTATAATTTAGAATTCTGGAAGTATATAACCAAAGAGGTGGCCAGAAGTGTTGAAAGTGGTGCCTTTGAAGGAGCTGGAAATTGGGAGCAGGGAGGAGCAGAAAAGTGTTTTTGAAAACAAGCTTCATTTGACTCTTTGACATATATGCAAGTACAATTTGAATTAAAAAGACAAACACAGTGTTAAAAAGCATGACAGGGGAACTCTGTAAGGAGTGTTGGAGGTGCTCTTAATATATTGTGAAGATTTTCCAGGGATAGATTTTTGAGGGTTTATGGTTATCCCAGGCTGTGTTTGGAGAATGCCAGCAGGAAGGCCAGGCGCGGTGGCTCACACCTGTAATCCCAGCACTTTGGGAGGCTGAGGTGGGCGGATTACGAGATCAGGAAATCGAGGCCATCCTGGCCAACTTGGTGAAACCCTGTCTCTACTAAAAATACAAGTATTAGCCAGGCGTGGTGGCGTGGGCCTGTAATCCTAGCTACTGGGGACGCTGAGGCAGGAGAATCGCTGAAACCCAGGAGGCGGAGGTTGCAGTGAGCCAAGATTGCACCACTGCACTCCAGCCTGGTGACAGAGCAAGATTCCATCTCAAAAAATACATATAAATAAATAAATAATGAGAATCCCAGCAGGAGGGTGGGACTGGGGAGTTGGTCAGTTCTCTGGCTACCAGGAAGAGCTCTGGGCAGGGGTGTTGCCAGGTATCACTCATCCTGAGCAGGCGGTGCCCTCAGTCCACTTGCCAGACAGCGTATGGCAGGGAGAGCCTGGCAAGGCCACCGGGCCTCTTCTGCTGACCTGCCGTGGGCAGATGGGGCTGCCAGTGTGGGTCCCGGCCCTGAGCACCACACGGGGCTGTGGGTCCTTGGGGGCCACTCCAGGCCCTGGGCCTCAGTTTCCTCATATGTAAAATGCAATCATAATAATACCCGTTCATGTTGGTCATAAGGAGTAAATGAGTTCATTTTTGCGTGTCAGGCTTAGAATAGTGTTATAGGGCTGAGGTTCCGAAAGGTATTGACACCTTAAAAAAAATTTTCCTACTAAAAAAAATTCCAATCCTGCAGAAAAGTTGTAAGAATAGTACAAAGAACTCCCTTATAAAAGGACTTCACGGCCGGGCGCAGTGGCTCACGCCTGTAATCCCAGCACTTTGGGAGGCCGAGGCATGTGGATCACGAAGTCAGGAGATCGAGACCATCCTGGCTAACACGGTGAAACCCTGTCTCTACTAAAAATACAAAAAATTAGCCAGGCGTGGTGGCAGGCGCCTGTAGTCCCAGCTACTCAGGAGGCTGAGGCAGGAGAATGGCGTGAGCCCGGGAGGCGGAGCTTGCAGTGAGCCGAGATCACGCCACTGCACTCCAGCCTGGGCGACAGAGCGAGACTCTGTCTCAAAAAAAAAAAACAAAAAACAAAATAAAAGGACTTCACCTGTTAACATTTGCCACATTGGCTTTTTCTGTCTCCACATATACGTAGAATAATGATAACGATGGATATAAAAAAGGGTAAAATTATTAATTTCAGGAGATTTCCCATTCGTATGAGACTTCTGTGACATACAGTCCATAGTTAAGTTGTGCCAGTTGCTTCAGTGCAGGGCGCCCCTCCCCGGATCCCAACCCCGGATCTAATCCAATCCCTTTAGTCCCGTCTCTTTAGTCTCCCTTCATCTGGAGCAATTCCTCAGCCTTCTTTGTCCTTCCTAACTTTGACATTTTTGTAGTGTTATAAAGCCACTAGTTTTGTTGAATGCCCCTGGATTTTGGTTTGCTGATATTTCCTCATGACTGGACTCAGGTTATGCGTTTTTGGCCAGAATTCCACATGATCAGGAGGCACATGATGTCGGCGTGCCCAGCAGGGGTGACGGTGACGCCCATGGCCTGGCCGAGGTGGTAGCCTTTTGCTGCTGTAAAGCGACTCGTGTTCCCTTTGTAATTAATAAGTAATCTATGGGAGATATTTTTGAGACTGTGCCTGTGTATCGTGTTTCCCAACGTGTTTTCACCTGATGGTTTGATTGTTTATTGAGCATTGACTCCTGACCAAACTCCTCCTGAAGTTCAGCTGCAGGTCAACATCTTGACGGGCATTGAGGTAAACACCAGCGTTCATTGTTTTTTGGCTGCCATCGTAAACCTTAGCATTAGGAAATATATTGATTTGTATCAGAGAGGTTTTATTTCATCTGGGACAAAAATGCTCTTCCTGGGTTTAAGTCGAAAAGGCCAGATTCATTGATTCATTTGTTCACTAAGTATTTACTGAGTGCTTACTGTATGCCAGGCACTATTCCAGGTGCTGGGGACAAATTGTTTTCTTCCGGAAGCTGCATAGTAGTTGGGGAGTCAGACAGTCCATCCACCTGCTGCTGTGAGGGAGTGAGAAGTGAAGAGGAAGCAAGCTGGTGGAGGAGACAGAGGACCCCGAGGTTAGGGCTGCTGTTTTACCAGAGCTGACCGAGCCTGAGGAGCTGGCCTCAGAGCAGAGGCCTGGATGAAGCGAGGAGCAGCGTGGCTCGTTGGGTAGGAGGGTCAGCTCGGCCGTGGGAGCGGCCAGGGCACGGCCTGGAGAGGAGCCCATGGCTGACGCGAGTTAGTGGGTCAGTGGGGAGCCGGCGCGGCTGGAGCAGAGGCCCTAAGCGGGAGAGAGGCAGTGCATGAAGGTGGAAAGAGGGCCAGGGCGAGGTGACCAACAGCCTCGTAGTCCACGGCAGGAAGCGCGGGAGCTGTGGAGCAGGGGACAGTTTGAGGGTGGCAGCTCCCACCTCAGTGTGGCCCTGACTGAGGCTTTCGGTGGAGACCTGAGGGAAGCCAGGCCCCTTAGGAGTGAGTGCTCTAGGGGGACGTGGGGAGCTCTGAGAGTCCTGCAGTCAGGTTCCCATCCCTGCAGGTGCACCTCAGGAAAGGCAGGAGGATGGCAGGAAGTGAGCAGTTGGAAAATAAGCACCTGTGGATGCTCTTGCTGCTGAGGGGAGGCGGGAGGGGCTGGCTGGGTGAGACGCCAGTTTCCCTGCACCCTGGGTGGCTGGGGCAGGTCTCCCACAGGCCTCGGCAGACCAGGGCATGCTCACAGGCCGGGTGGCTTTCTGATCTGGAGCAGCCAGGAGCCCCAGGCTGGGAGCCCGGCTGGGTGACCCTGCCCGCAGAACCCGGCTGCTCTCCAGCGCCCGCTCTGCCTCTGTGCCCTGCCCATCTCTCCCCCACTCTCAGGGAGCTCCACTGCCCAACCCAGGCAACGGAGGCAACAGCGGAGAGAATCCAAGCTAGCCTGGGGGGAGCGCTTTTCTCCATGTGAGGCACTTCCTGAATCTTTCCTTCTACTGACTCGTTTAATTCTCCCAACAGCCCTGGAAGGTAGGTGCTGTTATTGTTACCCCAGATTGTAGAAGTCAGGAGACTGAAGCCACAGACAGTGTCAGTCACTAGCCTGAGGTTACGCCACTAATAAGTGCAGAGCCAGGACTTGCACCCAGGCTGACTGGCTCCAAAATCTCTGTTCTCATCCACCAAGCTCCACTGCAGATGTATGGATTTCCCTCAGGTCCACTGCAAGGGCCAAGGTGGTGCCGTTCAGTCTACTTCAAGCAGTCTCCCGCCTCTTGAGATCTTGGTGTGCCTGACCTCTGACCTCTGGCCCATGACCTATGACGCTGAGCTGTTAGAGAACAGAGTGAGAAGCAAGAAAGAGTCTTTTGCTGCTCCTCAGAGAGTTGTGAGGAGGCCTTCATGCCCCTTTTTCAGGGTCAGATCCGGGGATTCCCAGGATTGGGTGACATTTATTTAGCAACTCGTGATCCAGCTGACACGTTTTATTGAATGTAAACAACTCTGTGAGGCAGATTTGATGACCACCCTTTAATAGGTGAGGAAGCCAAGGCTCTAAGACGTTAAGCCCCATGCCCAAGGGTACACAGCCAGTATGGAGAGTCATGTGGCCAGCCTGGGGCCAGTGGCCATGTCTTCCCACTGTGCTGCTGTGCCACCCAGAGCTGAGGGCCTGGGATGTTTGATGGGACAGAAGCCACGTGCCTGGTATGTCATCTCTGTGCATCCCCACTGGGACTTGGAAGTAGAAATTGGAAGTAGCCTGTGGTGTTGCAGGAGCACTGGCTTTAGGGTGAGATGGCCTCAGTTCCAGGTTCGCCTCTGCCACGTTTCACGGTGTGATACTGGATGACTCTTTTGAGTCCCAGCCCACCCTCTTCACTGACGTATGAAAGCGGGGTTAAAACCACCTATGACCTCAGACCAAATATGAAAGTATAGGTTGATAGTTCTTAGCCGGGTTTTGCGGTGTGTGAGTGAGTATGAGGACTTCGTGGTGGTGAAATGTGCCCGCTGGGTTTTCAGCTCTCTCGGGTTTCCCTGGGAGAGCCTATCCGAACCCAGATTAAGAAAGTCAGAGGGAACCATGGGTCTTTTGAGAAAGATCCAAGCTGATTTGGAAATACCCCTAAGATCTATGTTAAAACACAATGTATACATGTTAGAGTAATGATGACAATTGTACCAGATGTTTTTAAAAATAAAGGAAAGGACTTAACCAAAACCAGGTGGTTTTGGACCAGGAAGCTAGCCTAGAGTCTGTTTAGGAAAACTGCAAGACATCCTTCTAGTTTAAAACTGTGCTTCTCACCTGGGGACACTTTTTCCTTTCAGGGGACACATTGGCAATGTCTGGAGACATTTTGGGTTGTCACAACTTGGGGAGGGTGCTACTAACATCCCAACAGAGGCCACAGGGATGCAGCTGAACATCCTTCAATGCACAGGACAGCCCCTGCAACAGAATTATCCAGGCCAAAATGTCAGTGGTGCTGAGATTGAGAAACCCTGGATTAAACATCACAGCACTTATGTGGTGTTTACTGTGTGCCAGACATTGTTTTAAGAACTTCACAGGTAATTGACTTGTTTAATCCTCCCAGCCTTATGACACAGGAGCTTTTACTATCCTCATTTGGCAGATGAAGAAGTAGGGGCACCAAGAGGTTAAACAGCTGAACCGTGCTCCCGGGTGGGGCCAAGGTCCCATTCAGAATAAGGAGCAGGCAGAGCCAGGACTTGAACTCAGTCTGGCTGCAGAGTCTGTGCCTGGAACCACTGCGCTCTGCTGCACTGCCCATCATTAAGGGGACTACTGGGCTTTAAACCATATATATATATATATATATATATATATATATTTTTTTTTTTTTTTTTTTTTTTTTTTTTTTTTTGAGATAGAGTTTCACTCTTGTTGCCCAGGCAGGAGTGCAATGGTGCAATCTGGGCTCACTGCAACCTCTGCCTCCCAGGTTCAAGTGGTTCTCCCGCCTCAGCCTCCTGAGTAGCTGGGATTACAGGCATGCGCCACCACGCCCGGTTAATTTTGTATCTTTAGTAGAGATGGGGTTTCTCCACGTTGGTCAGGCTGGTCTCGAACTCCTGACCTCAGGTGATCCGCCTGCCTCGGCCTCCCAAAGTGCTGGGATTACAGGCGTCAGCCACTGCGCCCGGCCTTTAAGCCATATTTTCAGCTTTGGGTCCAGAAAGCCACATACCTAGAAATTTGGTATGTGAGAAGAGTTAGAGACCTCTCATTCCTGTGCCTGGAAGATGGAGCAGGAAGGGCTGGGGTTTGCCTGATGAGGGGCCCAGTGACCCACAGGTAAGAACCTTGTGTTTTCCAGATTCTGAGTGTGGCTCAGCTCGTGAATGCAGTGGCACAAGGCACTCTGTGGGAGTGGATCTTGGGTGCATGATCCTCTTGGATTTTGGCTTCCCTCAGGGAATCAAAGCCAGGGTGGGAGTTCTCTCCTCACCGTGGTGCCTGTGGCATAGAGAGTGGGCATTGCTTCCCTGTCACGGGCTGTGCTGTATCATTGCAGATGTAAAGACGACCGTGGTTTACCCTGCCACAGAGAAACACCTGCAGAAGTACCTGCGCCAGGACCTCCGCCTGATCCGAGAGACGGGAGATGACTACAGGAATATTACTTTACCCCACCTGGAGTCCCAGAGCCTCAGCATCCAGGTGACTGGCTGCATGTCTCAGACGCAGAGCACTGCTCCCGTGGCTGGTGCCTCCTCTTACGAGTGTCTATTGGGGTCATATTAGGGGCCAGGCGCTGTGCTGGGCGAGGGGATGGGGGTACAGTAGAGAGCATGGCGGACAGAATCCCCACCTCGTGCAGCTTACATCCCATGCACAGTCACACGGTGTGTGACCATACACAGATATCTCAGGATCTATGTGCTCTGTGAGATAATGAGGGCTGCAGAGAGAAATAGACAGGATAAGTGGGACCAGAAGGCCTGGGGCGGGCAATTGCCATTTTATATCGCATGGCGAGAGAAGGCTTTGGGGGTGGGGGAACTGATGCTGGTCTTGGTCCCACCTGATGTGCTTGGGCATGCCATGGAGGCTCTCTGGGGACCTCAAAGCAATCCAGTCCTTTGGAAGAATGTGTGTCTGCTCTGCAGTAGCCTTGATCCAGCCTCGGGATGACTGTGCCATTGCTTTGGGTCCATGAATGGGTAAAAGGCTGATGTTGAGTGAGTCCCACCCTGTCCAGACTCTTATTCCTGGTTTCACCTGCGGCAAACCGGCCTGCAGGATCTCAGTCTCAGAGGAAAAACTCTTCCCTCACCGACTCCCCCTTGCATTCGTCCAAAAGAAGGCAGGACCCCATTGGCCCCGGGGATTTGGTGCAGGGACTCCATTCACAAGCTGGCAGTCGTCTGGCCAGGCCAGATGCAAGGCCATTTAGCTCCAAGATCCTGACTCCTCCCTGGGCCTAGGCCCAGCGCCAACTGGAGCCTCTGCCTGGAACTGGCCCCATGTGAGTACTCAGAGTTAAATATGACTGATGCTTATTGATGAGTCAGTTTCTTGCCCACTCACTGACTCTGACACTGTGCCTTGTCTTTATCACTCACCCTTGTTCTCTTCGAGCATTTCTCACTTTTCTCCCCAAGATTCAGGTCACTGTGGTGGAGGGTGTTGTGATGTGAGGAACTCACAGCCACTCCTCCCTGGCCCAGAAGAAGGGAGGGTACGCTGTGTGTGTGGGCACTGCAAGGTGAATTGTACTTGACAGGAGTAAGGAAAGGGAGGCTGACAGGGCCTGCAGGAATGAAGTTTCCTTGGGAGACCTGTGTGCCGCCAGCCCCCTTCCCCAGCCTGGTTCAGCCCTGGTCTCCCTGGGCAGCAGTTTGCGTGGGGTGCATCTGGCTCAAGCTGACTTGTTTGTTGTTGTTGTTGTTGTTTGTTTGTTTGTTTTTAAAGTCCCAGCACTTGTTCTGTTTTCCAAGTGAAAAGGAACTATATCTCCACCTTCTTAGAGTTTCTGCTGTTCAGGGTCCTAGGGAATCTCCTGGAACAGTTGTTCTGTTGTGCTGGTTGTGCAGACCTGAGATTCAAGTAAGGAAGCCCTGATGTGGTTGGTGTGAGTAGCTGGGATTACAGGTGCTTGCCACCATGCCTGGCTACTTTTTTGTATTTTTAGTAGAGATGGGGTTTTGCCATGTTGCTCAGGCTGGCCTCGAACTCCTGAGCTCAGGCAGTCCGCCTGTCTTGGCCTCCCAAAGTGCTAGGATTACAGGTGTGAGCCACTGTGCCTGGCCATGTATATTCCTTATTATATACCATTATGCAGTTCCATTCGGAGAAGAGCACAATGAAAACTCCACTACTCTTCCAACTCCTGACTGACGGGAGCCGTTCATGTATTCCTTCTTGGCTATTTCTAGTTTACAAGCACTCAGCTTAACTGGCAACACTCATTATGTTTACTGAGTACCTACTATGGACCTGGTCCTATGCCAGGCTTTGGAGAGTCACCAAGATGATGAAACCTAGACAGGATCTTCACAGTGTAACAGGGAAGATAGACTTGTAAACGGGCAATTGTGACAATGGGATAAGCACTCTGATGCCTAGACGAACTACCGTGGTGATGCAGAGGGACAGTGACCAGCGCAGACAGTTGGGACTTCACAGGGAGAGGATCCTCCCCTTGGGTCTTACAGGACAAATAGAAGTTTACCAGGTGCACAAGGGGAGGGAGGAGCAAGTCCAGAGGCACACAGAGCTGGAATCATCCGATGCTTTGGGGGAGCTGCAAGGAGTTTGGTGTGACTGGGGCTTGGGCTGCTGGAGGGTCAGAGGAGACAGCACTGAGATGGTAGGCAGGGGCCAGGCGGAGGCACGTGGACTTTGTCCAGGGGGCCAGGAGTTCCTGAACCTTGCTTACCATCAGGATTGCCTGGGGGTTTTCATAAATACCGAGCACAGAGCACTATTCCATATCTGCTGAATCTCACGCTTCAGGGAGTGGAGCTGGGAATTCTCTCTCTCTCTCTCTCTCTCTCTCTGATATTTCTGACAACCATCAGATGTGAGAACAGTTGCCATAGGCAGTGAGGGTGCCCTAAACGGTTTTAAGCATGTGGATGATATGGCCCGATTTGCAGAATTAATTGGTGGAGTGGGGGTGAGCATAGAACAGGAAGACTGGGAAAAACCAGTATGGGTCTGAACCAAGGTAGGGACAGTGGGGAAGGATTCTGGAGCAATTTAAGAGGTAGGTCTTCACAGGGCTGGATGGGGCTTAGCAACTGATTGACGTGCAGAGGGGAGGGAAGAGGTTGGGTGATGAGTGGATAGAAGGATAATTCATGACCCAGTATAGGGGACAGAAACAGAAGAGTGGGTTTGCATGGAAGACAGTGAGTTCAGTTTGGAATTCATTGAGCACTTACTATGTATAGTCCAAGAACTGCTCTAAGCATTTATGCGCATCACACCTCATTTATTTATTTATTTATTATTTATTTATTTTTGAGATGGAGTTTCACTCTTGTTGCCCAAGCTGGAGTGCAATGGTGTGATCTCGGCTCACTGCAACCTTCTCCTGCCAGGTTCAAGTGATTCTCCTGTCTCACCCTCCCAAGTAGCTGGGATTACAGGCGCCCGCCACTATGCTGGGCTAATTTTTGTATTTTTAGTAGAGACGGAGTTTCACCATGTTGGCCAGGCTGGTCTCAAACTCCTGACCTCAAGTGACCTGCCCACCTTGGCCTCCCAAAGTGCTGGGATTACAGGTGTGAGCCACCGCACCCAGCCTCACACCTCATTTATTCTTCACAGCAGCCCTTTTGGAGACAGGTCTCAAAGCCAGGCAGTCTGGTCCCAGTATCTGTGCCCTAAGCCAGAGATACTATTTGGCTCCTTAGATGTGAGGTACTTATAACTTCCCAGTAAAAACTGCAGTGGGATGTCTGGATCTGGAGCCTTTGAGATCATCTAGTTACAAATGTCTGTTTGTGAGTCATCCAGCTAGACTTCAACCTCAGCCTGGTGTTTGGATTCTCAGTCTGTCATCTAAGAGCAGCGTGACATTGTCCTTAATTTCGGAGCCCTGGTTTCCTTGTCTGAAAAATGTAACTAATGGCTCCTCCCTCCTGGGTGTTGTGGAAATTGAGAGAGGTGCCATATATCATGTGCCTGCTATTGTTTCCAGCACAGAATGATGCCAGGATGGCAGCCACCATCCCCTACTCTAGGTAACTGTTCAGAGGGACAGGCACAGCAATGGGCAGAGCTAAGACACCTGGGAGACGTGGCCAGGCCACACATGGCTGGAGGGGAAGTGCAAGGCAGCAGGCAGAAGCAGAGAGCAGGAGGTGATGAGGAAGGAGCAAGATGTCTCACGGGAGGTCAAGGCGGGAGAGAGGGTACCGAGGGAGCTGCCAATGTCACCTACTGCAAAGAAGTCCAGCCAGGTGAGTTGCAGAAAGCTGATGGCATCACCCTCTGCCCAGTTTATCAGCAGGGCTGGCCAAGTTCTTGGGCATGGTTTCAGATGGTGGCACTCCCCATTACATAGCTCTCTGTGTTTGTGTGAATTTTGTTCTTTCATTCTCCTTTTTTTTTATCTGGGCCCCTGGCCTGGAGGCTTCCCGTGGATGCAGCTCCCTGCCACTGTCCCAGAGGCCTCTCCCAGGAGACAGGATGTACCTTGGCCCAGGGTGCAGGCTCAGGAGCCAGATACTCATGGTTGGAATTGGCTGACCCAGCGTGAACTTCCTTGCACTTGCATTCTTCTTAACTGTAAAATGGGGACAATGTCCAGGCGCGGTGGCTTATGCCTGTAATCCCAGCACTTTGGGCCAAGGTGGGCAGTTCACTTGAGGTCAGGAGTTTGAGACCAGCCTGGCCAACATGACGCAACCCATCTCTACTAAAAATACAAAAATTAGCTGGGTGTGGTGGCACACGCCTGTAATCCCAGCTTCTTGGGAGGCTGAGGCAGGAGAATCACTTGAACCTGGGAGGTGGAGGTTGCAGTGAGCTGAGATCACGCCATTGCATTCCAGCCAAGTGTGAAACTCCGTCTCAGAAAAAACAAAAAACAAAAACCAACAAAAAAACCTGTCTCTACTAAAAATATAAAAATTAGTCGGGTGTGGTGGTGGGCACCTATAATCCCAGCTACTGAGGCAAGAGAATCGCTTGAACCTGGGAGGCGGAGGTTGCAGTGAGCCGAAATCACGCCACTGCACTCTAGTCTGGGCGAAAGAGCAAGACTCCATCTCAAAAAAAAAAAAAAAAAAATGGCGACAATGATAGCAGCCACCTCTCAGGGTTGCTGTGACGCTGAGAGCAGTGCCAGGCAGAGTGCAGCTGCTCTCACAGTCATCACTCCTTCCTGCAGTCACTCGTCCTCCAGCCCCGCTCTTATTTCCTCTCTCACCACCTCCTTTGCTCTCACCGCCTTTCCCTCTTTTCCTGTCCCCAGTCAGTTTTGTAGCCTCTGGCATACCATCCCACCACCTTTGCCACTCGTGGGGGTCTCCCTTATACTGGCTGTGCTAGGTGCTTTCATGTGCGTGTTCTCTGAAAACCTTCACCACCCTTATGTAGATATCATCAGCCCCATTTTACAAAGGAGGCATCAGTCGCTCACCCAGTGACAGCTGGGAGATGAAACCAGGTCTCCTTGGCTCAGAACCTGTTCACTCTCACTCTTATACTAGTCACAGGCAGATGCCCCTTTTCTGTGAATCAGGGACTGGCCGTGGGGAGGCCTGCTTATGGGGTGCGTTGGGGCTGTCTGTAGGGAATGCCGTCTCCCTCCCTCCCTTGTATTTCCGCTGGCTTCCTCTGGCATCACATTCCCAGGAGATTTCAGGTCAGAGAGGAAATGCCTCTGTGGATGTACTGGCCATGCATTGCTCTGGCCCCGGCACTGCATGAGGAAGTGGCTGCCAGGTGTCCTCCAGACCCCTCCCAGGAAGGGGCCTCATTCGGTTTCTTGGGAACTGCCTGTCTTTTGTTGTGAATGGACCACATTGTGACCGGCCTGTGGGTCTTGTCAGGGGTTTGGGGCCCTCTGAGCTGAAATGCTTCCTGTGGGTAGAGAGTTGCAGGAGACCTCGAGGCCCAGCTGCCCTCTCCCCCGGTCCATCCCAGCTGAGAGGCGAGGATGCAATGCAGTGTGTTCAGCCCTCCAGGCTCAAGGTGTGAGGTTGTGTGGACCATAAGGCAGTCCCCGTGCCTCTAGCCTTCGGTGATGCTACCTGTCCAGCACTTCTGGGAGTGGAAGGAGGACCATGGATGGCTGCCTGGTAGTGTCGGTTCCCTGGCCTCCCCATCCCACCTCGTGTCCATGGCTCCTTCTCCTACATCAGTGAGCTCGGAGACCATTCTGACTGTGAGGAGGAAGGGGCAGTAGTATGTCCTCAGCCACTCCCCTCTCTGGTTTCCTAGCAGGTCTCTCCCCCAGATGTAGGGCAGAGTTCACTGTCCTGCATGAGTTCATGTTTGCAAAGGGCCCTGAGAGCCGGGGGAAGTAGAGGAGAGCTGGGGGTACTGGGGTTTGAGGCCTGTGAGCTCAGGGGCCTTCTCAGCCCAACCTCCTGCAGCCTCCTAACCTCAGACAGGCCTCCAGGACCATCTCTGTAAAGTAATGTCCTTGGGTCAACACAGGCCTGGGAAAGGTCCTCTGCAGACTGTTGACAGCAGCTGATCCAAGGGTGACACAAGGGCTGGGAGCCCTGGGTAGCCCTGAAAGGTCTTGGTGAGGTCACTGTCTCTGTGTCTCTACATAGCTTTCGTTTCTGCTTTGCCATGCGGGGTCTGTGTCAGCAGAGACTGCTGATAAACCGGCATCTGCAGCGGCTCCAGGCGGGCAGAGGTGCTGAGCCCACTGCTGATGAGAATCCCAGTGCGGCGGGAAACGTGCACACATGAGCTGCTAGAGGCAAAGGCTCTCACTGCTCTGGTGGGTAGCTGGCCCCTCCACAGAAGGAAACCGTGGTGCCCTCAGCCTCCTACCTCTCTTTGCCCCATAGTCCTGAATAGAGTGAAATAGGATCCATGGAGGCAGCTCTTCCCCTGAGTCCTGTGAGCGGTGGAGGGGGTCACTGCTATAGAGGGCAGACACAGCCTGGGTTTGGAGGCCTCCGCAGAGCATGTGCACTATGCTGACCAGGAAGAGCCTGGCCCCTTCCAAGCTGCAGAGACCCTTGTGATGACGCATGGCTGAGTGCCAGCTGGAGTGGGAAGGGGGAAGTCCCTTCTGGACCCCTAAGAACAGATGCTTGGGGACAGGGCAGCCCGGATGTAGATCCTCTGAGCGTGGCGGCCTTTTATGGCTTGGTTCTGTCTCCTGGAGAGGCCAGGGAATGCCCTGAGCTCAGTTTGGGGTATCTCTCAAGGGGTGATGAGTGGATTTGTGAACCATCTCTCTCCCCCTCCTTTCAGTGGGTGTATAACATTCTCGACAAGAAGGCTGAAGCGGACCGGATTGTTTTCGAGAACCCAGATCCCTCTGATGGTTTTGTCCTCATCCCTGACCTCAAGTGGAACCAACAGCAGGTAAAGGTTTCTGGCTGGAATGTCCTGATCTCTGGCCACCCTGCTGTAAGTGCTGGTCCTTCTGACTGCCCTCTTTCTCACGCTGGCCTGTCTCTAAGCAGATTATAATTAACCAACAAGGGTTGGCCTGAGCTCTCTGTGGGGACTGGGTGGATACCTGTCATACATAAGTGCTTTTGCTTTAATGGGTCAGCTTAAAGCCCTTTCTGGCTGTCCTCCCACCCAAGAGGTAAAATGGGGTGATGTTTGTGCCCATGACTACATAGGCCATTCCTTACCAGCCAAGTGGTCTGGGCAGCCACCTGTGCTTCCACCCGCATCTGGAGCCCTCGGGTGGGGTGTTTCCATTTTCTCCATTCCCCTTGACACCAGCAGATCCAGGCAGGCCCGTGTTCTGAAGCACTGGCAGGCAGGAACCATGGTGACCAACCCAAGGCATCTCCTCCTCAGCCCGAGCTGTGGAGTAGCTTAGCCCAGACTTCTACTCAGGCCCCTTGGCCCCGTGCCCTGCCTCCAAGCACCTCTGCTTCTCCTACTTTCCTAAGGAGCAGGTTTGGGAGGAGCCGTCCTCCCTCACAGGTATCCCTTTCCAGTTCCCTATGGTCTTCTGTCTCTCCCAGACCAGCCCACCACCAGAGTTATCACTTACCACCACCTCTTTTATACCTGAGAGTATCAGAAGCTTTTATACCCTGACAGGGTCAGAAACAGGCAGAGCCACTGTGTTGCAGAGAGTGCTGTTCTTAACACAGACTGGAACCTGGCTGTGCTCAGCCTGCAACAGAAGAAGGGCCTGGATAAGGCCGAGGTAGGCAGGCAGGCATGGGTGCTGGGAGCAGACAGACATATTCTCTCCTGCACTTTCACCTGTGGAGTAATCCAGGCTCAGATGTGCCGTTCTGCTTTCGGTGGGCCCGTCTAGTTTCTGCACCCGTCAAAGGCTGGAGAGACTCTTGTAGAGAAGGTGCCTTGGAGTGAGCCTCGTCTGCCCCTCCGCGGGCTCGCTCCCTGTGCTTTCCCAGTTGTGGCTGCCTATGACACCTTCAGTTTTGACGTGGGGTAAAGGGGTGGGATTGTGGCTCAGGGTTACACAGGCAAGTGAGCATAATTCGTCTCTTGACAAGAGGCTTGTGGGAATTCCCAAATGTGACCCAAGGGGTGGGAAAGAATTTGAAGGGATTTTCCGAAGTTGCAGCATTGATCGATGATTCCCTAGAGCCAAGTAAGTTCAAAGAAGAGGGCTCTCCTTGTGTGGGGCGCTGCAGTGAGAGGCTAAGGGGACGCCTGCATCCACTCTGCCCTTCCCTGCAGCTTCTCTCTGCCTGTGCCACCTTCAGGCCTTGAAGGAGGGAGCCAGGACTGGCTCTGTAGGCATTTGAAGAGGTAGGACCTGATGGTCCCTTGTCTCAAACTGAGTGGTGGCTCTGCAAACCCCCATCTGTCTTGTGGGGCTGCCCTGCACCTAGAGATCCGGGGTCAGAGCCTGGGTCACAGGAGGCGGGGCCCACCGTTAATGAGAATCCCAGCAGGGCCATAGAGGTGTGGGGTAGGAGGAGGACCTTCTGCCGCACCAGACTCTTGAAGACTGAAGAGCTTGCCAGGGGATCGCAGTCTTAAGGTCATGGAGGGACAACAATAGACTTGTCCGTCTGTATTCCAGAAGCCCTGAATGCATTTGAGCCCACGGCAGAGAAGAGAAATCTGCCGTCCTTCTGACCCCAGTGCCTCCAGGCTCTGCTTCAGCTGCCAGTGGAACCTCCCTTTTTCTGTCCCCTTTAAGACAGGAAAGACTTTAGGAGCTGCACTCTGGCTGCCAGCCACAGGGCTGGAATTACTTGTCCTCAAGGGTCATGAAAGGGCCAGCTTAAACGTCACACTTTGCTTCATAGCGATGCAGGTGTGGTCCTTCTTAACATTTGCTTAATTCTTTTTTTTTTTTTGAGACAGAGTCTCACTCTGTTGCCCAGGCTGGAGTGTAGTGGTGTGATCTCAGCTCACTGCAACCTCCACCTCCTGGATTCAAGCAATTCTCGTGCCTCAGCAACCCAAGTAGCTGGGACTACAGGCGTGAGCCACCGCGCCCGACCTTAATTCTTACTTGACTTTTGATGATGCTGTATTTTAGCGTCTCAAATCTTTGACTTGTGACAGCACTGAATTGGTAGCTCTCTTTGAATTAGGCAATGTATCCAGCAGGAAGATAGGCCATGCCTGGGCTTCTATCCTTTGTCTTTGGGACAGGGAAGGGCTGGGGATAGGGAGGCACCCTGGTGTTTGCTTTGAGGAGCTTTCCTAGCCACCTTGAATCTCCTCCTGCCACTGGTCCTGGAAGTTACTGTCTCCAAACTGATGCCCCTGAATTAAAGAGATAATCCATTTTTTCATCCATTCAACATGTATTTATCAGGTGCCTGTTTGCTAGAGACTGTGCCTCCTTAGAGGTTATAACATCCCTTCTTCTGTTCTCTTAAAGGATCACCTGTGTGTTCTTTTTTTTTATTTGTTTATTTTCTTGTAGGTTTAGTTCATGCATGTGGCAAAAATGCACACAGTACAGAGGATATTCAGTGAAAGTATGCTTCCTCACCCCACAGCCCTTCCTTTCCCTTCCCCAAAACAACTATTGTTGCTATTTCTTTGTCTCTGGTAACCTTTCTATATTGGGTATATAAACATATATGTACATGTATATATGGATACACATGCATTTTCAGTTCACATGATTTAAATTCTTTGGTCTAAAGTTCTCAGACCAGGCAACTCTTCCTTTGAGTCACCCCAGAGGTTAAGAGATGGCTCTCCAACGCTCCAGCAATTCTCTTTCTTCCTGCCAGGAAACTATTACTTTGATTTTACTGTCTTGACTTGTAAAAAGAGACTGACGATGTCTATCTGTCTTCCCAGAGTGACTGATGGGCCACCTTCTGGGGCGCCAGCCTGAGGCCCTTTCCTGCCCCTGGGCTAGCTTTTTTCAGATGACTTCTCTGAGCGAGGAGGCCTTTGGCTGCCAGCAGGAAATTTTGGGTCATGTCTAATATCAAAGAATGGATTATTTTCCCTCCCTTACCCAGCCTGTGAACTGACACCCAACACCATGGGCTGACACCCAGCACCAGGCTCCATGCCCTATTCTGTGCCAGTGGAGCAGAGAGTTGCGAGTTAGCGTCGTGTTTGTGATTTGTCAGCAGACATCATCTAAACAAATGTTACTATTATTTGGGAGTTTGGTGACAGTGACGCATAGAACAGCCGAAAACATACACCTTCACCACCACGTGCACACGTGCGCACGCACACAAATTCAAGTTCAAGCAATTTTGTTTCTGGGCTTCTCTTTGGACTCCTAAGTCCAAAGTGAGAGAATACATTTCTTGGCCACAGGCCATGAGAGAGTACACAGGGGACTTGGGGCAAACTGAGGCCTGGTGCATGTAGCTCAGCTACACGTGGAGCTTCCTGTGGGCTCATCTGCAGAAGGTCTAAGGCAGAGAACACAGATTCTTAGAACTCTGGCAGGAAAGAATGTTCATGGCATGTAAAGACCATGGCATAGTTGGATATCAGCCAGTCATATAGAAAAGCCCATCCTGAATTTTCAATTTGAGGCCCCAGGAAATGTGGTTGGGTGAGTCATGGTCCTCAAATTATCTTCACAAGGAATCTGGTAGCTCAGACTGCAGGGCAGGGCACTGCTGGGTTCTCCCCGTGCCTGGCCCCTCAGAGCCTTGATGTCTGGGGCCTTCCAGGCGCATGGATGGAATTACCAGGCAAGGCCAGGGTTTAGGTGAGCAGGGTGGGTTTTCTCAGCAAGAGGAAGAGTTCATTTGCTCTCTGGCACAAGATCTTGACTTTGATTCTTTGTACTGTTGTGACCTCCAGGTTTTCAGCCAGGTTGTGCTCAGGAAGGACAGCAGGAAGGTATCCTGTGCGATAGGGGAAGAGAGAAACAAGCTAACTGCCCTGGTGTTGTGTGTGCTGCTGAGCTGGCCCTTGGCTCCCTTCTCAGCCTTCAGACCCCACTCCACCCCTTCATGGGCCTTGACTCCAAACAAATCAAGTTGCTTCCTCTCCCCTTCCGTATACATTCTATGCCCTATACATTCTTGCCTCCGAGTCTTTGCTCTGTTTCCTCTACCTGAATACCCTTTCTCCAAATTCTACCTTTTTTCTAGACCTGATCCTCTGCCTTCTCTTCCAGGAGGCCTTCCTGGGTTCATCCAGGTAGCTAGAGTCTTTCCTTCCTCCTGCACTGGGATTATTTTGTGTCTTACAGTAGAGCTACTTGCATACATGCGATAAGACTGTAAACTCTCGGAGGGAGAGAGTTGCCCTTGCTCTTTCTTGAACCTCCTGGCTCCCTGCCCCGACAGCTCTGGGGAGTGAGCATATAGAACTCTCTGCTGGGCGCGGTGGCTCACGCCTGTAATCCCAGCACTTTGGGAGGCCGAGGCAGGCGGATCATGAAGTCAGGAGTTTGAGACCAGCCTGGCCAATATGGTGAAACCCCATCTCTACTAAAAATATAAAGAGCATGGTGGCACGCACCTGTAGTCCCAGCTACTTGGGAGGCTGAGGCAGAAGAATCGCTTGAACCCAGGAGGCGGAGGTTGCAGTGAGCCAAGATTGCGCCACTGCACTCCAGCCTGGGCGACAGAGCGAGACTCTGTCAAAAAAAAAAAAAAAAAAAAGGACTCTCACATGGTATTCTCTAGCAAGAAGCGTACACAGTAGGCCTGCTCCTTAAGACCATCCCACACGCCCGGGGTATGCAGATGCCCTGCGGGGTTTCTCCTGGTGCTGTAGGCCTCAGGGGTGGGTGCTTCCTGGCTTACGTGAGAACTCCAGGGTTGGCAGCCTCCCCAGGTCTGTTCCCTGCTGAGCCTGGTCTCCCCTTGCTCTCTACGCAGCTCGATGACTTGTACTTGATCGCCATCTGCCATCGCCGGGGCATCAGATCCCTACGCGACCTTACTCCGGAGCACTTGCCGCTGCTCAGGAACATCCTCCACCAGGGGCAGGTGAGTGGCTTCACCAAACCACGTGGAAGCTCAGAGAAATTAGACTCAGATTCCAGTGTGTTCCTGGGCCCCTTTCCTCACCTTTCCCAGAGTCCATCTTGGAGAGACTTCTCTCTGGATGCCAGTCTTGGGGACCCCATTAGGCTCTTGAGGTTGAAGAGCAGGGCTCTTTGTCCCTGGTCCTGCCACCTTTCCTCACCCTCACACGCCTTCCTCGGCCTTTCTCCATCTGGGATGCACTTCCACCCCTCACCCCATAGACTCTGGTCCTTAAGTCCTGGCCCCTCCTACTCCAGGATCACCTGTCTCTCTCATGACAACCATGACAACCACATCATGCCAGAGTTTCTTGGGAGTATGGGCACATGACTTCGATATGTGTGTACACGTGTGTCTCCTTGTCTAGATTGAAGACAGGCTGAATTCTGTAGCACCTGGTGTTCTGGGATACTTTCTCTCTGGGATATTTGTTGAATTGAATGAAATTATCGGGGCTCTAAACAGAGCCCAGGAGCACGGGGAGATGGGGGAAGAGTGTCTAGAATCTTGGGTGTGGTCCTGGCCTGACATTTGGACCCTAACCAGCTGAGTGGCCTGGGGCAGGTCACTTCACCTCCCTAAACCACATTATCTAGATGGATCCCTTCTAAATCCACCATCCTAAGGGGCTGGGTCTGAGTCTTTTTTCCACTCTGAAATGTGATGCTCTGCCTAACACGCCAGAGCTAGCAGTCACAACGATGCCCAGCCAGGAGAGAGGTTTGCCCCTTTTTGACCAGTGATGCTTCGAGGTGTTAATGCAGACCTGGAGGCAAGGCTCTGCCCATACCCAGCTTCCCCTGCTGCTGGGCCCCGATCTATCTTCCCTCCTGCTCACCCACGGCACCACCCCTTGGCTGCCTTTATCTTTGTGGGGTGACTTGTTCAGATCCTGAAGCAGTCTCTGGATATTACAAATGGCAAAGAATGGTGTCTTTCTCTTGGGGAGATGCCAGGCCAACACTTTGACCTGCCCTAGCAGCTCAGACAGCTCCACCCTGGCAGACAGACCTCACTTACTCCAGGAAGCCCCTCGGGTGCCTTGGCCCTGGTCTCGCCCCGCTGCAGGGATTCCTGGGGTGAGCTCCAAATGCAGAACACAGTTCTGGGGTATATACTGAGCCCACTGAGGCCCTAGTACTTTTCTCTTCACCTCTGACCACCTCAGGGATTTGCCCACAATGGAGATGAGAGTCTCCGCTTAATTCTATGCCTCACAGCCTCCTGAAGGTGGAGGTTGGTAGAAAAAGACCCACCCCTGAGCAAGGTGGAGGTGGGCAAAGGGAGCCAGGGCCAAAGTCAATGCTTTCCTCTTCTGCAAGGAGCCCGCTGAGACTTCGCCAGGTCTGTGTGGGAGCAGCCCCTCCCATACCCCTTCCACAGTCCCTGCTCTTTCACCAAGTTCTCAGCATAGCCCCATCCCCAACTTCATTGTTTCCAAGCTCCACCCTGTGCTATGCTAAAAGAGAGAATGAGGCTTCCTCCCATCCACTTCATGACTGATGAAATGCTTCTAAATCATGAAAGTCCCCATAGTCTTGGGAATCTGGGGCCTGTCTGTAGACACTGGGCCTTCCAAGATTCCCAGCAGCAACTGTTTGAGGAAGCCAGTGTTTTTTCCACGTTGGGGTGGGGAATGCTGATTGAGGCCGCTCCCCACTTCTTTTGGGAGAGTCTCAGCTTTGCTGCTGTCACCTGCACTTGTGGATTTCCTAGACTAGAAGACAGAGGAAGCTGAAGCAGACAGCAGGTAGAGAGCTGTTTGGAGGGTTTTTGTGAGCTGTCCCAGGCCAATCCAGGATTCAGATGGGAGGAGGGTCTAGGTGGGGACATGGCGCCGGGCCTCAGGCAGCACGGTGACTCCTGACCTGCCTGCCCCTGTCTCATCAGGAGGCCATCCTGCAGCGCTACCGGATGAAGGGAGACCATCTGCGAGTATACCTGCACTACCTGCCCTCCTACTACCACCTGCATGTGCACTTCACCGCCCTGGGCTTCGAGGCCCCCGGCTCAGGCGTGGAGCGGGCCCACCTGCTGGCTGAGGTGATCGAGAACTTGGAGTGTGACCCTAGGCACTACCAGCAGCGCACGCTCACCTTCGCCCTCAGGGCTGACGACCCCCTGCTCAAGCTCTTGCAGGAGGCTCAGCAAAGCTGAATTAACTCAGGCAGAAGAGCACAGATGTGTGGGATTGGGGGAGGAGTGGGGACAAGATTTTTTATCTCCAAGTGAATTTTCTAAAAATGTATTTTATACCGGCTTATTCCTAGTATTGAATAAACTAGCGGGCTCACTCAGTGTGGACAGCGTGGCCTGGGAGGCAGACAGATGGTGGGGGACAGTGGGTGGGTAGAACCTGTGGGAAGGCCTTGAGAATGGTGGAAAGTCTCCAGGTGGTGGTTTCAACTGACAGGTGGGAGCTGCCCTGGAAGGGTGCCGAGGGCCTTCTCCAAGCCCCAGGGCTCACCGTCCGTGGTGGCTTCCTTCTCCCCACTCTGTGCCTCTCCTGTTTGTACAACTTCTTATTCTGCTCCTCCCCATCACCCCTCCTCCTTCCCCTGCCATCCACCTCTCCTTTGAGGAGTTCCCCAAAAAACCAAACTTGGAAGCTTTCAGGAAATTATCTATACAGGTTTCTGATGGCACTTCCTCCTTCCAGCAGTGAGGTCACACCTCCCTGTGAGTCAGTCAACCCTGCTGATAAACTTCTTGTTGACGAGGATAGGGGCTTGGTGCCTGGAAATCGGCGGGTTTTAATAAGAATCAGATTATGCAAGGCCGAAAAGCCTGCCTTGCTCTGTTATTTGGTCAGCGAGTCCCCAGCCTTGAGTTTTTATCTCGGCAGGAAGACAAAACAGACTCACATGAAGCAGCCAGAAGATCAAGTGCAAAACAGTGAATCAGCAAGGGCAAATGATATGGTTGCAGTTGAATACAAAAGCCCGGAGGCGGCTCGGGTTCAAGGCCTATCAGAGGCAGATGTTCAGAGGATCTTGAGACCAGGAAGGGACCTCAAAGCGTCAGAGGCTGATGAGCAGTTAGGCAGCCAACAGGGCTCAAGCGGCGCAGGGACATGGCTTGTATGGGCGGGCACACAAGTAAACACACAGGCTCTCTCCAGCACACAGGACCAAGGCATCATGCTGCCAGAGGGGCTGGTGTTTGCCACTTTGTCAGAGTAGGGCTGTGGATTTTGTGCCTTGCTTGGGAAGCTCTCAGGGATGGCAGGATGGCAGGCTCCTAAGTGACAGCAGGGGGGAAGCTTGAGGCACAGTGGGTGGTCCTTACTCTCCATCCCCTGCCTGAGAACCAGGAAGCCTCATTCAGAGATTAGCCCCTTTACTGCAGGTGGTAGCCCAGGTGCAGCCAACCTGCTTCAGGGTCTCAGGGCCTGCTGTGGACCCCCATGGTCCTGGGAGAGACTCCTTAGAAACAGCAGAATCACGAACATGGTGAAACCCATCTCTACTAAAAAACAGAAAAATTAGCCAGGTGTGGTGGTGGGCTCCTATAATCCCACCTACTTGGGAGGCTGAAGCAGGAGAATCCCTTGAACCCGGGAGGCGGAGGTTGCCGTGAGCCACCGCACTTTGGCCTGGGTGACAGAGCAAGACTCCCTCTCAGAAAAAAAAATTAAAAAAATAGAAACAGCCGGGGAGTGGAGGGTGTGGTCAGAAAGCCTCAGGGACCTGCTTCAGCCTTCAGGGAGTTCAGATGAGGCACAATGAAGCCACTGGCCTCCACTCAGCCATTCTTCCCTGCAGCTCTTTTTTTTTTTTTTTTTTTTGAGACAATCTCGCTCCATCACCCAGGCTGGAGTGCAGTGGCACAATCTCGACTCACTGCAACCTCTGCCTCCTGGGTTCAAGTGATTCTCCTGCCTCAGCCTCCTGAGTAGCTGGGACTACAGGGGTGCGCCCCCATGCCCAGCTAATTTTTGTATTTTTAGTAGAGACGGGGTTTCACCATGTTGGCCAGGCTGGTCTCCAACTCCTGGCCTCAGGTGATCCACCCATCTCGGCCTCCCAAAGTGCTGGGATTCCAGGCGTGAGCCACCGCGCCCAGCCCCTGCAATACGTCAACAGTCCCTAGATTCAGGCAACATGGAGTTGCAGCCAAGGAACTTTGAGGTAGTGACCAATGCAGGGAGGTCTGACAGAGAATCAGCAGGATCCATTTCATGGCCACCACACATCTGACTGACTCCTTCTTGGGCTAAGCAAATACTTTTGTGGGCAGTGACACTGGCAGCTGCTGGGGTCTTGGCAGGAGGTTGGATGGAGGTCTTCTCCCAGAGCAGTGTCCAGCTTGCAGGAATGCTCCCTGCGTCTCAGTTGTGCCCATTCCAGGTCCAGGGGAAAGAAGTGACCCGCTTCCCCTCTGAAAGCAGATGTGGTCCCAACAAGCAAACACGGTCTCCATCTCCAGCACCACAACTGCCACGGAGCAGAGGGAGGCCTCCCTGTGGAGCAGCCCTTCCCTGTGGCCTCAGCCCATGCCCTCCTGCCCAGCCCCCAGTGGTGCTGCTGGAGGGTCTGACTCCACGGGCTCCCGCTGACCTTGCCGTTCCTTCCCCTCATCTCGTAGCGCCTGGCCCCTGGAGGAAGGTGGGTAGGAATTTGACACCGGATAAATAAATGTTTGAGGGGCAAGAGAGATGGGACAGAGTTCACCCAACAGGACAGACGAGGCTGGCAGTCACAGCAGAGGGCAGGCACTCAGGTCTGGAGAGGCAGGGCATGGAGACAGGGACCCACACTCTGGAAGGTTTCTCGACTCCCCCGAGGGGCTGGCCAGTTCTGTCTTCCTTCTGCCCACTCTGTGGGGAGGAGCCTCTCTGGGATAGCGTCCCCTCACTCCTCTCCCAGCCTCGTTTATCTTCACCACAGTACAGAAGGGGGCCCCTCTCCAGGCCTCACCACTTAACTTTTCTTGTACATGGAAAGACAAGCCTCTGCTAGAGGCCTGGCAAGGGTTCCCCTTCAGAGCCAGCCAGTGCTCTGCTGCTGTAATCTCCAGGGACCCTGCCGGCCACGGCCCCCATGCAGCTCCCTCCCTCAATCCAACCCTCTTTGGGCTTATCACCCTCAAGGTCTAGAGTGCACCAGGGTTGGCTGCTCTGCCAAGTCCTGTTGAGACTCCAAAAGCATAGTCTGTCTTTATTAGGGTGACCTTCATATCAGACTCCCAGGTAACTCAAGATGATAGCTTTGCAATATAGTGCCTCCTTTTATTCCTATTTGTGAGTTTCTCCGCTTTCCTCACTAGACTGAGAGGGTCTTGAGGGTAGGAGCTTTGTTTTAGTTATCTCTCTATCCCTGGCCCCTAAGACACTACCTGGCTCAGCAAACCAACCTTTGAGACAAAGCAACATTATAACACTACATTCATATAGCAGATCATTTCATGACCCACATTCTCCTTCCTTTTTACGAAGAAATGGGCTCAGGATGTCTTGTCCAGCATTATGGAGTGAACGTCAGCTCCAGGAAGCAGAGACTTCTGGCCCTTTGTTCACCATTTCCCCAGAACCTAGGGTGGTGACTCACCTATAAGTGCTCAAAAAACATGTGGCGAATGGAGGACCAGAGCTAGGCTCTGAATGAGGCCTCCTGGATCTCACGCAGGGGATGGAGAGTAAGGACCAGCCCCTCTACCTCATGCTTTCTTCCTGCTATCTCGTAAGAGCCCAACATCCTTCTGTCCTGAGCAAGCCACAAGCTGCAGCCCTGCCTTGACAAAATGGCAAATGCCAGCCCCTCTGGCAGCATGACACCTTGGTCCTGTGTGCTGCAGAGTGCCTCATGTGTTGAACTGTGTGCCCTCAGAAGCATGCCATGCCCCCGCTCTGCTGGAGCAGTGGCAGATGTCACCCTTCCTAGATAAATCCTGGACGGCTCCACGACTGGCTTTTAGCCCTCAACACTTGGCCTACATTCTTTCTGGCTTGGTTGGAGAAGGAAAGAAGCAGTTGGAGGCATGACTGCTATTGTTCCTTGGCTTCTCTCCATTTGTCTCAAACTTTCCTAATAGAGCAAAATTGCTGAGTGGTCTCTATTTACCAACATGAAACAGAAAAATACCATCTCAGGCTCCATATTCCATGTCCCTGTTGAATACAGATCCCCGAACTGAGAAATAAGAAACAACTACATACGAAGTAATACTTGAAAATGTTTCTCTTGTAATACTTCCATATCCAAAGCATTTGAATATATTTATTTTATTGATGTAGGTCTGCCAACTCTTCCTTCTCAGGAAGGACTGTTTTTATTCCAAACATGTATATATAAGGTTAAAATGTATTTTTTAAAATAAGATAATTATTGATAGTTGTTTTTAAAATAGCCTTGCTTAGCAAAATAAATGTTGGCAACCCTAAGTTTGTTCTATTATAATATTATTGAAATTACATTGAATTCTGAAATCCATGTCAACTTGAAGTTACCAAGTTTTAACCACTGTTAGAAAATAAGCAGGAATGAAATCTGTTTCAAGCGTTTCAATTTCAATACAATTTAATAAACAGGCTTTGAGCATCTACCCCCACCCCCTTTTGGTTTTTTTGCAAGCACCTGGAGGCAGAGCTCATGTGGAGCTTACAATTTAGTAGGAACACAGGCATTAATTACAAAGTAATTACAATGCTGATGAGTGTGTTGAAGTGGAGGGGGCTATGGGGCTTCAGCCCCAAAAAGCTAAACCTGCAGGCTAAAACTTTAAAAAAATATATTTAATTGGCAAATAAAAATAGTATACATTTATGGTGTACAACATGTTTTGTTATATGTATACACTGTGGAATCACTAAATCGGGCTAATTAACATATGCATTATGTCACATATTTATCATTTTGTAATGGTGAGAACATTTAAAATCTCTGTGAGCAATTTTCAAGTATACAGTACATTGCTTTTTTTGTTTTTTTGAAACAGAGTCTCACTGTGTCACCCAGGCTGGAGGGCAGTGGCGCAGTCTCGACTCACTGCAACCTCCACCTCCTGGGTTCAAGCGATTCAGCCTCCCAAGTAGCTGAGATTACAGGCGCACACCACCACACCTGGCTAATTTTGTAGTTTTATAGTAGAGACGGGGTTTCACCATGTTGGACAAGCTGGTCTAGAACTCCTGACCTCAAGTGATCTGTCTGCCTCAGCTTCCCAAAGTGCTGGGATTACAGGCGTAGGCCACCACCCCCCGCCCAGTACATTGTTATTAACTATTGTCACCATGTGGCACAATAGATCTCTGGAACTTCTTCCTCCCATCCAACTGAAAGTTTGCATTCTCTGACCATCTCCCCATTCCAACAGGCAACCACCATTCTACTCTCTGCTTCTGTGAGTTCCACTTTGTTAGGTTCTACACACGAGATCACGCAGCGTTTGTCTTCTTGTGCTCTAGGCTGGATCTTGGTTATCAGCCCAATGACAAGCAGAGTAAAGGCCCGGAAGTTAGGGAGACCAGGGCTCAGTGTGGCTGGCACTGAGAGCTGAGCTTCTAGCGTGGGCCCACACATACATTTAAGACTGTAGCCAATTTTCCTTTCAGAACCACGATGAAGAAATGAAAGCCAAGGCCAAGAAAATCTTTAATGTTCTGTTCCTCCCCTGCTTGGGAAGTAGAGTGGTCTGAAGGCTCCAACACAGAATCTGTGCCATAACCAAGTCTTATCTGGGGCAAGTTACATAACTGCTCATGAAATAGGAGTGATAACAATGCTTCCCCCAGACGGTTTTTCTGAGGGTTAAATAAGAATTTTGTGGGACATAGTAATCACTCAGTAAATGTTCTGGTCTGAGAGTGACCAAAAGGATGGAACTAGAGATATTTGGGCAAGATATTTGCTATGGCCTGAACGTCTGTGTTCCCCTAAAATTCATATGTGGAAATCCTAACACCCAAGGCAATCGTGGGGCCTTTGGGAGGTGATTAGGCCATGAGGGTGGGGGGCCCCCATTAATGGGATTAGTGCCTCATAAAAGAGATCCCAGAGTCACCCCTAGGCCCTTCCTCTCACTGTGAGGTTACAGTGAGAAGATGACCTTGTATGAACCAGGAAGCAGGCTGCTGGCATCTTCATCTTAGACTTTCTAGCCTACAGAACTGTGAGAGATTTCTGTAGTTTATAAGCCATCCAGTCTACATTTTGTATAACAGACCAAACAAATATTAAAAATAACTTCGTGATTAGAAGTGCTACAAAATGCTAGACTACGCATGGAACCAAGAGTTTCTATTTATTTACTTTTTGAGACAGTCTCACTCTGTTGCCAGGCTGGAGTGCAGTGGCTCAATCTCGGCTCACTGCAACCTCCGCCTCCCGGGTTCAAGTGATTCTCCTGCCTCAGCCTCCTGAGTAGCTGGGATTACAGGCACCCACTACCACGCCCAGTTAATTTTTGTGTTTTTAGTAGAGATGGGGTTTCACCATGTTGGCCAGGCTGGTCTCGAAATTCCGACTTCTGGTGATCCACCCACCTCGGCCTCCCAAAGTGCTGAGATTACGGGCATGAGCCAACACTCCTGGCCAACCAAGAGGTTTCAAGGAAAAAAGCCGTAAACTTTTGGTGGTTAACTGACTGTGGTCCTAAACAGAGGCAGGGGCTGTGTGCAATGACTTCTCAGGATCTCTTTCAGCCTACAGGTTCCTGGAATGCATTTCAGCTAACACTACAAGAGTGATGTCCCTTGCTACTGAGAACCCTGGGAACAGCTCAGCTCCATGGTCCAGCCATATAAATCTGATAAAAATAGGAGCTGAAATACCATCCTGGAGTTGCTATTTTTAAAATCATCTGAGATGCTGGATGGGGTATATTTCTTCCTCAAACACATCTTGCTGTTTCCTCCTCTTGGTGGGCAGGATGCTAACGTGGCACATGATACAGGAGCTGTTCCACGCTGCTGCTCACACCCACTCCTGCCAGAGAGGGGCCGCAGGGCCAGGGCTTCCCAGATCTAGATGCACCTGCTCCTCCCTCTGCTCCTGAGGCCCCTCTGGTTGCCCCAGCACAGAGGTGTCCTGCCACTTCCACCAAGCAGAAACACAGGAGAGTTTGGGAGGCAAAGGAAATGGGAATGGAGGCAGCACTGATGGCTTGGAAGGGGACTAAGACCTGTTGTTCCTCTGGTTGCCTTGGTCCCACTTTGGCACAGTTAACATCCAAAAGAAACAGTCCCCATGGGCCAAAGCCCTGCTTATCCCATCCTACTGCCTCTTGCTGAGCCGCTCATCATGTGTTGTAGTTGCACCAAAGGGGGGCCTGGGGCCAAAAAAGCACATGGAGAGGAGAGAGGAGAGAAGAGGAGAAGGAAAGATGGAAAGACAAGAAAAGAGAGAGAGAGAGGAAGGAAGGAAAGAAGGAAGGAAGAAAAAAAAAGAAAGAAAAAGAAAGAAGAGGAGAAGGAAAGATGGAAAGACAAGAAAAGAGAGAGAAAGGAAGGAAGGAAAGAAGGAAGAAAGGAAAGAAAAGAGAAGAGGAGAAGGAAAGATGGAAAGACAAGAAAAGAGAGAGAGAAAGGAACGAAGGAAAGAAGGAAGGAAGAAAGGAAAGAAAGAAAAAGAGAAGAGAAGGAAAGATGGAAAGACAAGAAGAGAGAGAGAGAAAGCAAGGAAGGAAAGAAGGAAGAAAAAGAAAGAAAAAGAGAAGAGGAGAAGGAAAGATGGAAAGACAAGAAAAGAGAGAGAAAGGAAGGAAGGAAAGAAGGAAGGAAGAAAGGAAAGAAAAAGAAAGAAGAGGAGAAAGAAAGATGGAAAGACAAGAAAAAGAGAGAGAAAGGAAGGAAGGAAAGAAGGAAGGAAGAAAGGAAAGAAAGAAAAAGAAAGAAGAGGAGAAGGAAAGATGGAAAGACAAGAAGAGAGAGAAAGGAAGGAAGGAAAGAAGGAAGGAAGAAAAGAAAGAAAGAAAAAGAGAGAAGAGAAGAGGAGAAAGGCACCAGAATTGCTTCCCTCCTGCCCCAAAGATGACATGGCTTCTAGGCAGTGAGCTAAGCTTGTGGCCATGCTGTTAAGAAACTGGAGGGAAAAGATCATCATGAGTAAGCACATTGTGGCCTAACCTGAGGGGAGCAGAATTACGGTTAGCTTCTGGGCACCTAGTAACCAGGCTTGGGATAAGCTGGGGGAGAGGCCTGAATACAGCTTATAGGTTAGAAAAGGCACGCCACCTGCATAGTAACAGCACACACTTATATATAGCAGGTTATGCTTTCAGACCAAATTCGCATCCATTGCCTGATTTAATGCCAACAATAGCCCTTTGAATAAGCAGTTATTTCCTTTCCCCTCCCCCCACCCCAGTAAGAAAACTAAAGCTATTTAGTGGCAGAGACAAGAGTTGGAACTCAGGTCTCCAGGAACAAATGCTGGTTCTTAAGTTCCATTTTCTGGTAGAGTGACATTTACGTGATTCACGGCAAGAACTGCAAACTGTGCTTAGATCTAGTTCATCAAATGGCCAAGTTTAGAGGCTGGGCTGACGCTTGGATCAGTTCTGTCAGATTCACTTAGTTATGAAGGGCAGCTGCTTACTCCCTTTGGGCCAGTCTTCCCATCTGTAGAACAAGGAGGCTCTTCCCTCTTCCTCGACTTGCCCGAGGCAGGGACTTAGTCATTGTGTTCTTTATACCCAGCTTAATTCCAGGCCTGGAGATGGCATGCAATAAATAGTTGTTGAATGGCTCACGCCTGTAATCCCAACACTTTGGGAGGCCGAGGCGGGCGGATCATAAGGTCAAGAGATCGAGACCATCCTGGCCAGCATGGTGAAACCTCGTCTCTACTAAAAATACAAAAATTAGCTGGGCATGGTGGCACGCGCCTGTAGTCCCAGCTACTCGGGAGGCTGAGGCAGGAGAATCACTTGAACCCGGGAGGCAGAGGTTGCAGTGAGCCAAGATCACGCCAGTGCACTCCAGCCTGGCGACAGAGCGAGACTCTGTCTCAAAATAATAAATAAATAAATAAATAAATAAATAAATAAATAGTTGTTGAATGCATGTCTGACTGATTAAGCCAAAGGCACCATATTCAAACAAAATCAGACACTGGTGCAATGCCAAACAGCTTCTGCCCGTGCAAGGAATGATTTAGCATGGAGCACAGTCACCTGCAGAGGAACAACTTGGAGGCAGACTCTCCTTACTCAGCTCACTTGGAGCAGAGCTTCCTGAGTTGGGGGTTCTTGACAGATAAGCCCTCCAGCTTCAGCAGAAGCAGGCTTGGAGCTGCCACTTCTCTGAACCCCCTTGCACTTACTGTCAGTCACTCACACCTTGCACTTATTCACATCCTATCCTGCCTCGTTCTTGAATGGAGTCCATGGTGAGCCTTCTCTGTGCCGCTGGATGGTAAGCTTCCTGGGGACAGGGAATGGGTCTGATAGTTTCCTTGGAGCCCCTGGCGCTCCCGGCACTGGGCTGTTGATACGTGGGGCTCCGGAAACACTGTGCTGACCTGTGAAAGGGACTGGCCTAAGGGGCTGTGGATTGTCCTGTAGGGTGACTTCTGAACTGTTCTTCAGCCTGGGCAGTTCCCAGGTTTATTTGGGGGGATGCCTGGGTCCAAAGAACCAGGGTCAGGGGCCCAGGGGTTTCTTCCTGGAGACAGGATGCCTGGCGCCTTCAATAACGGAAAGGAAACTGAGAAACTTTCTGAGGCCAAGATAAAGAGTATGCAAGTGAGGGGTGCAGAGAGAGCAGTTTAGGGGCAGCAGGCCCCAACCGAAGCAGAGGAAGGGCCCACGTCTGGGCCCAGGGGACTGACTGGCTGCCTTGCGTGCATGGGGCACGGGAAGCATAGGCTCCCGGAACAGGACCCTGCCCCAGTTTCCCCAGTGAGGGAAGGACACCGTTCCCCGTGGGATAGAGCACTGCACCCTTTCTTGATTCTCATTGTTCCCGGGAGCGAGCGCCTTGGCTGCGCTGGGCATACCCACCCTGGCGCCATTCACAGGCAGTGCCTGCCCTGGCCCTGTGCTCACCCCATCAGGCCTCCTCTTCCGCCTCTCTGGCACCCACGGCGCCCCTGCTTGCCTCTGTCCGGGTCTCGGAGGCGCGAACACCATCCCAAGCCTGCGACCGCGCGGCATCACCCCCGCCCTTCCCCCTCCTCCACCCCGCCCTTTCTACCCCTCCCGGGAGCTCCTGGGAGTCGGGCCGCCGTGTGCGCAAGCGTGTCCAGCCCCTTCCCCGCCCCCAACCCGGGCCCGGGTCCCCGCCTCCCCTGCAGGCGGACTCGCCCGCTCCCAGGCCGGACCCGCGCCCGGGACAGGGACCCGGCCGAGTCGAGCCGTCGCGCCAGCGCTGCGCCGCCGGTCGGTGCGCCTAGCGGATCGGAGCTGCGCGCGGAACCGTGCTGCCCCGCCCCGCTCCACCCGTGAGGGTGAGTACGCGGCGGCGGTGCGCGGGGGCCCGCGGGGCGGGGCGGGGCGGGGAGCCGCGGGGTCCTCGGCCGCCTGACCCCAGCCGGCGCCGCGCCTCCCGGAGGGGGTCGGGCCCTGCACGTGGGCGCAGCGCGGGTCGGGGTGGGGCTGCCACAGCCCTGCGGAGCTGCTTTCCGGGGTCCCTTTCCCTGGACCAGATTTTCGCGGGAAGCCGGATCCTCTCCGTTCCCTTGGAGTGAGCAAGCGGGACAGTTCTGCGGAAAGTTTCCGCCCCCAATCCCCCAGCCCTGCGCCCGGACTGAAGCGGCGGCCCCCACCTCCAGCATCCTCGAGCGATGGTTTCTCCCACAACTACCCCGGTCAGGTCCAGCACTTGGGAGCTGACTGTGCTGGAGGTGACAGGCTTTGCGGGGTCCGCCTGTGTGCAGGAGTCGCAAGGTCGCTGAGCAGGACCCAAAGGTGGAGTTGTCAGTGGGAGGCCGGCTGTGCCCAGGGTCCTAGGGCCACGTTATGGGGGTCGTCAGGCCTAGGCCACTGTGCCTCAGGGCTGCATGGGTGGTGAGCAGTGGGAGGGATGCGATGGGGGGAGTGGGCTCAGCTGTCTGCTGTGGGTGTTTCCTCGGGGACCTGGCTGGCAGGGACCTCCCGGCCAGCCCAGAACTGCCAACATGTCTGCCAGCACTGCCCCTCCATTCCCAGTCCTGGGGGGAGGCTCTGTCTGGGCAGCTTGAGGCCTGACCTACTGTGGCTGCTTCCTCTGCTCCCCAGCCTGGGTCCTGAGGGCCTGGCTTAAGGGAACTGCTGCCAGAAGGCTGGGAGTGTAGGCAGTGTTCGGGTGCCCAGCTGTGCCCTGTCTGACCTCATGGCCACCCACAAGCTGGCACCCCCCACAGGCCTCTTGGGGAAGCCTGTACTTTCCACCGCCGGAGGCGGGTACCGCGTGGAAGCCAGGCTCAGGCGGACTCATTCTTTTTGAACTTTGGGAACAGGCCTGGTACAGGCTGAGTTCTCACAAGAGACACACACCCGTGTCACTGTCTCCTGAGCTGTGCCGGACCCGTCCTACAGACTCCACCTCCTCTAGGTCCTGGCCCTGGCATCTGCCAGGGGGATTTTAAATGAGTTGATATATGCTAAGTGCTTTGAAAGGCGCCTGCACGGAGGGAGAGCTGTATAAATATTCACTATTGGTAATATTTCTCCCATGCTGTTACTCTCCAAAGCTGCCCGATAATTCTAGAGTGGGTTCCGGGGACGTGCCCGCTGTTTGGGGCCTAGAAATGAACTCGGGAGGTTGTTTTGCTTGCTGAGAGCTGGTCTGGGAATGCCCCTTGACCGTTCCCTGCCCTGCTCCTGGCCCACTCCCAGACTGCTCCTGTGCCTGGCCCCATTGCGCTGGGTGGGTGATCCTAAGCTGCCCCATGGGCCCTGGGCTCTGTCAAGACATGGGGAGCTTGCCAGGAGTTGGGGCCAGATCCCCCAGACTCCAAGATGGTAACCGAGGTTGTGAGGGTGCACATGGAAGGAAGAGTTAGAAGAGTGAATTGGAAATTGCCAGCTTGGACTTTGGGCAGAGTGGGTGTCTTTAGCTTGGGGATGGGTTGTTGTTCAGAGACAACAGGGCCGCCTTCTCTGTGAGCTGGCGGCCCAGGCTGAGGTGCCTCTGGGCTGCCTTCCCTACGGGAAGCAGTGACTGGCCCTCTGCTTCTCAGGAAGAGAGTGCCGTGCCCCCGCCAGCCTCCCAACCTCGTTAGACTCCTAGAATCCGGTTTTCTGGATAGAACTAAGAATCTGCTCCTTTCTGGACTTTTAATCCTGGAAAGGGCTCCCTTCCCCAGCAGGAGCAGAGAGACCAAACCCCCTTTCTGTGCTCCATCTTGAGCTGTCATTCTGTCCTAACTCCCCACTGGCCACCATCTGCCCTTGCTTTGGGGGCTACCCCAGGTCTGACTTGGGCACGTTCTCTGGGTCTCTCCTCAGAGAGGCTGCTCCTGGGGTTGTCCCAATGGAATTGGGAATTCTTCTCAGAATGGCTCAAAGGTTTGCACCATCTGTTGGAGGGAAGGGATCCCTCTATCTTGGACTAATACAAATGTTTCCGTGCCTGCCAAGTTCCAGACCCTGGGCCGATAGGGAAAGGAGCTGGCTGGGGGGCCTGCAGGGGATGGAGAGGGAGCTTGGGCCCCAAGTGGGGTCTGAAGTCCAAGCCTACAGATTGCCATCAAGGCAGCCGCTAGAGCCTAGCCCAGCTCCTGGCCCCTCGGAGATGGACCTTAGATGCTGGAGAGCGGGGCAGTCCAGCAGTGCAGGGTGGGACACCCCGAGCAAACAGCCCCTGCTTCCTGCCCCCTCAGTTCAGTCGCACTGGGCCGGCTGGACGTTTCCCTGCAACAGGCCCCTGCTGGTGGTTTAGCTCCCGCTCCGTGTTTCCCTCACGCTGGGATCCTCCTTCCTACTCAAGACCCACGACCTTGACCTGAAGCTTTTGGTTGCCGGGAGGAAATGGTGAGTGTAGGCAGATTTGGGTGACTCTTGTTATTAACCCCCTCTTCTTTGTTGCCCCCTTCCCAGAGGCTTCTGTATGAGTGTCCTGAGTGGCCCTGGATGGACTACTGGCTGTCCCTGGCCTCAGAATCACCCCAACCCCTGCCACATTTCGGGGAGGGAGGTGTGTGAATGATGTCCTTTATTCTACAGACTGAGGAAGTGGTCAGTGTAGCTTCACGTGAGAGCAGCAGCGTGCGATGCCCAGGCCCTAGCCAAGTGCTGGTCAGCTTTCTGACTGGAGCCCCTGAGCCCTGCAGGGGCTGAATTCCCCCAAAGGTTGCTTGGGTTGTTGCATTTCGGGGTTAGAGGGTGTGGGTGTCCAGAGCTGTGGGTTTTTAGTGTTGGCTGAGCCCTTTACCTGGGACCTACAGCCTGGCCACAACCCCATCTCTGTTCCCCTGTACCCCACACTGCCCTGTGATAGGATGTGATAAGATGGTAGGATTGCCTATACTGAAGCCCTGGGTGCCACTGCTGGCCCAGCAGGGAGGAGGTTGCTGCTGCTCGGGCTGAAGTGAGGTGTGGGTCTGGCTGGGCCTCCAGTTTCCCACCTGGGCCTTGATTGTGAGGAAGGCCTGGCCTGGCTGCAGAAGCCCAGAAGCACCTGAGTAGGAGAGTTCCTTTGTCCCACCTGCAGCTCATTCAAGCCTGTGCATGGGGGTTGGGGTCCTCAGGATCTTGCTTTCCTGTTTAGGGGAGGCAGCCCCAAAGAGTGCTGGGACCAGTTTGGAGAGTGCTAAGGAATGCTGGTCTGCAGCGACCCTACTTGTGCTCTGCGTCCTCTGCCAACTGCAGCATGGGTGAACATCTGTACATCTGTCCCCATAATGAAAATGGCCTCAGCAAATAACAAAAATATTACCATTTAGCAATCAGGCACTTATTAAAAGCCTGGCCCAATAAACTTAAAAAAAAAAAAAAGATGTGCTAGACACTTTACGTCCCTTCATGTGAGCTTCACACAACCCTGTAATTAAGCCCATTTATAAATGAAGAAATGGAGGATTGAAGGATTAAGTTACTTGGCCAAGGTCATACAGCTCGTAAGCAGCTGAGCTAGGACTCAAATCCAGGCTTGCTTCCAAAACCTTCACTTTTCAGCCCAGTTCTCAACTGCCCCCTGGAGTTTGCTCATTTTGCCCCATGAAGAAACAGATCCCAGCTCAAAGGCGTGAAGGGGTTTGCTCAAGGCCACAGTGTATTAGTGTCAAAGGTGGAACACAAACCCTGACCTCTGAGTGCTCTCCCGAACCCCACATCCCGGCCGGGCCGTACCCTGAGCACACGCTTGTCCGCTTTCTCAGCTGGGCGGGGCGGGGCAGGACAAGGTTCTTCTCCCTCCCTCCTTCCCTCCTTCCCTCCTTCCCTCCTTCCCCGTGGGCCCTCCCAGCCTCCCCAGCCCCCACCTCTGCTGCTTTCCCTTGGCAATTGCTTCCATCTGGCCTGCCTGCAGCTCCTATTCCTTTGGAAATGTGGCTGCCGCCCACATGGCTGCAAGGCAACCACGGCCACACGTGGGGAAGGGGAGGGGCCCTATGGGGTCTAAGCACAGGGAACCCAGCCAAAGTGGCTGCTCCTGGCGTCTGGCATCCTGATTCCTGCCAGGCAGAAGCACCTTGGCTGCCTGGCCCTCCTTGATGCCCGTCCTGGGCTGGCTCAAGGCCAGAGAGGCTCCCAAAGACCCAATTCTCCTTCCAACATGGTGAGCTGTTTTGCCCACAGACAAGCTCCGCACCGGCAGCCCTCCCTGTCTCTTAGAGGTTGCTCAGGTTGGGAGGAGGGATTCCTGGCAGGAGAGAATTAGGGGCCAGCCGGGGTATACCCTGGGTTCCCACTGGGTTCTGATCATTTGGAGGGAAGTCATGCAAGGGACTGACGAGGGCAGAGGCTGAGGGATCCGCGGAGTTCTGGGCAGGCGAGGAGGCAGCTGACTTGCTCATGACTGTGGGTATGCGCCACCACACTAGGCTAATTTTTCTATTTTTTGTAGATACAGGGTTTTGCCATGTTGCCCAGGCTGGTTTTTGTTTGTTTGTTTTGTTTTGTTTTTGAGACAGAGTTTTGCTCTTGTTTCCTAGGCTGGAGTGCAGTGGCGCGATCTCGGCTAACTGCAACCTCCATCTTCTGGTTTCAAGTTATTCTCCTGCCTCAGCCTCCTGAGTAGCTGAGATTACAGGCACCCGCCACCACGCCTGGCTAATTTTTGTACTTTTAGTAGAGACAGGGTTTCATCATGTTGGCCAGGCTGGTCTCGAACTCCTGACCTTGTGATCCGCCCACCTCAGCCTCCCAAAGTGCTGGGATTACAGGCGTGAGCCACCGTGCCCAGCCGAGCGTGTCTGTCTTGTTCACTGGTGTATTTTCTTAATGCCTGGAATGATGTCTAGCAAACAATAAGCACTCAATAGATTCTTGTGTGATGAGTGATGGAAATGCAGCTCAGGTATGCTGATTTGTCTTTGCTGCATCTTTACTTTGCTTCCTCCTCCCAGGGCAAAGGGAAAAAGTTTCCCTTTTGCCAGTTGAGCTGTTTGCCAGAGAAAGGTCTGGCCCCATCTGTGTGCTGCCACCTTGGGGGTCTCTGTTCAGACCTCAGAGAGGCAGGCAGGAACCCAGGTGAGGATGGGCAGGAGCTTGTCCCCTGAGGAGTGCATGCCCCATTCCACCCACCACAGGGTCGGCTGGCCACATTTCTCTACCCATCACCCCTCCCTAGTAACCTTCAGGTCCCTGCAGACAGGTCCTGACCTCAGCTCCAATCCCTATGTCAGTCCTCTCCTTATTTGAGGCCCAAGAAAGGTACCCCTACGGTGGAACCCTCACTTGGGTCCTGAGAGGGAGTGACAGCTTTGGAAGAGCGAGGGGTTCACCCACATTTGCCTCCTCCTGAACAGCTCCACTTTTATTCCTTGTACATATTGCGTTTCCACTTCAATTTTTTTTTGAAACTGTGACAGAGGGTTTCTTGGCTTTAATTTTTTTTTTTTTTTGAAAACCCCCATTGAGTTCCAGTTGTGACCCCCCTGTGGTTCTCATTTTCTGGTAGCATGCCGTGTGGGGTCTCACCTCCTCGCCTTTGCTTCTGCTGCCCCCTCACATGGCTTGGGCATTGTTGGTAATGACCTTGCTAGACTGCAAATGTCCTTCAGTATCAACTGAAGCCCCAGTCCTGGGAAGCCTCCGTGGCCACCCAGCACCGGCACTTCCTCCCCCTTCCTCCCCCTGCGTTCTCCACTCCCTGCAGGTCCTATGCCTGTGACAGGGAGGGAACCCTGTGCTGGGGTGACCCCAGCATGGACCTCAGTGGGGCTCAGGCTGAACCAAAGGTAGGTGGTTCTGGGGGTAGTGCCTGAGGTGGTTGTATGGAGCTGTGAGATTTGTATTCCTAGAAGCAGGTTGGAGGCTCTCAGCCCTTCCCTCCATGCATGGCCTTGGATACAGCTTGCAGCCTGCCACTGTAGCCTCCATTTCCTTCTCCGAGAAATTAACACTTCTTTTTTTTTTTTTTTGAGATGGAGTCTGGCTCTATTGCCCAGGCTGGAGTGCAGTGGTGCGATCTCGGCTCACTGCCATCTCTGCCTCCTGGGTTCAAGTGATTCTCCTGCCTCAGCCTCCCAAGTAGCTGGGATCACAGGTGTGTGCCACTACTCCTGGCTAATTTTTGTACTTTTAGTAGAAATGGGGTTTCACCGTGTTGGCCAGGCTGGTCTCAAACTCCTGACCTCAGGTAATCTGCCCACCTGAGCCTCCCAGAGTGCCAGGATTACAGGAGTGAGCCACCGTGTCTGGCCAACATTTCTTCCTTTTTTTTTTTTTTTTTTTTTTAAGACGGAGTCTCACTCTGTTGCCCAGGCTGGAGTGCAGTGGCACAATCTCAGCTCACTGCAACCTCTGCCTCCCGGGTTCAAGCGAGATTCTCCTACCTCAGCCTCCCGAGTAGCTGGGATTATAGGTGCCCACCATCACACCCGGCTAATTTTTGTATTTTTAGTAGAGATGGGGGTCTCACCATGTTGGCCAAGCTGGTCTCGAACTCCTGACCTCAAATGATCCACCTGCCTCGGCCTCCCAAAGTGTTGGGATTATAGGTGTGAACTACCGTGCTCCGCCTGGCCAACACTTCTTAATGGGATAATGTTTCAGATAACATCCAGTGCCCGGACTCCAGCACTCTATAAATGCTGGCTGGTGTGCTTTTCTGGGATTCCAGGGTGGGGTCCAGAGACTGAAGAGGGTCTGCTTTCTGGCCCAGGGGAAGAGGGGCAGGTGGCTCACTAGGAGCTGTCCTGGCATCCTTTGTCCCCGTCCACTTACCAGTTATGTGACCTCGGGCAGGTCTTGCACTCTGGCACTCAATTAGCATCTGTGTTAATTGGGGTAAGAGTATCTGCCACGTCTCACAGCCTGGTGATGGACAAACAAAACAAACATTTTTTAGGCTGGGAGAGGCCTCAGAGGTTGGCTGTCATATTGCAAACGAGGGAGCAGAGACTCAGAAAAGTAACTTAGTTGTTTAAGGTCACAGAGCACCTCTCTCCCCACAGGCAGGGAGCCGGTAATTGGGCTGAGCCTCAGGAGTAACCCTTCTCTCTCTGCCTCTCCAGCCCCTACCTTATGCCTGGCCCATTCAGCTGGTCTGTTCTCCAGGCCCCTAGGACTGGGTGGGCTAAGATGAGTGGTCTAGAAATCCCTCCCCAGCTGGGCTGGACTGAATGAGGGGCTGGCCGAGGAGCGGGTGTTGATGGAGTATGGGAGATTGTCCTCACAGGCAGTGTGGGCCGTTTCTCTAGACCTCCTGCCCCCATCTCCTTCCTGTCCCTGTTTGAGCCGTGCTCTTCTTCTTCAATCCCTTTCTGTCTGCCTTCTCTTTCCACCCCTAGATTTCTCACCATCTTCAGTGATCCCTCCTCCTTCCTTTCTGCCTCCTCTGCATTCTCTCCTTGCCCTTGCTTCTCTGATCTGCCTTTTTTCTCCAGCCTCAGCATTCAGGTTGTCCTCATAGTGGAACTGGGACTCTGGGGGTGGCTGGGTTGGGTTGCCTGGAGGCCGGGAATGTTCAGGAGAGCCTTCATTGGGAGCCCATGGGAGCAGGAGTCAGCTCCTCCTGTTGGCAGCTCCAGCATTTTCGAACAAAAATGGCTCTTCCAGGAGTTGAGTTTGGCGAAGAGACAGTGCCTGCCCAAAGTATGCAATGCTTTTATCTTTAGCTCAGCTCCTGAGCCCTCATGCAACTCTTTGGACATCTTCCTGCAAAGGACGGTGGGATCTTGTCTTTCTGGGGCCTCAGGGTCTCCAAAGATGGGCTGACTAAGCTTCCCTAGCCTGGGACCTGAACCCTCCACCCTCCTCTCTCTTGAGCTCTTTCTCCCAGGGGAAGCTGCTCGAATGAGGGGAGTTGGCCAACACAGTTTTCTACTCTCAGACCCCATTGAGGTGAGCACACAACAGTGTTCTGTGTGAGGGTCTGGATACACTCCCCACCCTCCCAGGCCCGGCACCGTGTCGCCCTGCCCCAGCCCAGAGCTTGCCTCTGTTGGCTTTGTGACCCTCGCTTTGTACTGTGGCTTTGTTCTGCCTTAGGGACCAGCTGGTCCCCTGCTGTGGTTCCACACAGTGGAGACTGATCCCTGACCACTCATTCAGCTGCCTGGCGGCCCTGGGGCAAGTGTTTGTCCCCCATCTCCCAAAATGGCGGGGTGCAGGGGCTCCCTGCCCGGAGTCCCAACCCTGCCAAGGCAGAGGGAATGGGGAACAGCTGCGCTGGCCCATTCCGGCTCCATATGGATTTGGTTTGACAACAAAGCTCCCTCTGTGTGTTCCCAAGCCCCTTACATAACCAGGGGCTGTGGGCAGAGGAGGAAAGGAGGAGGAGGTGGAGATGGGGACCAGGAGACACCAGGATGGGATGGCTGGAAAGGACACAGGGACCGGGAGGAGAGGGCAGGAGACGAGGGCCAGAGAGGAGGAGAGGGTGGGAGCAGGAGGGGGAAGTGCTGGTCTTGACCTCCCAGTTCTGCCTCCTGCTTCCTGGGGAGGGGAGGGTGGAGTCCAGCCACCGACTTCTGCTTGTGGATGCTTTGTCTTCTTTTCTTTGGACCTTTCCCACCAGTCCTGGATAGGCTGAGGAGGGGCCGTGGGACCTGTCTGGGGTGAGGTGAGGTCAGGTGTTGGGCTGGATGTGGGAGGCTGTTCCTTGGCCGCAGCCTGTAACTGAATAAATGCCATTAAAAGGGGAATCCATTTCCTCCCTCACTCCTGGCTTCCATTGCCTTCCCCCAGGCCCCAGCCCTGGTTCCAGAATCCCTCTGACCACTCCTCTTGTGCTCAGGAGGGCAGAATAACTGCAGCCTTTCCCTGTGCCCTGCCAGGCTGGTCCCGGGCCCCCTCTCAGCCCACTCATCCAGGGATGCAGCTCTGGCCTTGGCCCACCCCCATCAGAGGGCCTGTGGCCCTGATCACCGCACTCCCCACTCTGTGACCAGACGTTCTCTCCTGAGCATCGCTGACCCTGCAGCTGTCCAAATAGAGCAAGAAGTGAATGTTCTCTTTGGGGCACAGCTGGACTGGCAGCCCTGCAGGGTCAGGTGAGCTGCCAGTCCTGGGTGTGTTCTCGGGGGTGGGGGTGGGAGGATCACGTCCTGGGCTGAGATCCCTTCAGCTCCTCCTGGGCAGGAGGAAACAGCCATGCAGGGGCGGCCAGGAGGACTGGGTGGCGGGTGGTTCTGGGCTCTCCCAGCTTCGGTTGGGGCTGGGACCCTGGGGGACATGCTCTCCTGGGTGTTCCCAGGCTCTGTGTCTGGCCTGTGCCTCAGTGTGTGGGTTTTCTGGCACCAGGCTTCCTTGGGAAGAGCCTCTGGTTGTGCACCAGCCCTGAGGGTGGGGCTCATCCCAGGCTGCAGGGGACTGAGGGCCGAGCTCTTCCACCTTGAGGACAAGGATGGTTCCTCAGGGCTGGGAGGAGGAGGAGGCGCTGGCCAGGACCTTAGATTACGCAGGGCATGGTGTTGGGGCCTCACAGATGATGGAGAAGCCAGAGTTCAGGCACTTGGCATGACCCCTGGCATCGCCTTCAGTTGATTTAGTGTCTCTGCCCTGGGATATTCCATGGGACCCTGGGCTGGCTTCTGTGTGCAGAGGTGGGTGTGGGCCATAGCCCAGACCTGTTGAACCAGTTGTAGGCTCTGGAATCCTCTGTCCCCAGGTAGTGACCAGGCCCTGACAGGCCGGTATCTGTCCCTCCCATCACCCTCCCAGTTATGGGTGCAGATGACCCTGAAATTGCTAAAGCCTCAGGGCTTGAGCCCAGAAAGTGTGAGCAGGCTGGTGGGGCAGCTGGAGGAAGGCCTTGCAGGTTCCTGGATTTGGGTGCCGGGTGGGCTGAGAGGACAGTCCCTGTCACTGGGACTGGGCACAGGTGCAGAGAGGCTGAGACGGGCCCAGAGGACAGTGAGTGTGTGTTGTGTGGGCGCCGGGCCAGGAAGTGCCCTCCATGGGGCAGCAGGCTCTGCAGTACCCTCGGCCAAATGGCCACAGGCTGCCCTGGGACACTCTCCAGGCCTGCTGGGGACACACCTGTGGGGCTCATAGGCGTGGCTGGGTCTCCTCTCAGGTGCCAGAATCTTTCTGGGAGCTGAGCCTGGCTGGGCAGAGGGCGAGGAGCCCAGGATTCCCCTTTCCGTGACTTTGGAGGAACGAGGTTCCTGAGGGCTGGCACAGCCACTCCCTGCCCCTTAGAGGCTCCGGGCTGCCTGGTGATAGCTCCCAGGGACCTGCAAGCTGACAAACAAAGTCTATACGAGCCAGAGCTGGGGTGGGAGGAACCCAGTGGGCCTGGGGGAGGTAAAGCAGCAGCAGCTGCTGTAGCTGAGCCCGGCCCACGGCCAGCCCTGAGGAATGGAGGAAGAGAGTGCCCTGGCTGGGGGAGCCCCTCAAGCCCTGGAAGCTGTATGTGGGCATGGGGTGGTGGGGGCGTGCAGAGAGGAGGAGGACTGAGAGCTGGGTGTGTGTGTGCGCATGCCTGTGTCTGTGTGATCTGGTTCCCGGGTGTCTGAGTAGGGACCAATGTGTTTGTGCTGGAGAAGCCTGTGTAGGTTACTGACATGGGGAGGGGTGGGGCTTGCTTTCCTCACCCCGCTTCCCACGTCTTCATTGAGTCCTCATCTGGGGGCCCTGTTCCACTCTCCTTCCCGTGTGCAGGGCCCTCCCCTCTGGCGAGTCTGCCTCTCACTCGCTCAGCCCCTTTAACCCTGCTGGCTCCTAATGAGACTTCAGGTGTGGACCCTCGAACCCTCAGCTGCACAGGTCTGGAAACATCCTTGTTCATCAAGCACCAGGCTGACCATGGTGTCCGTCTCAGTGCCCAGCAGATGTTCTGGTGAGGGGAGGCGGGAGTGCAAGGTCTGCCGAGTGAGGGTTCCTTCCGGGAGGAGGCAGGGTGAGCGCAGAAACCACTGCTCCAAAACTCTTAAAAGCAGAGCCGAGAGCCTGAATTCAGAGGCTGTACTGTGGGGCAGGGCTGGAATTTGTGGCACCTGCAGGGCTGAACGTTGCCTTTGCTGTCCCTGCTTGGGGATTTTGGGGTACTGGGTTTGGATAGAGTGTGTCATCTGCAGAGGGAGCACTGTTCTGGAAGTGGACTCTGCTCAGGTGTGGGGGGCCTGCCTGTAGGGGGCACCGTGGTGGAGATGGAGCACCGCTCATGACAGGAGGCTGGTGTCTGGTCAGGCTGAGGGATCCGTGTGCCAGCCCTTCTGGGAAGGCTGAATGGGGCGGAACTGGTCAGGGCCTGGCACCAACTCCAGGAGGTGCTACACCCAGACAGACAGATGGAAAGCCACCTCCCTAGAGGCCTCCTCCCCCTCCCCTTCTGCATGCCACCACACCCCAGCAGCGTCTCCTGAGGCTGGGCCATGGGTGAATCTGAGTCGAGGGCAGGGCAGAGTGGGAGTGGCAGTGCCTCTGCCTGTCTCCCTGGCCGTGGCAGGTCCTTTGTCACGTATGGACCAGGAGAGGTGAGTATGATTGTGGTAGTGGTGGGGGCAGTGGCTGAGGACCCCTCTCTTTGCTGGGCTGGGGCAGAGCTTGAATGGAGAGGGGCTGCCTTGTGCCTGGGAAGGGAGGACCAGGTGTCGCTGGTACCTTCCAGGTCCTGAATGCTTGTTCTGTGCCTAGCCCCTGCTGAGGCTGCGGACGTTACAAACCAGGATGTGTTTTGAGGCTCAGGACACCTCTGAGGACTTGCTGCTGTTACCCCCATTTAAAAGACGAGGACTCTGAAGATCTGAGGTGCATAGAGTGTAGGGATTAAAAGTAGTTCTGGCTGAATTTTAAATCCTGGTTCCACCATTTTTGAGCTCTCTGATCTTGGGACCCTTAATGTATTTGCTCTGTGCCTCAGTTTCCCCATCTGTAAATGAGAATGAAAGAGTAATCCCACATCCATTGGTTGAAAACTTCAATAAGATTATGCATAGCAGGCCGGGTGTGGTGGCTCACACCAGTAATCCCAGCACTTTGGGAGGCCAAGGCAGGTGGATCACTTGAGGTCAGGATTTTGAGACCAGCCTGGTCAACATGGTGAAACCCCATCTCTACTAAAAGTACAACAATTAGCTGGACATAATGGCGCGCGCCTGTGATCCCAGCTACTTGGGAGGCTGAGCAGGAGAATCCTTTGAATTCAGGAGGTGGAGGTTGCAGTGAGCCAAGATCACGCCACTGAACTCCAGTCTGGACCACAGAGTGAGACTGTCTCACAAAAAAAAAAAAAAAGATTATGCACAGCACCTGCAGCACAGCCCCAGGGATGATTTTTAAAAGTGAATCCAGGGCCAGGTGTGGTGGCTCATGCCTGTAATCCCAGCACTTGGGGAGGCTGAGACAGGATTACCTGACATCAGGAGTCAGTGACCAGCCTGGCCAATATGGTGAAACCCCATCTCTACTAAAAAGAAATCCCAGATTCTGCCATGCCACAGTGTCCAAGTCAGTCACCTGCTCGCAGTCGGCCCTCAGGCCCTGTGGCTCCTGTTTCTGCTGACTTGTCCAGCCTCACAGTCTGGGGAGGCCTTGGGGTCCCCAGCCTGCGCTGGGACAGGGGTATTATTCCGTCAGCCCTTCTGTGGAACAAGTAGGGAAGGAGTGATGTGACCTCCGTGGCTCTCCTGGGACACAGGTTAGTCCTGTGGGTGACCTCACTTTAGAGAGGGCTGGCCAGCTGTGCCGGAATTAGGAAGTGGGTACAGCTGGACAAAAGGTGGCTGGAGCCAGCTCTACAGAAGCCACACCTGCTCATGAGAAGGGTATCCTTGTGAGTACAGGGGAAATGGCATGGAGAAAGACAAACACTGGTGGGTGGCTCTGCCAGCTTCCCCTGGGGTGCTTCTGGCGATGCCCAGGCCTTTGCACGCTCAGATCTTTGCACCCCACTGTTTTAACTTGGAGAGGAGAGGAGGAAGTTAGCTGCTCTGAATGGTGTTGCTGCTAATCTCTACAGCACTTTCCTGTAAATTAGGAACGGTAACACACACACCCCTCCCCCACCCCGTTGGAGAAGCCCTGCACCAGAGCATACAGTTTGGCAAGTAGGGGGAGGGCTGGAGCCCAGCCTCACTTGCCACCCTGGCCAGGCCGTGATTGCCCAGGGTGCATACTGTGGCTGGTGCTCTGCCACCTGCTGTTTCTGTCCTCAGGGTAGGACACAAGGAGGGCAAGTAGGGCTAGTCAGTGAGAGGCACAGGTGATGCGTGTTCTAGGGCTTGAGATCAGCTGCTTCCATTTCAGTAATTGTCTTTGGAGGTACGTTGTTTGCTCAAGCAACCTCCCTTCAAGATAGTGCCTTTTTCTTTCTCTCTCTCTCTTTTTTTTGGGGGGGGGAGGCAGAGTTTTACTCTTGTCGCCCAGGCTGGAGCACAGTGGTGTGATCTCGGCTCACTGCAACCTCGGCCTCCTGGATTCAAGCGATTCTCATGCCTCAGCCTCCCGAGTAGCTGGGATTACACGTGTGTGCCACCACGCCCTGCTAATTTTTGTATTTTTAGTAAAGATAGGGTTTCCCCATGTTGGCCAGGCTGGTCTCGATCTCCTGACCTCAGGTGATCCGCTCGCCTGGCCTCCCAAAGTGCTGGGACTATAGGCATGAGCCACCGTGCTGGCTGATAGTGCCATTTTTTAAAATCCCTATTTACCCAGTGGAAAACCTGAGACCCGGAAAGGTCATTCACACTCCCAGAAGTGATGGTTGGTCCAGAATTCAGGTCCAAGTGTGAGACTTCAACATTTACATTCCTTATTTTTTCTTCTTCCTTTTTTTTATTTTAATCAAATTATTACTTCAAAATGTATCACACTCATCAGTTTGAAACAGTTAAGCAGTACAAATGGGAATATGAGAGAAAGTCACTCTCCCACCCGCCCTCTTGAGAGGCAATAGCCTTGTTTTGCATCCTTCTGAGTACTCTATTCACATAAGATGTATCTGAATATGCATGTAATTCTTTTGTGAAAGTGCATTTGGAGATCACTGTTTTACACCTGCCTTTTACATCTTAATATTATGCTTTGGAGATCAGTTGACATCAGCATGCATCGATTTGCATCCTATTTTTCACAGCTGCATAGTGTTTCGTTGTGTGTGCCTAATTTTTTAAAACAGGTGCCTGTGCATAGATTTCATGTTTCCATCTTATGCTGTTAGAAAAAGTGCTGCAGTAAAGATCCTAACAGACAAGTCTCTTTGCAAATATAGGAAACTTTTCTGTGGAATAAGCTTCTGGCACGGAAGCCCCGGGGTAAAGGGTATTTTGATAAATATTGTGAAATGTCTTCCCAGAAGGTGGCCTGGTTTTCACTTCCAGCATACATCTGTGAGAGGTCCTGCTTCCCACACTCCCCCAGCACTGTGTAGCTCAGGACCCTTGTTTTTTGCTGTTACTATTTGTGAAAAATGGTATCTCAACCACACCGGAAGTTTTAAATGTAGATAAATGTCTTATGTGCCATTTATATTTCTCTACAGTAAAGTATATATTCATAGCCTTAGCTTATTTTTAAATTATGTTCCTTCATTGTTTGGGGAGTGGGGGGTAGACTTGCATGAGTATGTTATAGGCTAAGGGAATTAACTGATAAGTTAATATATGTACATCTTGCAAATGCACTTCTTAGTTTTTTACTCTTTTAAGTATGAGCTTGCTCACTTGCTCTCTGTATCTCACTTAAACTTTATGTGAGTGTATTAATCTTTCATTATTTAGCTTCTGAATTTATATTTCTTCAATCTCCATTCCTTTTTTTTTTTTTCCTTGAAATGGAGACTCGCTCTGTCACCCAGGCTGGAGTGCAGTGGCACGATCTCGGCTCACTGCAACCTCTGCATCCCGGGTTCAAGCAATTCTCCTGCCTCAGCCTCCCGATTTGCTGGGACTACAGACATGTGCCACCACGCTCGGCTAATTTTTGTATTTTTTAGTAGAGACCATTTTGGTCAGGCAGGTCTCGAGCTCCTGAACTCAATCAATCTACCTGCCTTGGCCTCCCAAAGTGCTGGGATTACTGGTGTGAACCACTGTGCCTGGCCCTCGTTCTTTTTTTTATATGAAAATATTTCAAATATGTAAAAATTAATATAACAGACCTCCATGTGATAATCAGCCAGATTTATCAAGTGTGAACCTTATCCCATATTAGATATTTTTTCCTTTAAGAAATAAAATATTACAAGTATAGAACTAAAGATGTGCTACTATGATCTATTCTATTCTTCCCCACATTCCTTTTTTTTTTTTTTTTTTTGAGATGGAGTCTCACTCTGTTGCCCAGGCTGGAGTGCAGTGGCGCGATCTCGGCTCACTGCAATCTCTGCCTCCCAGATCCAAGTGATTTTCCTGCCTCAGCCTCCTGAATAGCTGGGATTACAGACGCACGCCATCACGCCTGTCTAATTTTTGTATTTTTAGTAGAGACGGGGTTTCACCATGTTGGCCAGGCTGGTCTCAAACTCCTGACCTCATGATCCGCCCACCGTGGCCTCCCAAAGTGCTGGGATTATAGGCGTGAGCCACCGCGCCTGGCCTATTCTTTCATCATACACATAAGCACGCACTATTTACAAATATACACAAACTTAGTGCTGTTTTCTGATTCATCCTTTATCTATTTGCAACACTTTAAAAAGTTAATGTTATGTTTTCACATTGATCCCAGTTGACCTGTATGGATTAATTTCTTCAGTTGACATGGCTATATAATATTCAGTTGCGTGAATGTAGCACAGCTTATGTAGCCATCCCTCTCCTGACGATAGTTAAGTTGTTTCCATTTTTTGCTATTGTAACACTGCTAATAAACATGCTTGAATGGGGTGTCCCGTACAAGGGAGGGTTACTCGGGGCTGTGCCCGGAAATGCAATCGCCAGATTGTAAGGTATGCACGTGTTCAGCCTGACTACATATTGTGAAGTGCTCTTCTAAGCCTTTGTATCAACTGGTACTCCCACCAGCAATGTGTGAGAAACTATATTTGGTTTTAATCTGTATTCCCTGGTTACTAGTGAGCCTGAGCATCTTTTCTGTCTATTAGGTGTTTGAATTTAATCTGTGAATTGCCTTTTTGTGTTCTTTTTTATTCCTTTGATTGTTTTGGTGGTGGTTATGATAAAATGCACAAGCACAAGGTTCTGTTGACCTGTTGACCGTCTTAACCCTTTTTATGTGTATAGTTCAGTGGCATTAAGTACATTTAGAATGTGCTACCATCCCGCCATCCAGCTCCAGAAATCTTTTCGTCTCGTCAAACTGAAACATCCTCCTGCTAGTCAATGGCTCATCTCCTTTTCCCCTCAGTCCTTGGCAGCCGCCATTCTGCTTTCTGTGTCTATGAGTTTGACTGCTTTTGAGTACCTCCTATAAGTGGAATGATACAGTATTTGTCCTTTTGTAACTGGCTTATTTCACTTTGCATAGTGTCTTCAAGGTTGATCCATGTTGCAGTGTATGTCAGAATTTCTTTTTTTCTTTTCTTTTCTTTTCTTTTTTTTTTTTTCTGAGACAGAGTTTCGCTCTTGCTGCCCAGGCTGGAGTGTAATGGCGCGATCTCAGCTCACCACAACCTCTGCCTCCTGGGTTCAAGCGATTCTCCTGCCTCAGCTTCCCGAGTAGCTGGGATTACACGCATGCACCACCACACCCGGCTAATTTTGTATTTTCAGTAGATACAGGGTGTCTCCATGTTGGTCAGGCTGGTCTCGAACTCCCAACCTCAGGTGATCTGCGTGCCTCGACCTCCCAATGTGCTGGGATTAAAGGTGTGAGCCATTCACCCGGCCGTCTTTGGATTTTATACAGCAAAACTCCATAATATTTCCTTTACATGAATTTCCTTTCTTTTTCAGGCTGAATAATATTCCATTGTACGCATAGATCACATTTTGTTCATTCATCCATTGATGGATACTTGGGTTGCTTCCCGATTAGCTATTGTGAATAATGCTGCTATGAACATGGGTGTACAAATATCGCTTTGATATTCTGGTTTCAGTTCTTTGGGGTATATACCCCGAAGCACAGTTGTGGGATCCTATCTTGTCTCTTGTTTTCTCTTTGCTTCCATGTTTTTTCTCATTGTTTCGTGGGAATACTGATATTATATATTCAAGTATTTGTTGATTACATGCACTGTACCTGACTTGTTTAAAGCCTGATGTCTTGAGTACTGTGCACCCCTGTGCCTGGCTGAGTAGTGGAGGAACTTTGAAAGGGTCTGTTCTGGAGAGGGGGTGCTGCTCTGGAGAGGCGGTGCTGCTTTGGAGATGGATTAATCAGGAACTTGGGTGCTGATTCTAGGAGGTACTGCATCTAGAAAGATGGGAGGTGGGGAGTGCAACTTCCCCAATTTTGCCTTTAACTTCAGATCCTTGGGGTGGGTGCATTGCTTCTCCTGGGATGGAGGGGTGCCGGGGAGCCCCTGACCAGGACCTGGAGCAGGTCCACACAGGCACTGGATTTGTCCTTTACTTTGGGCCCAGGCTGCACTCTTGATTCCACCTCCTCACACTGGCTTCAGCTTTCTCACCCTCAGAATGGAATTCAAAGCCTCTGCCCCTCCCAGGCAGACACCAAGGTATGATTTTCAAGTGGTTGGTGTCTTGTGACTGGCAGCTGATAAACGGGTGATACAGTGTTTCTATACAGGAGTCTGCAGTGCCAGGCTGCAGGGGCGGACGGGAGGGGGTCGTGGTGGGTAGCCTGTGGAGCCTGAGGGTGGGAACAGAGAGACTTCTTTTGCTGTAGGTGGAAGCCTGTCTGGCTCCTTTCCCTCAAAGGTCAGACAGCTTGAGAGATGTTTCCATCCTCCCATGCATGACCCTGAGGCAGTTAGCTGGTCAGTTACTCACTGTGCTCTCTGCCAACTCTAATGAGCCAGGAAGCCTCCCCGTGCCCAGGCGTGCTGTGATCACAGTGTTCAATGATGGGGTGAGGCTGCAGCGTCCAGCCAGGGACTGTGCCGCAGGGGCCAGAAGATATCTGACCTACTGTCACTGCCTCTTCCACTCTGTTCCACCTGCACTGGAGCGATGCTATCCGATGAACAGATCCATTTATTAATTCAACACGTTTGTATTGAGAGCCTGCTGGGTGCCGGGCACTATTGTCAACATGGGTAATACAGCAGCAAGCAAAACAAGAGAAACATCTTTGCAAGCAGGGGAGGGGGCCTGCAGTGTTGGGTGTGTGGAGTTGTTGCTGGGAAGTAGAGAAGCTGAGTAAGAGCTGGACAAAGAGGCCAGGCACAGTGGCTCACCCCTGTAATCCCAGCACTTTGGGAGGCCGAGTTTGGCAGATCACTTGAGGTCAGGAGTTCGAGACCAGCCTGGACAACATGGGGAAACCCCGTTCCTACTAAAAATACAAAAATTAGCTGGGTATGGTGGTGCATGCCTGAAATCCCAGCTACTTGGGAGGCTGAGGCACGAGAATTGCTTGAACCCGGGAGGTGGAGGTTACAGTGAGCCAAGATCACACACCATTGTACCCCAGCCTGAATGACAAAGCAAGACTTTGTCTCCAAAAAAAAAAAAAAAAAAAAAAAATAGAGAAAAGGAAAGCTGGATGAAGAGAGATAGCCAAGCCCATGTCTACGGAAAAGCATTCTTGACTGAGTGAACGAAAGTACAAAGCCTCAGAGGAGGGAGCATGCCTAGGTAGCCCCCTAGACCTGGTGAGGCTGGTGCGTGGGGCAGCCTCCATGGAGAGGAGTTGGGCAAGGAGGGAGGAGGTGCTGGCCAGTAGAGCACGTGTGTCTCTGTGCGTCAGAGCAAGGACCCGGGCTCTCCCCGTAAGTGAGAAGAGTCCATGGAGGTTTTGGGGCTGAGGAGGAGTTTTACAGATGACCGGTCTGTTCTTGGCACTTGCAATTAGCGGACCGTCTGTATCCGAGTGTTGATCGGGTGGATTCTAACCCTGTGGGAGAACTCCCCAGCCCGTAGCCTGCGCTCACTGTACCTGGCAGTTGTATTAATGACGTCAAATGCACAGTCCAGCTTGAGTCCCCTCTAGAACGTGGGCAGCGGACACTAAGCCGAGAGGAATCGCTGTGGGTTGGCAGACACTGTGGAGACTGACTCCTGGACAGGCTGTGGAATGTGTGGAAGCAGGTACAGCCCAGGCCCGCGCTGAAGTTCGGCAGGGAAGCCAGAGGAGTCCGCAGCCCGGGAGACCTGGCCTACAGCGGAGAGAGTCAGTCCATGCCAGTGGTGGGATGTGGCTGCAAAAAATGGTCGGATTCATGGAAGTCTGGTGTCCATCTGGCAGGCGTTAGTGGTCCCACGAATACAGCTGTGTGCCTTGAACACATACTGCAGAGCTTCCAGAGAGCACCAGGGCTGTGGGGGCTAGAGACTGTGTCTCGTGCGGAAGCGTGGCTGAGGAGGGGCTTGACAGGCTCTTCGTCACTGTGCGGAGCCTTCGAAGGACTTGGATGTGCTTGAGACCCCTTCCCCTAATTGCTGTGTAGGGCAGGGGTGGACATCCCGGGGATCGTGGAGTCTAGGGAGCCAGTCTGCACGGGATGGTTTTAGAAGCCGTAGGATGTGGGGGTTCTGGCTGAAGTAGCCAGAATTCCAGTGCCAGCTCCGCTCCTCACGAGCTGTACAACCTGGGCCGGTTACTGACCCCTTTCCCACCTTAGTTCCCTGGCTCTACAATGGAGGTAATTATCGTGTTGAACTCACAGGGTCGAGATCATATTTAATACTTGCACAGCCCTTAGAAGCATCTAGCACAGTGGTCCTCAGCATTTGGAAATGTCTGGAAACATTCTGTCACACCTGGGGAGTGGGATTTCCTTCTGGTGTCTAGTGGGTAGAGGCCAGAGATGCTGCTAAGCGTCCCACAATACACAGGACAGACCCCGCAACAATGAACTGTCTGGCCCCCAAAGTTAGTGGGGCAGAGATTGCAGGATCCTGATTCCTTTTCTTCCTTTTTTTTTTTTTTTTTTTTGCCCCTGGCTATGAGTAAGAGATCCTGGTTTCGCACAAAGTGAACGTGCAGTACATTGTTTCAGTTGTTAATTCGCCATGCAATACATCGTTAGTCACGTATTATTGTTTGTCAAATGTGTATAAAACATCTGCCACATTCTTGGCAGTTTAATAGAATCTAGAGATATAAAGAAGTTCCTGACCACAGAGTTCATAGCCTCACAGGCAAGATAGGAAAACACAGAATTATATAATACGAAATTACATTATATCATAGAGCATATTCTATAGTAAGTTACTCCGATTGGCTTTTGGTATTAAAATGTCTTCAGTTTCAGAGGTCCCAGGATAGTGGGCAATATTTGAAAGCCAGTAAATATAAAATAAAATATATTACCTGTGTGAAAGAGAATTTTTCAGGCACAATAATATTTTAAAGAGTTTATTTGTGTAAGAAGTGAATTGGGAAACAGAAAACCGAAAGAGGTTTAGTGGCCCAATGACAGTTTCAGAGGCAGGTGTTTGGAGAGTGAATGTAAAAGCAAAATGAAGAATTTATTTGATTTAATTGGTTGCAATTACAAAATTGCTTTGTTTGGTTTACCTTGTTGGAAGTTTCCTAGTCACATAACCATATGTTAGTTGGCTACTTATGATTGGCTGAAGTTTTATTTGTGTCAAACAGAAGCATTTACCATAAATAACCCCAGTTAAGATTTGATTATGCTGTCTTTTAAGCAAGGTTAAGGCTGTTGTTAAGGCCTCATTGGTTTTGTTTGGTAAGGAATTTTTCAGGCCTGGTCTCCAAATTTTGCTTTAACAATTCCTTGCTTCTGGTTATTCTCTCAGCAAGCTGATAGTGTGACTAGATGACACAGTATTACTCTCTGTTACCACCACCAATGTAGTCACTGGGACAAAGAGTCAGGTAGATGTTGTTGTCATCATCAGTAGGTAGGTTGGGGATGAGAATTCCATGGCCACAGTTAGCAGTTACATAGTCAGTGTTGCTTTCCTCAAGTTGAATGATCCTCATGGTAACTGTTTGATATTTGAGCAGCTGTTGGAAATCATTTAGAACCCTTGAGAGAATACAAGGCACCAGGGGGGTAAACATAATAATTATAAGGAGAATAATAGCCAAGGATTGAAAAATTCCTCTGAGCAAAGATTCCCAGGAGCCAAGACTTAACCAGCTGAGTGAATCAATGGAGAAGGCAGTGCCCATCTAATGAAAAACCCATGTGTGTTCTTTAAGGTATTTTAAGTTTTCGGTAATACCTGATTTGTTAACATAAAAATGACACTTTTTTTTTTTGAGATCGAGTCTTACTCTGTCGCCCAGGCTGGAGTGTAGTGGCGCAATCTCAGCTCACTGTAAACTCCACCTCCCAGGTTCAAGTGATTCTCCTGCCTCAACCTCCTGAGTAGCTGGGACTACAGGTGTGTACCACCACACCCAGCTAATTTTTGTGTTTTTAGTAGAGATGGGATTTCACCATGTTGGCCATGCTGGTCTTGAACTCCTGACCTCAGGTGATCCACCTGCCTCAGCCTCCCAAAGTGCTGGGATTACAGGTGTGAGCCACCGTGCCTGGCCAACACCTTCTTTTTTTTTTTTTTTTTTTGAGATACAGTCTCACTCTGTCTTGCCCAGGCTGGAGTGTGCAGTGGTGTGATCTTGGCTCACTGCAGCCTCTACCTCCTGGGTTCAAGTGATTCTCCTGTCTCAGCCTCCTGAGTAGCTGGGAATACAGGCGTGTGCCACCACACCCGGCTAATTTTGTATTTTTAGTAGAGACAGGGTTTCACCCAGGCTGGTCTCAGACTCTTGACCTCAGGTGATCCACCTCTCTCAGCCTCCCAAAGTGCTGGGATTATAGGCGTGAGCCATGCGCTCGGCCAGCAACACCTTTCTACCAATTAGGGAACAAGGTCTCCCTTTTTGAGCAGTTAAAGTAGCAAGAAGTCTTCTATTGTACAGTACTACTGAGGCCAATTCATTCATCCCAGATTGTACTGCTTAAGATAATTCGAAGTGTCAATTAAACTTTTTCAGAAGTTGGTAAAATATTAATTGATTTTTTTCAATTCACTCAACTGAGAGAAACGGGCTCTTACAGAAGTATGAAATCCAGAACCCCTTCGTAAGACTGTGTCTGGGATATTATGATTCTCTTTTGTGAGGGGTCACTTTATGTACAAATGACTCTAAGGATTTGTATGGCAATTGAAGAGTCATATCTAGTCATTTTAGGTAGAAGATAGCCCACACCACAGATCCAGACTGGCTAGGTAGAACACCTTTACATACTTTGTTGCTGCATAAAATGAATAATTCGGTGTTATCGATAGAAAGGGTCAAAGTGCATCCTATTACCCACGAGTTGGGGGTGATACGAATGTCATGGTTATTCTCCGTCACATCTGCGTCTGCACAGCGCCACGTTGAATGGTTATGGTTTCAATTGGAGTAGGAACAAAAAACATTTCTATGAATTTGATAAAATGACTGTATGCCATCATCAATTAGGGATGATTGGTTTTCTTTTTATTTGAGACGGAGTCTTGCTGTGTCACTCAGGCTGGAGTCAGTGGTGCAATCTTGGCTCACTGCAACCTCTGCTTCCCGGGTTCATGCGATTCTCCTGCCTCAGCCTCCCAAGTAGCTGGGACTACAGGCACCACCACCACGCCCAGCTATTTTTTTGTATTTTTAGTAGAGACAGGGTTTCACCGTGTTAGCCAGGATGGTCTCGATCTCCTGACCTCGTGATCCACCCTCCTCGGCCCCCCAAAGGGATGACTGGTTTTCTTTCCAAATATGACCTGAGCATTGATCTGTCCAATAAGCAAGACTGTTATGTACATTATGTAGTGGATCTATTGAGGCATACGATTTTCCTGTAGCATTTCCATTGAACCAATGTCTAGTTCTAGTAAGTTCTCTGATGATATGGTTGAGGCTTTCATGGTCATGTTCAGATTTTATATATGTGTCTCATGTAGGAATCTAGTCTTCATAATCTGTGTCAAACCTAAGAATTTGAGTACAGAGGGATTCTGGAACACTGCCCAGATTTGGCCCAGTTCCATTCATGTTTTCTGTGCGTAGAGATAAGTTACCATTAATGACATCAATCGTAGTTGTAGGCCATCCCTTTGCCTCTGTTGCTTCTTCCAAGAGCTACACTGGTTGATCATAAATATCAGCCAACTGCCAAGGGAAGGATACCAACCCTTTTCATAACGCCATTTTCCTGAATTGCTCACTCAAGTGTGTATGGGAGCAGGTTCTAATATTAGTTGTGATTCTTTCCATTTATCTAGAGGATTACGTAGCCACCAATTGCTTTGCTTAGTAGTGAGGATGGCTTCATGTTGAGCAGTAGATCTTAGAGGATATTCAGTGTGGATAATGAAATTCCCTAACGAAAATAAAAGTGTGAACCTTTTGTGCTAAAACAAAACAAAAACAAGTCTGAGTCAATAGAAGGGGGCCACATGGAGTCTTGTTTCATTGTCTTGGGAAAGCTGTGTCTATTTCATGATATCATCTACTTTTATGGAAGGATTTCTCTTGGGTATCCTTAATTTTGTTTTTATATTATTATTATTATTATTGAGACGGAGTTTCTCTCTTGTTGCCCAGGCTGCAGTGCAGTGGCACGATCTTGGCTCACTGCAACCTCCACCTCCCGGGTTCAAGTAATTCTCCTGCCTCATCCTCCTGAGTAACTGAGATTACAGGAATCTGCCACCACACCTGGCTAATTTTTGTATTTTTAGTAGAGATGGGGTTTCACCACGTTGGCCAGGCTGGTCTCAAACTCCTGACCTTAGGCGATCCAACCACCTTGGCCTCCTTAAGTGCTGGGATTACAGGCATGAGCCACCACACCCGGCCTGTTATCCTTAATTTTAAATCACATGTGGATTGACAAGTCCAAAACTCTAAGAGAGCTCTCATTAGCTGTGAAACATGTACCCAAGGTTCAAGATCCTGACATTTTGCTACGGTGAGAATAGTAACTGAAACTGGTGTAGTGTCTTTCAATGGGGCTCAAGGGCAGTTGTTCTCTGCTGTCTTTTACAAAAGAGCTAGTCTCGGCCGGGCACAGTGACTTGCGCCTGTAATGGTAGCACTTTGGGAAGCTGAGGCGGGCGGATCACCTGAGGTCAGGAGTTTGAGACCATCCTGGCCAACATGGTGAAACCCCATCTCTACTAAAAATACAAAAATTAGCCGGGCATGGTGACACATGCCTGTAATCCCAGCTACTTGGAAGGCTGAGGCAGGAGAATCGCTTAAACCCATGAGGTAGAGGTTGCAGTGTGCCGAGATTGTGCCACCGCACTCCAGCCTGGGTGACACAGCGAGACTGTATCAAAAAAAAAAAAAAAAGATCCAGTTTCCAGATTCCAGGTCACGTAAGGTGGGATCATCAATAGGCAGGTCACAGAAAGCCTCCTTCACCTGGTGGGATATACTTTGGCATCATACATCAAGACCTTGCAGTATTGAGTCACATCAGAGCCACCAGTAGAGTGGATAAATGAAGTTCTGTTATGAAAGGCACAAGTCGTTCAGTATTTATTTTGTGAAGGGCCACTTTATGTGTTCCCCTAGGGGCTGATGTTCTTGCCATAAAGGTCGGTGATAATTCTTTTGGCCAAGGTAATTCAGTTGACTCTGTTAATTTAGCTAATTTTAGTTTTGTGATACCATTTCTGCATTCAGCCTTTCCAGAAGAGAGAGTGATGAGGGCAATGATAGTGCCGTCAGGTCTGTAAACTCTTATTTGGTGGATAACCTGTCAAATAAAGCGAATTGCCCTAGCACTAGAGACCTCCTCGGCAGGTAGGTGGGATTTCATCTTTCTGGAGCCTGAGCATCTCCAAAGAAGAGCTGCCGCATGGAGCTTCCCTGACTGGTGACCTCCACCCTCTTCTCTCCAGAGCTCTTTGACCCAGAGGAATCTGCAGGAATGGAGGGAGTTGGCCAAAGTAGGGAGATTTTTACTCAGACCATATCCAGGTGAGCACACAACAGCCTTTTGGGCTTGGGCTGATGCGTGCATTTCTGTCTGTACATGCGTGCCTGGAAGTGTGCAGATGAGTGTGTGAGAGAGGGTAATGGCCATGCATCCTTGCATAGACAAGAACATGGGGTGCACTTCTGCATGTGCACAGCCCCTCCCCAACCCGGGCCTGTGGTGCTGTCCTGCCCCTAGCCCAGAGCTGGCCTCTGTTGGCTTTGAGACCCTAGCTTTGCACTGTGGCTTTGCTCGGCCTTAGAGACCAGCTGCTCCCCTGCTGTGGTCTCTCATAGTGGAGACTGATCCCTGGCCACCCATTCAGCTGCCTGAGGGCCCTGGGACCAGTGTTCATCCCCCCACCTCCCAAAACAGAGGTGTGTAGGGGTTCCCTGCCTGGAGTCCCAACCCTGCAGGATGGAGAAAATGGGCACCAGTTACTGTGACCCATTCCGGCTCCATATGGATTTGGTTTGACAACAAAGCTCCCTCTGTGTGTTCCCAAGCCCCTTACATAACCAGGGGCTGTGGGCAGAGGAGGAAAGGAGGAGGAGGTGGAGATGGGGACCAGGAGACACCAGGATGGGATGGCTGGAAAGGACACAGGGACCGGGAGGAGAGGGCAGGAGACGAGGGCCAGAGAGGAGGAGAGGGTGGGAGCAGGAGGGGGAAGTGCTGGTCTTGACCTCCCAGTTCTGCCTCCTGCTTCCTGGGGAGGGGAGGGTGGAGTCCAGCCACCGACTTCTGCTTGTGGATGCTTTGTCTTCTTTTCTTTGGACCTTTCCCACCAGTCCTGGATAGGCTGAGGAGGGGCCGTGGGACCTGTCTGGGGTGAGGTGAGGTCAGGTATTGGGCTGGACTTGGGAGGCTGTTCCTTGGCCGCAGCCTGTAACTGAATAAATGCCATTAAAAGGGGAATCCATTTCCTCCCTCACTCCTGGCTTCCATTGCCTTCCCCCAGGCCCCAGCCCTGGTTCCAGAATCCCTCTGACCACTCCTCTTGTGCTCAGGAGGGCAGAATAACTGCAGCCTTTCCCTGTGCCCTGCCAGGCTGGTCCCGGGCCCCCTCCCAGCCCACTCATCCAGGGATGCAGCTCTGGCCTTGGCCCACCCCCATCAGAGGGCCTGTGGCCCTGATCACCGCACTCCCCACTCTGTGACCAGACGTTCTCTCCTGAGCATCGCTGACCCTGCAGCTGTCCAAATAGAGCAAGAAGCGAATGTTCTCTTTGGGGCACAGCTGGACTGGCAGCCCTGCAGGGTCAGGTGAGCTGCCAGTCCTGGGTGTGTTCTCGGGGGTGGGGGTGGGAGGATCACGTCCTGGGCTGAGATCCCTTCAGCTCCTCCTGGGCAGGAGGAAACAGCCATGCAGGGGCGGCCAGGAGGACTGGGTGGCGGGTGGTTCTGGGCTCTCCCAGCTTCGGTTGGGGCTGGGACCCTGGGGGACATGCTCTCCTGGGTGTTCCCAGGCTCTGTGTCTGGCCTGTGCCTCAGTGTGTGGGTTTTCTGGCACCAGGCTTCCTTGGGAAGAGCCTCTGGTTGTGCACCAGCCCTGAGGGTGGGGCTCATCCCAGGCTGCAGGGGACTGAGGGCCGAGCTCTTCCACCTTGAGGACAAGGATGGTTCCTCAGGGCTGGGAGGAGGAGGAGGCGCTGGCCAGGACCTTAGATTACGCAGGGCTTGGTGTTGGGGCCTCACAGATGATGGAGAAGCCAGAGTTCAGGCACTTGGCATGACCCCTGGCATCGCCTTCAGTTGATTTAGTGTCTCTGCCCTGGGGTATTCCATGGGACCCTGGGCTGGCTTCTGTGTGCAGAGGTGGGTGTGGGCCATAGCCCAGACCTGTTGAACCAGTTGTAGGCTCTGGAATCCTCTGTCCCCAGGCAGTCACCAGGCCTTGACAGGCGGGAATCTGTCCCTCTCATCACCCCCCCAGTTATGGGTGCAGATGACCCTGAAATTGCTAAAGCCTCAGGGCTTGAGCCCAGAAAGTGTGAGCAGGCTGGCGGGGCAGCTGGAGGAAGGCCTTGCAGGTTCCTGGATTTGGGTGCCGGGTGGGCTGAGAGGACAGTCCCTGTCACTGGGACTGGGCACAGGTGCAGAGAGGCTGAGACAGGCCCAGAGGACAGTGAGTGTGTGTTGTGTGGGTGCCAGGCCAGGGAGTGCCCTCCATGGGGCAGCAGGCTCTGCAGTACCCTCGGCCAAATGGCCACAGGCTGCCCTGGGACACTCTCCAGGCCTGCTGGGGACACACCTGTGGGGCTCATAGGCGTGGCTGGGTCTCCTCTCAGGTGCCAGAATCTTTCTGGGAGCTGAGCCTGGCTGGGCAGAGGGCGAGGAGCCCAGGATTCCCCTTTCCGTGACTTTGGAGGAACGAGGTTCCTGAGGGCTGGCACAGCCACTCCCTGCCCCTTAGAGGCTCTGGGCTGCCTGGTGACAGCTTCGGGGACCTGCAAGCTGACAGAGTCTCCAGGAGCCAGAGCTGGGGTGGGAGGAACCCACTGGGCCTGAGGGAGGTAGAGCAGCAGCAGCAGCAGCTGAGCCCAGCCCCCGGCCAGCCCTGAGGAATGGGGGAAAAGAGTGCCCTGGCTTGGGGGGGCCCTCAAGCCCCGGAAGCTGTATGTGGGCATGGGGGGCGGGGGCAGAGAGGAGGAGGACTGAGAAGTGGGTGTATTTGGGCAGGTGTGTGTGTGTGACCAAGCTTGCGGGCGCCTGAGTATGGACTAGTGTGTTTGTGCTGGAGGAGCCTGTGTAGGTTACTGACATGGGAGGGCCGGTGTGAGCTGCAGGGACCGGAGAGCTGCTGGAAGGGGCTGTCTATGCCTTCAGGCTCTGAGTGTGGATGCAGCTGGGCCTGTTCAGGCAGATTCACCAGAGGGGCTACTGCGCAGAGCCTGGGCCCTGGACACCTAGAAGGGCCCCTCCTCCCCTCGTCTTCCCTCCCTCATGGCCCACCTTTACTCTGAGGGGGTGGGCTTCCTGCGGGGGACAAACTGGAGAGGGACTCTCTTGCCGCCTTCTCTGTTCCTGGGGACAGGCTGCTGCAGGGTGGAGGGCTTGCTTTTCCTGCCCACCCTCATCTTTGCCGAGTCCTCGTCTGGGGGCCCTGCCCCACTCTCCCTTCCCAATGCAGGGCCCTCTCCTCTGGCGAGCCTGCCTTGATACTCCCCGGCTCAACCCCTTTAACCCTGCTGGCTCCTAATGGGACTAATGGGATTTCAGGTGTGGACCCTTGGACCCTCCGCTGCACAGTTCCAGAAACTTGTTCATCAAGTGCCAGGCTGACCATGGTGTCCGTCTCAGTGCCCAGCAGTTGTTCTGGTGATGGGAGGTGGGAGTACAAGGTCTGCCGAGTGAGGCAGAGGAAAGGGGTTTCTGAGCCCAGATCTCCGGTGCTCCAAGACACTCAAAACCAGAGCTGAGAGCCTGAATTCAGAGGCTGTACTGTGGGGCAGGGCTGGAATTTGTGGCACCTGTGTAGGGACTCCAGGGCTGAACGTTGCCTTTGCTGTCCCTGCTTGGGGATTTTGGGGTACTGGGTTTGGATAGAGTGTGTCATCTGCAGAGGCAGCACTGTTCTGGAAGTGGACTCTGCTCAGGTGTGGCGGGCCTGCCTGTGGGGTCACCATGGACAGGAGGCTGGTGTCTGGTCAGGCTGAGGGATCCGTGTGCCAGCCCTTCTGGGAAGGCTGAATGGGGCGGAACTGGTCAGGGCCTGGCACCAACTCCAGGATGTGCTACACCCAGACAGACAGATGGAGAGCCACCTCCCTAGGGGCCTCCTCCCCCTCCCCTTCTGCATGCCACCACACCCCAGCAGCATCTCCTGAGGCTGGGCCATGGGTGAATCTGAGTCGAGGGCAGGACAGAGTGGGAGTGGCAGTGCCTCTGCCTGTCTCCCTGGCCGTGGCAGGTCCTTTGTCACATATGGGCCAGGAGAGGTGAGTGTGATTGTGGTAGTGGTGGGGGCAGTGGCTGAGGACCCCTCTCTTTGCTGGGCTGGGACAGAGCTTGAATGGAGAGGGGCCGCCTTGTGCCTGGGAAGGGAGGACCAGGTGTCGCTGGCACCTTCCACGTCCTGAGTGCTTGTTCTGTGCCCAGCCCCTGCTGAGGCTGCGGACATTAAATACCAGGATATGTTTTGAGACTCAGGACACCTCTGAGGACTTGCTGCTGTTATCCACATTTAAAAGACGAGGACTCTGAGGCTCTGAGAGGTTAAGTACCTGGTCCAGGTCACCTGGTCAGTTTCTTTCTTTTTTTTTTTTGAGATGGAGTCTTGCTCTGTTGCCCAGGCTGGAGTGCAGTGGCGATCTCGGCTCACTGCGAGCTCTGCCTCCCGGGTTCACACCATTCTCCTGCCTCAGCCTCCCGAGTAGGGGACTACAGGCGCCCACCACCACACCCGGCTAATTTTTTTTATTTTTAGTAGAGACAGGGTTTCACTGTGTTAGCCAGGATGGTCTCGATCTCCTGACCTCATGATCCTCCCACCTCGGCCTCCTAAAGTGCTGGGATGACAGGCATGAGCCACCGCGCCTGACCCACCTGGTGAGTTTCTGAGCTCCAGACAACTCATCCCAAATTTCATGGGTGCATAGAGTATAGAGATTAAAAGTAGTTCTGGCTGAATTTTAAATCCTGGTTCCACTATTTTCGACCTGTCTGATTTTGGAACATTTAATGTATTCCTTCTGTGCCTCAGTTTTCTTCTGTGTAAATGAGAATGAAAGAGTACTCCCCCATCAATTTGTTGAAAACTTCAGTAAGATTATGCCAGGAGCTGCAGCACAGCCCCAGGGATGATTTAAAAGTGAATTCAGGACAGGGCGTGGTGGCTCACGCCTGTAATTTCAGCACTTTGGGAGGCTGAGGTGGGAGGATCCCTTGAGCCCAGGAGTTTGAGGCCACCCTAGACAACATAGTAAGACCTTGTCTCAAAAAAAAAAAGCGAATCCAGTGGTGTCACTCTTTGTTATCAATGCCCTCCAGTGACATTCATGACACCCAAACTTAGAATCTGAGCTTTTAGGGTGGCCTGTGACATCTATACCACGTGTCCCCGTGGCCTCCCTGGCACCCCCTTTCCTTCCTGGCTGTCTGCCACCATATGGAACTTTCTGTGCCTTGCACCCAGCCAGCTCAGAGTCTTGGGCACTTCTCTCAGTCTGGAACCTTCTCTTGCCTACCCCATCTTCCCATGGCTGCCCTTCATGTAGGCCTCCGGTTTATAGCCGGCTCCTCAGAGACATGGTTCTATCCCCCCAGTGGCCAAGGGCTGGTGGCCCTCACTCTCTGCCCCTGTGCCCTGTGTTAGTGGTCCTGTGGTTGTCATTGCCCCGTCATCTCCACCATTTCCTGTTTGCCGTGTGTCTGTGCCCCCCAAGGATGAATGCCATGAGTCCAGCATGTCACCCTGTTTCTGTCCTGCCACAGTGCTCGAGTCAGTGCCCTCCCTGCTTGCATTCGGCCCACAGGCCTTGTGGCTCCTGTTTCTGCTGACCTGTCCAGCCTCACAGTCTGGGGAGGCCTTGGGGTCCCCAGCCTGTGCTGGGACAGGGGTATTATTCCAGTAGCCCTTCTGTGGAACAAGTAGGGAAGGAGTGATGTGACCTCTGTGGCTCTCCTGGGACACAGGTTAGTCCTGTGGGTGACCTCACTTTAGAGAGGGCTGGCCAGCTGTGCCGGAATTAGGAAGTGGGTACAGCTGGACAAAAGGTGGCTGGAGCCAGCTCTGCAGAAGCCACACCTGCTCATGAGAAGGGTATCCTTGTGAGTACAGGGGAAATGGCATGGAGAAAGACAAACACCGGTGGGTGGCTCTGCCAGCTTCCCCTGGGGTGCTTCTGGCAACGCCCAGGTCTGTGCACATCCAGATCTTTGCACTGCGCTGTTTTGACTTGGAGAGGAGAGGAGGAAGTTAGCTGCTCTGAATGGTGTTGCTGCTAATCTCTACAGCACTTTCCTGTAAATTAGGAACGGTAACACACACACCCCTCCCCCACCCCGCTGGAGAAGCCCTGCACCAGAGCATACAGTTTGGCAAGTAGGAGGAGGGCTGGAGCCCAGCCTCACTTGCTGCCCTGGCCAGGCCGTGATTGCCCAGGGTGCATACTGTGGCTGGTGCTCTGCCACTGCTGTTTCTGTCCTCAGGGTAGGACACAAGGAGGGCAAGTAGGGCCAGTCAGCGAGAGGCGCAGGTGACGCGTGTTCTAGGGTCTGAGATCAGCTGCTTCCATTTCAGTAATTGTCTTTGGAGCTACATTGTCTGCTCATACAACTTCCCTTCCAGATAGTGCCATTTTAAAAATCCCATTTACCCAAAAGAAAACCTGACACCTGGAAAGGTCGTTTGCACTCACACAAGTGATGGTTGGTCCAGAATTCACATCCAAGTGTGAGATTTCAATATTTTTTTTCTTCCTCCTTTTTTTAAATCAAATTTTATTTGAAAGGGTATCACAGTCACCAGTTTGAAAAAGGTAAGCAGGCCAGGTGTGGTGGCTCACACCTTTAATCTTTGCATTTTGGGAGGCAGAGGCAGGCGTGTCAGTTGAGCCCAGGAGTTTGAGACCAGCCTGTTCAACGTGGTGAGACCCCATCTCTCCAACATTTACAAAACTAGCTGGTCATGGTGGTATGTGCGTGTGGTCGCAGCCACTGGGGAGGCTGAGGTGGGAGGGTTGCTTCAGCCTGGTGGGTGGCTGCAGTGAGCTGAGATTGGGCCTTTGGTCTTCAGTCTGGGCTACAGAGCAAGACTCTGTCTCAAAAAAAAAAAAAAAATTATAAAGGTAAGCAGTACAAATGGGAATATGAGCATAAGTCACTCTCATTCCAGACCTCTGACCCCCAGGACTTTTCTCTTGAGAGGCCATAGCCTTTGTTTTGCATCCTTCTGAGTAAACCTATTCGTGTACAGACATATCTGGGTATGCATGTAACTGTTTTGTGAAAGTGCATTTGGAGATATGGATATCGTTGTTTTCACCCATCCTAAGTTTTGATGCTATGGATACTATGTTTTGGAGATTAGACGATACCAGCACGCATAGGTTTGCAGCCTCTTTTTCACAGCTCCATAGTGTTTCCTTGTCTGTGAGCAGATTTCAAGTTGTTTCCATCTTAACCCCTAGAAAAAGTGCTGTTGAAGATCCTGACAGACAAGTCTGTAGAAACATAGGAAACTTTGTAGAATAAAGTTCTGGCCATGGGCCAAATTCCCTCTGAGAGGTAGCTCTAGTTTTTCTTCCTAGTACATCTATGAGAGCTCAGGTCCCTCGTGTTTTGCTGTTATGATGAATGAAATATGCTGTCTCCATCACGCTGGAATTTGTAGATGTAGATGACCATAGTTTCTTATTTGCCATTCATTTCTTTACATTAAGGTAAATATTCATGTCCTTTGGCTATTTTTATTTTATTTCTTTTTTCTTTTCTTTTTTAAGACAGAGTCTCGCTCTCTCTCCCAGGCTGGAGTGAAGTGGCTTAATCCTGGCTCACTGCAACCTCCACCTCCTGGGTTCAAGCGATTCTTCTGCCTCAGCCTCCTAAGTAGCTGGGATTACAGGCACCTGCCACCATGCCTGGCTAATTTTTATATTTTTAGTAGAGGTGGGGGTTTTACCATGTTGGCCAGGCTGGTCTCGAACTCATGACCTCAAATGATCCATCCACCTTGGCCTTCCAGAATGCTGGGATAATAGGTGTGAGCCACTGCGCCTGGCCCTTTGCCTATTTTTAAATTAGGTTTCTTGTTTTTTTTTTTTTTTTTTTTTCTGATTTACGTGAGCACATCATAGGCTCAGTGAATTTACTGATATGTTAGGTATAGGTTGCAAATGTACTTTAGTTTTTCAGTGTCTTTTTTTTTTTTTTTTTTTTTGAGACGGATTTTTGTTCTTGTTGCCCAGGCTGGAGTGCAGTGCAATGACACGATCTTGGCTCACTGCAGCCTCCACCTCCTTGGGTTCAGGCAATTCTCCAGCCTCAGCCTCTTGAGCAGCTGGGATCACAGGCGCCTGCCACCATGCCTGGCTAATTTTTGTATTTTTAGTAGAGACGGGGTTTCACCATGTTGGCCAGGTTGGTCTCGAACTCGTGACCTCAGGTGATCCACCCGCCTCAGTCTCCCACAGTGCTGGGATTACAGGCGTGAGCCACCGCTCCCCGGCTCAGTTGTCTTTTAAGTGTTTCATTTGTCTTCTCTCTACTCCTCCCTCTCTCTCTTGCACTTGCTGTCTGTCTCACTTAAATTTTATGTAGGTGAATATATTCATCTTTCCTTGTTTAGCTTCTCAATTTATATTTCTTCACTATCTCTATTAATATGAAAATATCTCATCTATATAAATATTAATGTAACAGAGTTGCATGTGATAATCTGCCAGGTTGAACAAATGGGAATATTATCTCTCATATGACGTTAGATTTTTTTCCTTTAAGAAATAAAATATTGCAAGTAGAGAACCAAAGACATGCCCCTGTGACCTCTTTTATTCTTCCCCATCTCCCCAGAATATAATTATCACTTAAAGTTGGGTGTCAACCTGTATTTCATTCTTTCATCATACACACAAGCACACACTGTTTATACACATAAATAATGTTGTTTTTGGACGCATACTTTGTTTTTGCAACACCTTTAAACATAAGTTTTTACTTTTATTATTTTATTTAAGATAGGATCTTGCTCTGTCACCCAGGCTGGAGTATAGTGGCGCGATCATAGCTCGCTGCAACCTCTCATCTCCTGGGCTCAAGTGATCCTCCCACCTTAGTTAGCCTCCTGAGGAACTGGGATAATCACAGTCATAAGCCACCAAGCCCAGCTAAGTTGTTTATTTTATTTTTTTATTTTTTAAATAAAGATGAAATCTTGCTATGTTATCCAGGCTGGTCTCAAACTCTTGGGCTCAAGCAATCCTCCTGCCTTGGCCTCCCAAAGTGCTGGGATTACAGGCATGACTTTAAAAAGTTAACATTATGGGCCAGGCGCGGTGGCTCACGCCTGTAATCCCAGCACACTGGGAGGCCGAGGCGGGTGAATCACGAGGTCAGGAGATCGAGACCATTCTGGCTAACGCAGTGAAACCCCGTCTCTGCTAAAAATACAAAAAAAAAAAAAAAATTAGCTGGGCGCGGTGGGGGGCGCCTGTAGTCCCAGCTACTTGGGAGGCTGAGGCAGGAGAATAGCGTGAACCCGGGAGGCAGAGCTGCAGTGAGCTGAGATCACGCCACTGCACTCCAGCCTGGGTGACAGAGCAAGACTCTGTCTCAAAAAAAAAAAAAGTTAACATTATGTCTTCAAGTTTATCCCAATTGACCCATATGGATTGATTTCTTCAGTTTACATGGCTATATAGTATTCAGGTAGCACAGTGTATATAGCCATGGCTGTACTGATGATAGTGTTTCCAGTTTGTTTGTTTTTTTTTGCTATTGCAGCACTGCCTAATAAATATCCTGGAGTGGGTTGTACTTATATACTTCAAAATGGAATTACCAGATTGTAAAATATGCACATATTCAGCCTCACTAGATACTGTGAAGTGCTCTTCTAAGCCTTTGTGTCAGTTTGTACTTCTGCCAGCAATGTGGAAATGAGATTTGGTTTTAATATGTATTCCCTGGTCACGAGTGAGCCTCAGCATCTTTTCATATGTCCACCAAGTGTTTGGGTTTAATCTGTGAATTGCCTTTTTGTGTTCTTTGCTTTTTTTTTTTTTTTTTTTATTTCTTTGATTGTTTTGGTGGTTGTTATGGTAAAATGCACAAGCACGAGGTTGTATTTACCATCTTAACTCTTTCTGTGTGTATAGTGCAGTGGCATTAAGCACTTTCAGAATGTGCTACCGTGCTACCATCCCACCATCCATCTCCCGAACTCTCTTCATCTTGCCAAACTGAAACATCCCACCCACTAGTCAAGAACTCCTCATTTCCGCCTCCCCCCAGCCCTTGGCAGCCACCATTCTGCTTTCTGTGTCTGTGAGCTTGACTACTTTAAGTATCTATTCTAAATGGAATGATACAGGACTTGTCTTTTTGGGACTGGCTTATTTCACTTCGCGTAGTACCTTCAAGGTTGATCCATACTGGTAGCAGAATTTCCTTTCTTTTTCAGGCTGAATAATATTCCATTGTATGCGTAGACCACATTTTGTGGATCCGTTCATCCACTGATGGACGCTTGGGGGTTGCTTCCACATTAGCTATTGCAAAGTCAATAATGCTGCTGTGACCACGGGTGTACAGATATCTCTTTGACATCCTGGTCTCAAATATTTTGGGGATATACCCAGAAGTGCAGTTGCTTGATCCTATCCTGTCCCTTGCTTTTCCCTTTGCTTCCTTGTTTTTTTTTTTTCTTTTTGTTTTATGGGAGTGCTGATATATTCAAGTATTTGTTGATTGCATGCATTATGCCTGACTTGCTCAAAGCATGATGTCTTGAGCACTTAGCAACCTTGTGCCTGCTGAGTGGTGGAACAGTTCTGAAAAGGTCTGTTCTGGAGTGGGGGTGCTGTTTCGGAGAGCGATGAATCAGGGGCTTGGGTGCTGACTTTAGGAGGTGCGGCTCTTGGAAAGACAGAGTGTGACTTCCCCAGTGTGGTCTCCTTCCTTTTCCTCACCACTTCTCCTACCTAACCCCAAGAATGAGTCCTTGAGTCTGTCTCAGTAGGTGGATCTGCATTCAGTGCAGGGCAGAGCCTGGGTGGCAGTGCCTCTCCTTGCCTCCCTGGCTGCTACAAGGTCCTGTGTAGCATCTGGTGTGGACCCAGCAGCCAGGAGGAGAGCTGAGTGTGATTGGGGTCGTGGTGGGGCCAGTGGCAGTGGATCTCTCTCTTTGTTGGGCTGGGCCAGCGCTTGAATTGAGAGGGGCTGCCATGTGTCTGGGGAGGGCAGAACCCAGCGTCACTGACACCCTCCAGATACAGAGTTCTTGCTCTGTGTTTGGCCCATACCTAATGTTGTGAAGTGGAAATACTGGGGTGTGTTTTGAGGCTCAGAACACCTGTGATAACTTGGTCGTGTGTGTGTGTGTGTGTGTGTGTGTGTGTGTGTGTATGTGTGTGTATGTGTATATATAAAATTATTTTCCTTAACACCACTGACCTGAAGGCAGTTACACGTAATTTACAAATGAGGAATCTGAGGCTTTGAGATTGTCAAGGTCACCTGACCAGTGACTGCAGAGGCTGGATTGGCCTGTGGGCCTGAGTCCGTACCCCTTTTCACTGGCTCCTCCTGGAGGCCACATGTACCTTGCGCTTCCTGGGGCTTGGTCCTGGGGTTTCATCTCAGGTTGACCCCCGTTAGGAGGAAGTAAGTAGGAAGGAAGGAGATTTCCTGGGTATTAGGGTGTCCTCAAGCCTGCAGCTCTCCTGGGACTGCACAGAGTTTACTGTCGGACATCAGTTCTGATATGGTGCAGCAGACATGGAGCTGGTAAGTGGTTAAGATCAGTCGGACATGACAACCTCCAGTTCTGCAGAAGCCACTTCATTTGCCTGGGGATAAAGCAGGTCCTTGTGAGCTCATCGACATGCATTTGGCAGAAAGTGCGCTGGCTCTGCCAGCTCCCAGTGTGAGCTTCTAGCAAGCCCCTTGTGCCTTAGATGCCCAGGTCTTTTCAGAATAAGCCTGGCTTGTTTTAACTTGATGCAACTTGCTGCTCACAGTCATCTTATTGTTTGCTGATGAATTCAGACCTCCATTCATTTAAATATTTGTCAGTTATCTACCATGTGTCAGGCATTAAATTTAGTGCTGGAGATACTATGGGACATAAGAAGTCCCTGCTTGCTGGGAGTGCGTGGTCTAATTGGTACTTGGGACAGTGTGGTTTAACTGCCACAAAGTTAATAAAGCAGCATGATGTGACAGAGCTGGATGTGGGGGAGTGAGGAAGCTTCTCTGGACTGGGTGGTCTGAACCCCATGCAGGGAGGAAACTGTGGCTGGGAGGAGAGGAGGCCGGAAGAGAGGTCTGGGCTTGGGTCCCAACCACTGATTCCAGATCTCTCAACATTTGTAACACGACCAACTCCTGTTCTTTTTTTTTTTTTTTTTTGAGACAGGCTAGAGTGCAGGGGGACGATCATAGCTTACTGCAGCCTCGATCTCCTGGACTCAGGGGGTCCTCCTGTCTCAGCCTCCCAAGTATCTAGGACTACAGGTGTGTGCCACCACACCCGGCTAATTTTATTTTTATTTTTATAGAGACGGGGCAGAGTCTGCAGTCACATGCCTTGCAAGTAGCAGAGACAGGGTTTAGTCTCGGTAGCCAGTGCCTAGGGCACAGGTCTTGGCCAGAGGAGAGAAGGCTCAGGTGAACCAGTTTCATCTGACCTGCTTGCTAACTCAAACATGGCTGCCCAACTGCGTGGGCTGGCAAGGTATGTGAGGTGGGTAGCTGGGTGGCCCGCCCCTTGCAGGCACTGGGGCAGGATATCAGGGGGTCCAGAAGAGGTTGGGTTTAGGCAGAGTAGAGGTGATTGTGTGGGCCGGGGGAGCAATGTCACCTTGAATGTGTTTCCATACCCAGGGCCCAGATGGCTCAGGAGGAGGGGGATGGGGACGGGGAGAGTGAGGTCTTTTTGACTTTGATGTGCTTTGACTGCACATCAGAGTCAAACGAGTCAGAATAAGCGGGACCCCTCCACAGGCATCTCAGCCCTCCTAATTTAGCCTTTCTGAAGTGGAGCCTTGGGAGCCGATGAAGCTTAATAAACTCTCCTGGTGCTTCCAGTAGGCACTTGAGGGTGGACACCACCGTCTTCAGGTCATAGGAAGTGTGAGCTAGCAGGAATCCTGGAGATTTTCTAGCCCAACAGTGTCCGGTCAAAATAGAATGGGAGCCAGAAATACAAGCCACATGTAATTTTAAATTACTTTTAAAACATTTAAATTTAGCCACGGTTTTAAAAAGTAAAAATAGGTGAAATTCGTTTTAATATTTTAACCCAATATAGCCAAAATCTTGGCATTTCAACATGGGATGAGCATAAAATAATGAAGGTGATATTTTATTCTTTTTTTGGGGTACTAAATCTTTGAAATCCGGTGTGTATTTTCCACTTAAAGCACATGTCAGTGTGGACTGGCCCCATTGCAAATACTCAGTGGCCTGGGACTGGGGTGACCAAGTGGGATGTGGTGGGGCTGGTGCAGTCCACCATTCTCACAGCAGGCATCTGGGGTCAGGGGAGGCAGGGCACTGGCTGTGCTGGAAGCAGGGGATTGGCTGTGCTGGTGGGAAGCCAGATTCCAGCCCCAGACACTGGTACCTTTGGCTTTAGATCCTTGGGGTGGGTGCATTGCTTCTCCTGGGAGGGAGGAGCGCCCGGGAGCCCCTGACCAGGACCTGGGGCAGGTCCACACAGGCCCTGGATTTCTCCTGTATCCTGGGCCTGGCCCTGCTCTCTTGACTCCCACCTCGTCACAGTGGCTTCAGCTTTTTCACCCTGAGAAGGGAATTCAAAGCCTCTGCCCCTCTCAGGCAGGCACCAGGATATGATTTTCTTTTTTCTTTTCTTTTTGTTTGAGACAGGATCTGACTTGGTCTGGAGTGTAGTAGCCTGATCTCAGCTCACTGCAGCCTCCACCTCCCGGGCTCAAGTGATCCTCCCACCTCAGCCTCTGAAGTAATTGGGATTACAAGCACATGCCACCATGCCCGGCTAATTTTTGTATTTTTTATAGAGATGGGGTTTCACCATGATGCCCAGGCTGTTCTTGAACTCCTGAGCTCAAGCAATCTGCCCTCCTCGGCCTCTCAAAGTGCTGGGATTACTGGCATGAGGCACGGGGCCCTGCCCTGGGTATGATTTTCAAGTGGTTGGTGTCTTGTGACTGGCAGCTGATAAACGGGTGATACAATGTTTCTGTACAGGAGTCTGCAGTGCCAGGCTGCAGGGGCGGATGGTGGGGGGTGGGTGGGTAGCCTGTGGAGCCCGAGGGTGGGAACAGAGAGTCTTCTTTTGCTGTAGGTGGAAGCCTGTCTGGCTCCTTTCCCTCTAAGGTCAGACAGCTTGAGAGATGTTTCCATCCTCCCATGCATGACCCTGAGGCAGTTAGCTGGTCAGTTACTCACTGTGCTCTCTGCCAACTCTAATGAGCCAGGAAGCCTCCCCGTGCCCAGGCGTGCTGTGATCACAGTGTTCAATGATGGGGTGAGGCTACAGCGTCCAGCCAGGGGCTGTGCCACAGGGGCCAGAAGATATCTGACCTACTGTCACTGCCTCTTCCACTCTGTTCCACCTGCACTGGGGCAATGCCATCTGATGAACAGATCCATTTATTAATTCAACACGTTTGTATTGAGAGCCTGCTGGGTGCCGGGCACTATTGTCAACATGGGTGATACAGCAGCAAGCAAAACAAGAGAAACATCTTTGCAAGCAGGGGAGGGGGCCTGCAGTGTTGGGTGTGTGGAGTTGTTGCTGGGAAGTAGAGAAGCTGAGTAAAGAGCTGGACGGAGAGAGATAGCCAGGCCCATGTCTACAGAAAAGCATTCTAGACTGAGTGAGCATAAATCGCAAAGGCCCAGAGGAGGGAGCATGCCTAGCTAGCCCCCTAGACCTGGTGAGGCTGGTGTGGGTTGGGCAGTGATACGGTTTGGCTGTGTCCCCACCCAAATCTCATATTGAATTGTAGCTCCCATAATTCCCATGTGTCATGGGAGAGACCTGGTGGGAGATAATTGAATCATGGTGGTGTTCTCCCCCAAGTTGTTCTCCTGGTAGTAAGTGTCAGGTGAGCCGATGGTTTTATGAGGGGTTTCCCTTTTCACGTGGCTGTCCTTCTTTCTTGCCTGCTGCCATGTAAGATATACTTTTTTTCTTCTGCCATGATTGTCAGGCCTCCCCAGCCACGTGGAACTGTGAGTCCATTAAACTTCTTTTTCTTTATTAATTTCCCAGTCTCGTGCATGTCTTTATCAGCAGCACGAAAACAGACTAACGCAGGCAGCCTGTGTTGGGAGGAGTTGGCAAGGAGGGAGGAGGTGCTGGCCAGTAGAGCACATGTGTCTCTGTGCATCAGAGCAAGGACCCGGGCTCTCCCCGTGAGTGAGAAGAGTCCATGGGGTTTTGGGGCTGAGGAGGAGTTTTACAGATGACCGGTCTGTTCTTGGCACTTGCAATTAGCGGACCGTCTGTATCCGAGTGTTGATCGGGTGGATTCTAACCCTGTGGGAGAACTCCCCAGCCCGTAGCCTGCGCTCACTGTACCTGGCAGTTGTATTAATGACGTCAAATGCACAGTCCAGCTTGAGTCCCCTCTAGAACGTGGGCAGCGGACACTAAGCCGAGAGGAATCGCTGTGGGTTGGCAGACACTGTGGAGACTGACTCCTGGACAGGCTGTGGAATGTGTGGAAGCAGGTACAGCCCAGGCCCGCGCTGAGGTTCGGCAGGGAAGCCAGAGGAGTCCGCAGCCCGGGAGACCTGGCCTACAGCGGAGAGAGTCAGTCCATGCCAGTGGTGGGATGTGGCTGCAAAAAATGGTCGGATTCATGGAAGTCTGGTGTCCAGCTGGCAGGCATTAGTGGTCCCATGAATACAGCTGTGTGCCTTGAACACGTACTGCAGAGCTTCCAGAGAGCACCAGGGCTGTGGGGGCTAGAGACTGTGTCTCGTGCGGAAGCGTGGCTGAGAAGGGGCTCGACAGGCTCTTCGTCACTGTGCGGAGCCTTCGAAGGACTTGGATGTGCTTGAGACCCCTTCCCCTAATTGCTGTGTAGGGCAGGGGTGGACATCCCGGGGATCGTGGAGTCTAGGGAGCCAGTCTGCACGGGATGGTTTTAGAAGCCGTAGGATGTGGAGGTTCTGGCTGAAGGAGCCAGAATTCCAGTGCCAGCTCCACTCCTCACGAGCTGTACAACCTGGGCCGGTTACTGACCCCTTTCCCACCTTAGTTCCCTGGCTCTACAATGGAGGTAATTATCGTGTTGAACTCACAGGGTCGAGATCATATTTAACACTTTCACAGCCCTTAGAAGTGTCTAGCACAGTGGTCCTCAGCATTTGGAAATGTCTGGAAACACTTTGTCACACCTGAGAAGAGGGATTTCCTACTGGTGTCTAGTAGGTAGAGGCCAGAGATGGCTGCTAAACACCCCATAATACACAAGACAGACCCCGCAACAGTGAACTCTCTGGCCCCTCCAAGTCAGTGGTGCAGAGATTGAGAGATCCTGGTTTCGCGTTTTGAGCGTGCAGTACATTTCAGTTGTTAGTGGAACATGCAATACATCTTTATTCACATGTTATTACTTATTTGTCAGATGTTTGTAAAACATCTGCTACATTCTTGGCAGTTTAATAGAATCTGGAGATACAAAGAAGTTCCTGACCACAGAGGTCATTTAGGCAAGCTAGGAAAGCACAGAATGATATAACACAAAGTTACATTGTACCATAAAGCATATTCTATAGTACACTTAACTCTGGTGGGCTCTTGGTATAAAAATGTCTCCAATCTCAGAGGTCATGGGATAGTGGGCAAGACATGAAAACCTTGTATAATATAAAATTTTGTTACCTCTAAGTGCTGAAATTAAGGTATAAACAACGTCTCATGGGAACCAAAACATCAGTCATTTGGAAGTATAAGTCAAGCCTTCGTAGGAGAGGAACCATTTCAGCCCGATATTACCAGAGTGGGATGGTCCCAGCGAGCGGGATGTGGAGGGTTAGGATGTTATCTTAGTCTGTTTTGTGCTGCCATTACCACCAAGTAGGTAATTTATAAGGAGCAGAAGTTTATTTGGCTCACAGTTCTGGAGGCTCGGATGTCCAAGATCTAGAGGACACATCCGGTGAGGGTCTTCTTGCTGCATTGTCTCATGGTGGATGGAAGAAGGGCAAGGTGGAGAGAGAGAGCAGGAAGGGGCCTAATTGTCCTTTTATAAGGAACCCACTCCTGTAATAATGGCATTAAACCCATTCATGAGAACAGAGCCCTTGACCCATTCATGAGAACAGAGCCCTCATGGCCTACTCTTATGAGACCCCACCTCACAACATTGTTAACATTTAGGATCAAGTTTCTAGCACATGAACTTTGAGGGACACATTCAAACCATAGCATTCTGCCCCAGTCCCCAAAATGGATGTCCTTGTCACATGTAGAATACATTTGCTTCTTACCTATAATCCCAAATTCTTATTTGTTTCAGCACCACATTAAAAGTCCAAAGTCCACAGTCTCATCTAAGTCAGCTGTGGGTAAAACTCAAGGTATGGTTCATCCTGAATCAAATTCCCCTCCAGTCATGGGCTGTGAAATCAAGCAAGTTGTCTGCTTCCAAAGTACAGTGATGGGACAGGCATAGGACAGATATTCCATTCCAAAAGGGAGAGATAGGCAAGAAGAAAGGGGCAACTGGTCCAGACAACTCCAGAACCCAGCAGGGGGAACAATACCAAATCCCAACTTGACAATAATCTTCTTTGACTCCATGTCCTGCCTTCCAGACACACTCGGGTAGGGACTTGGGCCCCCAAGGCCTCCGGCAGCCCTGCTTCCCTGGCCTTGCTGGGCTCATTCCATGCAGCAGCTCTCACCGGTTGGAGTCTCATGCTTGCAGCTCCCCCAGGTTGCTGTTGCACACTGGTAGCTCTGCAGTTCTGGGGTGTCAGGATGGCCTTACTCCCACAGCTCCACTAGGCTTCCTGGGGACTCTCAGCAGCTCAGACTCCACAGTTCTGCTGGGCATTGCCCTACAGGGGCTCCCTGGTGGTGGCTCTGACCCTGCAACCAGTCTCTGCCTGGGTCCCGAGTCTGTCCGCAATATCCTTTGAAATCTAGTTGGAGGGAGCCAGGCCCATAGCCCCTGCATTCTGTACTCTGGTGGCATTAGGACCATGTGGGATGCCACCAAGACTCACCACTTGCACCTTCTAGAATGGTAGGTCAAGCTGCACCTGGGCCCATTTAAGCCATGGCTGGGGAGGCAGAGGAGCACTGTGCCCAAATGTGGGAGCAGAGACTTGAGGTGGCCCTGGACAGTGAGCCACAGGTCCTGAGGGCTCCCAAGACCTGGCTTTTGACATAGTTCCTTCCCTCAGATTTTGGCACTGCCGGAGCTGTGATCACAGGTCATCTCTGCAGTACCTTTGGGATCATTCTTATTTTCTTGATGAATAGCCTCTGGCTTCATTCTTATTGTACTAATCTCCTTATCAAACTGTGGCTCTGGCCAATACTAATCTCCTTATCAAGTGGTCCATACTAATATTCTTATTAAACTATCAAACGGTAACATGCCTGCACCCTTGCTTTCCTCTCCTGAAAGTTCTTTCATTCTCTACTACAGGGCCGGTCTCAGAATCCTTCCAGTCTCTAAGTTCTGTTTCGCTTTTCATTATAAATTTCTTTCTTTCTTTCCTTCTTTTTTTTTTTTTTTTTTTTTGAGATGGAGTCTCACTCTGTTGCCCAGGCTGGAGTTCAGTGGCACGATCTCAGTTTACTGCAACTTCTGTCTCCTGGGTTCAAACCATTCTCCTGCCTTAGCCTCCCTAATAGCTGGGATTTCAGGTGTGTGCCACCACACCCAGCTAATTTTTTTGTATTTTTAGTAGAGATGGGGTTTCATCATGTCAGCCAGGCTGGTCTCGAACTCCTGACCTCAAATGATCCGCCCGCCTCAGCCTCCCAAAGTGCTAGGATTACAGACGTGAGCTACTGCGCCCAACCCTGCTTTTATTTATAAGTTTCATCTTTAAATTATTTATTTCTTCTCAAGTTTTACAGTATACAGTTAAAATAAGTCATACAGCAACCAAAATGCTTTGCTGCTTAGGTATTTCTTCCACCAAATAGCCTAGTTTATCACTCTTAAGTTCTGCCTGCTATACAGTTTGAGGACCTGGACACAATGTAGCCACATTCTTTGCTGCTTTGTAACAAGGATGACTGTTATGCCAGTTTCCAGTACCTTAATCTTCAGATATATCTGAGACCTCATCAGAATGGCCTTCACGATCGATATTTCTACCACCATTCTGATCACAACCACTTAGTCTAAGAAGTTTCAGACTTTCCCTACAGATCTTCTAATCCCGCTTTATTGCCTGCCTGCCTCCCTCCCTCCCTTCCTTCTTTCCTCTCTGCTCTCTCTCTCTTTTCTTCCTTTCCCTCCCCTCCCCTGCTTTCCTCTCCCCTCTCCACTTCTTGGCACCAATTTTCTGTCTTAGTCCATTTTGTGCTGCTGTAACAGAATACCACAGATTGAGTATATTATAATGAATAGAATTTTATTTGGCTCATGGTTCTGGAGGCTGGGAAGTCCAAGATCAAGGGGCTGCTCTGGCAAGGGCCTTCTTGCTGCATCATCCCATGGTGGAGAGTGGAATGGCAAGACAGATCAAGAGGGGACCTAACTGGCCTTTTATAAGGAACCCAGTTCCACAGTAATGGCATTAACCCATCCATGAGAGCAGAGCCCCATGATCTAAACACCTTTTATTAGGCCCTGCTTATACTGTTGCACTGGGGATCAAGTTGCAGCACTTGGACTTCGGGCAACACATTCAAACCATAGCAGGCACCTTAATAAAGGTGGAAAAGGGATGTGGCAGCTACAGTGGGAGGGAAAAGGTGGCTCCCTTAGTGTGCTTGGGAGGAGGGTAAGAGATGCGTTTGCAGTTCTCATGGCCGCAGACTGAAGGGGCCTGGTTACCTAAGGGACCTTGGCTTCATGTAAGGAGTGCGGAGTGAGTGAAGCAAGAGGGTGATTTGATCCATATCATTTCTTAGAAGGATACCATGTTGGCAGTTTCGAAGAAGGGGCATGAGTGAGGAAACAGTTGTGGTGAAGAGACCAGTTAGGAAGCCTGTAACTTGGGGTGGGATCTGGAACCAGGCTGTGGCTCCGGAAGAGGAGCTGGAGGGCTGCACTGTGAAGTATTTCTCAGAGTCTAGACAATGTGACCTTCACACTGGGGCTGAGTTTTGTAAAATCCGACATCCCCAGTTTCACCTATGATGCCAGGCCTGTGGTAAGGAGCTTTGCAAGCATTTGCTAGAATATGAGCAAATGGAGGTAGAACTGATAATATTTAGTAACCATGGGGGGATGAAAGAGGGAGGTGTTGGGAGACTGGGTTGATAATATGGGGGTTGGGAGTGAGGAGAGAGTCCAGCTTTGAACATCTTCTTCCATTTGAGGAATTTAAGATCATCCAGCTAGAAAATTAGAAATACTAGGATGGAGTGTGGAAGAGAAATTAGTGCTGAAAATAAAGAGCTCGAATCATCAGTGTATGAATAGTAGTTAAACCTCTGAAAATGAGTGAACTTGTCCCCTGAAAATGTGTGGCAGGGGAGAAGCGAGGTTCAAGGACAGTGCCCCCGAGAATGCCAGCATTTAAAGGGTGGACCCTCGGTGGCTCACGCCTGTAATCCCAGCACTTTGGGAGGCTGAGGTGGGCGGATCGCTTGAGGTCAGGAGTTTGAAACCAGCTTGGCCAACATGGTGAAACCCCGTCTCTACTAAACATACAAAAATTAGCCAGGCATGGTGGTGGGTGCCTGTATCCCAGCTACTAGGGAGGCACAAGAATCACTTGAACCTACAAGGCAGAGGTTCCAGTGGGTTCGTGCCACTTCACTCCAGCCTGGGTGACAGAGGGAGACTCCCTCTCAGAAAAAAAAAAAGAAGAAGAAGAAAAAAAAAAAGGTGGGCCCCGGCAGCAGAGCCTACTGTCCCGGAGGCAGGAGGAAAACCTGAAGGGAATCTTGACCTTGACCTAGAAGCCAAGGAGGAGGCATGGCCAACAACATCAAAGGCCTCTGAGCAGCGCAGTGAAGACTGACAATAGACCTTTCTTAAGTTTGGCAATTAGAAGGTCATTGGCCTCAGCAAGAGCAATTTCAGAATAAAAACAAGAGTGGAGGGAGTGGCATAGGGGTCGGGGGACAGAGTAGGAAGTGAGGGTGTAGTAGAGGGGAAGAAGTTTGATCACTGAGGGAAGGAGGGAGATGCAGGGGTAGCTTGAGGAGGAGATAGAGCAGAGAGAGGTTTGCTGTTTATTTTAGGAAGAGGAGACTTGAGCATGTTTATAAGTCAGAGAATAGAGAAGGAGAGGTGGGAGACACAGGGAAAAGAGGAGTCATTGATTGGGAACTATTCTGGGAAGGTGAGGTGGATCTGGTGTCTAGGTGGAAGGATTTGGGGGAAAGAGGGGAGGTAGGAGAGTCTAGACGTAGACAGCAGGCAGACAGGGGCTCCAGGTTTTCCCTACAGAACTGAGGACAGTGATGGCCGAGCGTGGTGGCTCATGCCTGCAATCCCAGCACTTTGGGATGCCAAGGTAGGTGGATCACTTGAGGCCAGGAGTTGGACACCAGCATGGGCAACATGGAGAAACCCCATCTCTACTAAAAATACAAAAATTAGCCGGGCATGGTGACACATGCCTGTAGTCCCAGCTACTCAGGAGGCTGAGGCACGAGAATCATTTGAACCTGGGAGGTGGAGGTTGCCGTAAGCTGATGGCACCACTGCACTTTAGCCTGGGCGATAGAGCAAGACTGTCTGAAAAAAAAAAAAAAAAAAGAAGAAGAAGAAGAACTGAGGACAGTAAGAGTAAGTGGTCGCTTGTGATCACAGAACCAGCAAGTAAACCGCGAGCTTCTGCCCCTCTGGTCTTCCCAGACCCCTTCCCCGGAACATTAAGCCATATCGCTTTTATGGGTCCAGGGGCTCTGAGGGGCTGGGCATCATACTGTGCCCCTGGGGGCATATCTAGTTCTGCCCCACTTGGTTGGGCGGGTACCTGCTGAGTACTCACTGTGTGTTAGGCTGTGAATGCTGGGGCAGCAGGAGGCATGGTTTCTGCCTCCACTGGGCCTTATTTCTTCACCTTGTCCCCCAGTTCTGCCCTTGGGTAAGTTCTGTGGCAGAACTGACCAGCTCCCTTCGGCCAGGGACATCTTGGTTCCTGGCAGAGCACCAAGAAGAGCAGATTGTCTTCCTACCCGGGGGCACCTTTGCCCAGCAGGTCGGGTGAGCTGGCCTCTTGGTGAGAGGCTGGTCCCCTTGGACATGAGTGGATTCGATGCCTGCTTTCCCACCCAGGTACTCTACTGTGGCTTTGCTCCTGCCCTTTATGCTCAGAGCTAGACCAGCAATGTGGGGGAGCTGCTGGGGAAAGGCGCCATGTTGTCTTGAGGTAGCAGCCAGCCCCGGAAGCCCTGGAATGCCTGGGGCCACTGAGCAATCCTCACCCTCAGCCCCACAAGGGGAGGGCGTGGCTCGTGAAATTCCTGATTGGGTATAGCCCAGCAAGCCCCAAGACTCGCCCAGTTTGCTTAGCGCAACACTGACGCTGTTTTGGAATGAAGACAAGACAATGTAGAACTTTACTGGGGAAGAGGTCGAAGAAGGGCTAATTGTCTTGTTGTTCAAGACTGGTTAGCGCTGCTCACCTCTGACGCTGCTCACCTCTGACGCCAAAGGTTTTTCCCTGGAAGGCAGCCCTGGAGGATACCTGTGTATCTGTCTTTCACAAAAGGTGAAATGAGCTCTTTGTAGTGTTTCCCGCCCAGGCTGCATTTTAGAATCACAGAGGAGGTACGGCGCTGATTTGTTTTACTATTCCCTATTCATGCCTGGGCCCCACCCCTAACCAATTAAATAAACATCTCGGAGAGTGGGGCCTAGACTTTATATGTTTAAGCTCCTCAGGTCATTGCATTGTGCAGCCAATGCTGTGACCTATGAATACAAAGGAAGATGAAACGCACCCTGGTCATGCAAGGAAGATGGAGAGAGGGAGCAGGGAGGGTGAGAGAGGCTGCAGTTCGTAAGGTCCTGAAATGTTAGAGCTGGAGGGATCCTGGTTCGGAGCACTGCAACTCAAAAGAGTAGTTCTAGCCATGCAGCAGGCCCCATTAGGGAGCTGGTTAGAATGCAAATCCCCGCCTGCCCTGCACCCCATCTGGCACCCTCTGAGTCACGGCGTGCACATCGAGGTTTGAGAAGTGTGCTTTCAGGTCACCCACAGATCATCCAGACCAGTGGTTCTCAACCTTGGCTGCACTTTAGAATCACCCAGCGGGCTTCAGCGAATTCCAGTGCTGGGCTAGATGAATTAACCCAGAATTTCTAGGTGTTGGGACCCAAATACTCATTTAAAAAATTTTTTTTGTTTAAGTACTTCAGGTGAGTCTCTTCTTCAGCCATAATCAAGAATATCAGGCTTGACCAGTGCTTCTCAAACTTGGACAGATAGATGAATCGCCAGGGTATCGTGTTTAAATGCAGATTCTGATTTTATAGGTCTGGAAGGGGCCAAAGAATCCACTTGTCTGGGCTCTGGGATGCCCATGGGACTGATCTGGCCTTTTTTGAGCAGTGGGAATAGGCTGACTTCTCAGTTTGACAGCAAGGAAACTGCAGGTCAGAGAGGGAGGTGTGATCGTCCACGGTAACCAACCTGATATGCATTCAGTACTTTCTGATGTACTCTACTGTGTGCCAAGCAGCATGCTACATGTGGGACTAGAGCTGCGAACAGGACAGACCCAATTCCAACCCTCACAGAGCTTATATCCCAACTGGGGAGACAGACAGAAAGAAAACAAGTAACTAAGCTGATGACAGATGGGAAAAGCTATGAAGGCGAGGAGGGCCATGTGTAGGGAACGACTCAGAGATTGCTGTGGGGTGAGGGGTAGGTAAGGCACGCCCCTTTCAGAAGAGCTGTCGGGGGAGTTACTAGGACAATACCTTTAACTGGGGACTCCTGCTGATTACAAACTGATCACTTTTCTTTACTGGACAGGACTAGGCTTCATCCCCTCTGGGGTTTGGGGATGGTGCTTCTGACTCTCCTGAGGCAGTCTGACCCTGGTCCCTGCCTGGCTGTCTCCTCTGACTCAAGACTCTGATCCTTCAGTGTTTGTGGGTTCAGAGCAGAGCCTGGGAATGAGCCCGCTGGGGAGCAGGACACTGACTCCACCATAGGACAGGGCTCAGGATCATTGGTTAATGGTTTGTAAAATGGACCAGGCCTCATCCAGATGCTGTCCCCAGCCCCTATGAAAACATGGAAAGTTTCCACTGGTGCACAAACACTAGTGCTTGCCTCCCTTTCCTGATCAACCGTCGGACTCACATGGGCTGTTTGTGAAAATGCCTGTCCCAGGCCATACTCAGGCTGACCAAGGTGGTCTGGTCTCCAGGGAAGGGCCGTGAAATGTATTTTTAGGAAGTGGTCCAAAGGACTCTTCTGATCCAGATCATCAGGAAGCATGGCGTGGATGGAAGAAACTGGCACTTGGCATCTGGTGCCTCTGTGTGGCTGTAGAAGCTACAGAAATGTCTTCTGCAGTGACTGCAGCGTGGCCCTGGCTGAGCTGGTGCTTGTGAGGAAGCCTCTGCTTGTGTGCAGGGGTGAACAGCAGCTCACCCCTTCCCATGCACAGTCCTCACCTTACTACCTTCACCCTTACTGGAAGCATCTCTTGACTTCTCTTTGGCCAGCCAGACCCTCCCAGCTCCCTGTGCTCCCCATTTAAACACCTTCCCTCCCTGAGCTTAGCCCATGGCTGGGTGGGGAGGCGTGAGCACTGTTTGCATTTGGTCAGGGCCTAGAAGGGATCAAGGAGGCCTCATGAGGACCATGTCATAGCCCCACCCTCACTCCCCACCCCTGACCTGAGCAAACCTGTTTGGCTGGATTGATGATGGAGAGGCAGGCAGTGACCAGACCAAGAGACGCCTTGGATGGTGGAGAATAGGTGACCCTCTGTTGGGTAAAAGAGGACTCAAGCCCTCACACAGTGAGTTGGCTAACTTTTTGTCTCAACAGTGGGCGGGGGTAGCTGTCTGCCTCCTGGAGCTGGCCCTTCCTGGGTCAAAATGCAGAAGGAGATGGTGAGAAGAACCACACCAGAGAGGCTGGAGTAGGCCAGCCTGGCTTGGGACCGAGTCCCGAGTCCCTGGCTGGACCCTCGGTTTTCCCTTCCGTGGCAGGGCTCACCTGGATCCTTAATGCCGCCCTTGGAGGAGTTAGGAGGATCCTGGATGAGAAAACTCACCCTCAGGATGATTGCCCCAGGGAGCAGCTTCCTGCTTTCTGGTGGAAGGGAGGGGCAGACAGTGGGTGTGTCCTGCTCCAGTGTCTAGGCAGGAGAGTTTGTGAAGCTGACCGGACACCTGTGGCTCTTATTTCCTAGGTGGCCCGAGGCAGCCGGGATGACAGCTCTCCCCAGGAATCCTGCTGCCTGCTGAGAAACATGGTCAGCAAGTCCCGTGAGTGTCATCCGAGGGCTCCCCCACCCTGGAGGACAGGCCTCAGAAGCCGTCTTCAGCAGGATCCTGGGACCTCTGGGGGCTGTGGAGGGACAGACAGGGAGCCAGGGGCCCTTCTCTTCATCTTGAAGGACAGTGGGTACAATCAGGGTCAAGCCCTCAGCCAGGGCCAGGAGAGGGCCAGAGACTGCTTCTGTTGAGTTAGGGGTCGGAGGGACTCAGAAGGGGGCAGGTGGGAAGGTGGACGGGGGTTGTACCTGCCTGTTGCTGCCTCTAGCTCCTCTCTGCATGTGTCCTGCAGGCTGGAAGCTCCTGGCCATGTTGGCTCTGGTCCTGGTCGTCATGGTGTGGTATTCCATCTCCCGGGAAGACAGGTACATCGAGCTGTGAGTTCACCTTCCATGTCCTTCCAGTGGCTCTTGTCAGGGACAGGGCTTAGGGATGGAGCATCATGGAGCGGGGGACCTAGTAGGGCAGGAAGGTTCCAAGAGCCGGCACATGACCTCATCCCTTCAGCTGCTGGTACGGAGTGTTTCCATGAGGGTGGGTGGGGGTAGGGCCTGGGATGTCTCACTGGGCCCTCACCCAGGGAGTGCAGGGGCAGGAAGACCTGGATCCTCAAGGACTTGGGTTCCAAGTGGAACTTAACTTGAGATGATTCCTCCCCGGCACCTTGGGACCTTCATGCCGTGGGAGAAGGCTTAGGCTGCCTGGAACATGGGTCCCTGGGTCTGACTGGGGCTTCTGCCTCCTGTCCTTTTTTCTCTCCAGTTTTTATTTTCCCATCCCAGAGAAGAAGGAGCCGTGCCTCCAGGGTGAGGCAGAGAGCAAGGCCTCTAAGCTCTTTGGCAAGTAAGTACTTAAGGATGAGGAGGGTAGAGCAGGGCATGGAGCGAGCTGGGATTGAGGGTTTCACAGTGTGGGGAGTAGATGGAAAGAGCAGCTGTGTTGGTGGACATGGGTTAGGTGAAGCCAGGGAGGGAAGAGAAGGCCTTATAATATTAGTCATGGGCCTAACCCTACTTCTGGCATCAAGATTAATTCTGTTCTCATCCCCACCCGGCTTTCACCTCTGTGCAGCTACTCCCGGGATCAGCCCATCTTCCTGCGGCTTGAGGATTATTTCTGGGTCAAGACGCCATCTGCTTACGAGCTGCCCTATGGGACCAAGGGGAGTGGTAAGTTCCTACCCGGCTCGTGGGAACCATGGGCTCACCCTGACCACGTTGCTTCCTATTCTCTGCCGTCCACGGCCCCAGTGCCCAAGTTCTGAGCCTGACTCGGGTACCAGGGTCAGGGGAAGAAGAAGGCAGCCAGCGCTCTGAGGAGCAGTGGAGGGAGGGCAGGCAGCCTTCAGAATGCTATCTGTCACATCAGTCCCTCCGCCTGGTACTTTTTGTAGAGGATCTGCTCCTCCGGGTGCTAGCCATCACCAGCTCCTCCATCCCCAAGAACATCCAGAGGTAAGGCGGCACTCCGACTCCAGTCTGGGCACCTTCTCCTATTTCCTGCCCCCTGCCCGCTCCCCCCACTCCCCACCCCCCCGCTCTGTGAAACAGTCATGGACTGGTACCATCCCAGCCAATTCTCATGGTAGCCTAGCCTGGGCATCTGGGTGCAGAGTGGGCAGAGGCTGCTCGAGGGTATTGCAACAGTGGGGCAGGCGTTTCTCATTGATACACCCCCCCATGCCTTCCCTCCACTCCTCTGCCCTCTTCTGTGCTCTGCGCAGTCTCCTCCTCTTACAAAGCCCAGGGCTGTAAAGTCAGCATGACCCTAAGCAGGACCACGGGGTGATGCCTGCTTCATGGGGACCAGGGGCTGAGGGGGCCTAGGAAGTGGTCCTGAGATGGGCCCAGGCAGATCCAGGGCAGCGAGCCTGGGTTAGAGTGTGGGGTGACATAGACCACTCCTCTTTCTATGGCAGCCTCAGGTGCCGCCGCTGTGTGGTCGTGGGGAACGGGCACCGGCTGCGGAACAGCTCACTGGGAGATGCCATCAACAAGTACGATGTGGTCATCAGGTGTGTGTGACTGTCTCTTCCTACTGTTGTTTGGGAACTGGATGTCCGAGCCAGGGACTGTAGACAGGCCCAGGAGGCCTCTAGTGATGGGAATCCTCCTCCCAACCCCCAGATTGAACAATGCCCCAGTGGCTGGCTATGAGGGTGACGTGGGCTCCAAGACCACCATGCGTCTCTTCTACCCTGAATCTGCCCACTTCGACCCCAAAGTAGAAAACAACCCAGACACACTCCTCGTCCTGGTAGCTTTCAAGGCAATGGACTTCCACTGGATTGAGACCATCCTGAGTGATAAGAAGCGGGTAAGTTGGGGGACAGACTGGGGGCTGAGGCCTGGCGGTGGGGACGCTGCCCGAGTCAGGACCTCACGCTCCTTGATGTCCGCCTGGCAGTCCTAAAGAGGCTGTGAGGGGACAGCATGAACCGGGCTCCCGGAAGTCAGCGCCTTAGGCTGCCCTCCAAGGGTGGTGCTCTGATAAGCTGCCCCAGCAACTGGGTATAAAAGCCTGCAGGCGTCAGGTGGCAGCAGCCACAGGCACCCATGCTCCAGGCGTGTCTGTGACAGGAAAGCTTTCCGAGTAGGTGTTTGCCTGTGAGGAACTCGGGAGCTGAGCAACCCTCCAGCAGCCATCTCCAGGCTGAGGGCAGGTTAGAGCAATGAGGCCTGTGTCCAAACAGATGGTCCCCAGAAAGAGTTCACTACATCACTTTGCCATCCGGTCACAGGCTGAACTGTCCCATCTGGCATTTTTGTCAAGTGTTTAGACAGCCTAAAACTTTAGTCCCTTCTACCTGTGTGGATGTTCTTGGAAGTGGTCCATGGTTTAGACCCTCCACTCTATACACCTGGTCACCTGGCCTCCCGAGGGGGTGCCTTTCCTCCTCTCTTTCCCTGGTCCTCTCCTGGTCTCCCATCTGTGGCACAGACTTCACCTCCCTTTCCTCTCACCTTGTGCTCCTGAAGGCCTCTGCCATCGCTTGGACCCCCTCGCCTCGCTGAGGACCACTGGGTTGGATTTGAGAAACAGGGCTTCACCCGCTTCTGTCTCTCTCTTCTGACCCCATCCTCCTAGGTGCGAAAGGGTTTCTGGAAACAGCCTCCCCTCATCTGGGATGTCAATCCTAAACAGATTCGGATTCTCAACCCCTTCTTCATGGAGATTGCAGCTGACAAACTGCTGAGCCTGCCAATGCAACAGCCACGGAAGATTAAGCAGGTGATGATGGGAAGTCAGGCCTGAGGGCTAGGATCCTGGGCGGGAAGTAGGAGGGATGATCCTATGGGCTTAGGAAGCCCTGGAAGGATCCCATAACAGAGGCGGCGGTTTGCATTTTCCCTCCAGGAACACACCTGTCATTAAAGTTGCTGCTGCAAAGGGGAGTGCACACTTTAGAGAACCAAGGGGCATTTACTAAGTGGGGAGGGATGGGGATGGCCTGGATCAGGTTTAGGGGCTGGTGTGAGAGGATGGTTTTGGCAGGCGCTGGTCAGAATTTGTCAACTGGGGAGCTGCTGGAACAGTCAGTGGTCTGATCTGTGGAACAACTTGAGCCATGCAGAGTTACTGTTAGATACTTCATCTGTGATCTTATCTTGAAACACTAGTCTGAACGAGTTATAAGAGTTGGAGCTAAACAGTTTGTCTTGCATGTCATGATTTGGTATGGTGTGTCAATTCAGGGAGTCAATGTAGTTTTGCAAGTTATGGGTTTTTGTTTTGTTTTAAAGATAGCGTCTCACTCTGCCACCCAGGATTGGGTGCAGTGGTGCAATCATAGCCCACTGTAACCTCAAACTTCCAGGCTCAGGTGATCCTTCTGCCTCAGCCTCCTGAGTAGCTGTGAGACTACAGGTATGCACCATCACGCCTGGCTAATTTTTAAATTTTTTTGTAGAGATGGGGGTCTCACTGTGTTGCCCAGGCTGGTCCTGAACTCCTGGCCTCAAGTGATCCTCGTGTCTCAGCCTCCCAAAATGCCGGGATTACAGGTGTAAGGCACTGTGTCTGACCACAAGTTATGTGTTATGTGTTTCTTCTTTTTAACCTGATGTCCTTGAGCCATAGCAAGTTATGGTTTTGAGTGCAGTGCCCTGGTGGTCTTCAGCTGGTGGGCTTTAACCCACTTTGTAGCTTCCCAAGTACTTCCACCCATATCTTGGAGCCCCTCGGGGAGGCCGTGTGGGATGGTGAGAGACAGGCACTAGCAGACACAGGTATGGCGCTTGGCTGTGCTGTGTACTGTGTGGGGCTTGGCAGGTCAACTGCTCAGATCCTTGTTTTTCTTGCCTGTGTGGTGGGATAATATCCATAATGACCTTTTAAGGCTGTTGTAGGAGTTTGAAAAATAATAATGATGTAAAATACCTATTCTGGAGACCGGTACACAGGGCCTGCCCTTTAAATATTTGCCAGATTTTGAATAAATGATTTTATTGTTTACTGAACATTTCCTGTTATTCCATGTTCTGTGTTGAATGGCTGCTTTTGTGACTGCTCAATGCCAGGCCCCGAGTCTTCTTGCTTGGCGAGGAAGTTGTGCTCCTTGCTCTAAGGGACCTCAGTCTAGCAGAGTAAGAATGCAGGTTGCACTGTGGGGTGATAAAATTCCACAATGGAGAGTTGTTCCCAATGCCGTGGAATCTCAGAGGAGGGGCAGACATCTGCTGAGAGATGTCTGGGAGGCTCCCCAGAGGAGGTGGTGCTGGAGCCGGGCCTGGAAGGATCAGGCAGAGAGCTGGGGAAAGGCATTCCATTTGGCCAGAGCAGGCGGCTCCTCCAGCACTGAACTGTTTCCAGTACAAGTGGCGTTGAAGGGCAACAAGGAGTTTCATGCCATTCATAGGATTACAGATGGAGAGGAGGCTGGAGAGGGAGATGAGAGAGGGCGAGGACCTGAACCCAGCTCCTGGCAGTGGGAAGGGAAAAGGAGGAGATGGACTCAACATTGTGTTGGTTGTTTTTTTTTTTGAGATGGAGTCTTGCTCTGTCACCCAGGCTGGAGTGCAGTGGGGTGATCTTGGCTCACTGCAACCTCTGCCTCCCAGGTTCAAGTGATTCTCCTGCCTCAGCCTCCCAAGTAGCTGGGATTACAGGCATGTACCACCACACCTGGCTAATTTTTGTATTTTTACGAAAATACAAAACACAGGAGTGCTGGTCTCGAACTCCTGACCTTAGGTGATCTACCCGCCTCGGCCTCCCAAAGTGCTGGGATTACAGGTGTGAGCCACTGCGCCTGGCCTGTATTAGCTTTCTGTTGCTCCCTAACTAATACCACAAGTTTAGCCGGCTAAAACAATACCCATGTACTGGCTCATGGTCCTGTAGATCAGAACAGCAGGGTGTGGCTGGTTCTCTGTTTAGGGTGTCACAAGGCTGGACTCGGTGTGTCAACCAGACAGTTCTCATCTGGAAGCTTGGGGGAAAATTTTGCTTCCAGGCTCATTCTTGTGGTTGAAATAATTCGGTTCCTGCGATTGTAGAACTGAGGTCCCCATTTCCTTGCTGGCTGTCAGCTGGAGGCTGGGGGCCACGCTCAGCTCTTGGAGGTGGCCCACATTTCTTGACCGTACAGCCTCCATCTTCAAGCCAGCGACGGCACAATAGATCCTTTCTGTGCTTCAAATCTCTGACCTCCGTTTCTGATCTTGACACCCGGATTTAAAGGTTCAGGTAATTAGGTCAAGCTCAGCAGGACAGCCTCTCCTTTTGTGTTCAACTGTGCCATATAAAGTAACGTCACGTAATCGCATCATATTCACGGGCTCCCCACACGCGCAAGGGAGGAGATTACATGAGGGTTAGCGTCACTGGGGTTCTCTTACGATTCTGCCTTATATATTTTACAGGTGGAATTGAGAGATTTCTGACCAATTCTGGGTTTCTAGCTTGGACAGCCGGTAGGGGGCGGGGGGTGGTAACATATTTAACTAATAGAGAGAGAGTGCAAGGAAGAGGAGGAATTTGGTGAGTGTAAGGAGACTGTGTCCAGGCAGAGCTGGCTAGAAGGCCATGGAAGTGTGGCTCAGCCCAGCTGGATGAGATAACACACTGGTGGTGAAAGCAACAAGGGTGGAAAAGAAGGTCCAGCCAGGGAGTGGAAGATGAGAAGACAGGAGAGCTCAGAGAGGGAGAAAGCTGGCATGTCGACAGGCCTGATGAGGTCCAGGAAAGGCTCCCAAATGGGTATGGGCAGCTGAAATTGTGTGCAAAGCAGGTTGCTGAAGCGGAGGAAGGCGGGGCTGGAGAAGTGAGAATATCAGGCTGCCCGTCACTGTGGATGAATTAGGCATGAGCAACTGAGGTTCTCAGAGCAGCCAGTAAGGTGAATGGGAAAGGTACTGCTGTCCTGCTTTAAAGGAGAGGGCAGCCACCATGGCTCACGCCTGTAATCCCAGCGCTTTGGGAGGCAGAGGTGGGTGGATCGCTTGAGCCCAGGAGTTCGAGATCAGCCTGGGCAACGTGGTGAAACCCCATCTCTTTAAAAAAATAGAGCGCCACCCCCATAAAGGGTCGCACAGTTAGTGCATGTCAGAGCACCCAGGTCTTCTGAATGAGGTCAGGTTCTCCAAGGAGGAGGGCAGAACACTTCCTTTCCTTTGAATGAGTTGCTTAACGCTTTTGTAAGCCTTGGTTTTCTCATCTGTAAAATGGGGCTGATGATAATAGCTACCTCCAAGTGTTTTTGTGAGACTAGATGAGATAATGTTTTATAGTAGGTAGGTAAAATACTAAACATAGTGTCTGGCACATAGTGTTTAAAAAGTAACTGATATGATGATGGCTGTCATTCTGATTGTTAGTCTTATCTCTACAGGCCCCAGGCCTCCCCCAGATGTGTGGAGCTGTACCATCCAGAATGGTAGCCGCTAGGCACATGTGGCTATTTACTTATTTATATTTGTTTATTTTTAGAGATGGGGGGGTCTCACTATGTTGCCCAGGCTGGAGTGCAGCAGCTCTTCACAGGTGCATTCTTAGCGCACGACAGCCCAGGAGTCCTGGGCTCAAGCAGTCCTCTGACCTCGGCCTCCTGAGTTGCTGGAACTATGGGCATATGCACTACTGCACCCAGCACATGTGGCGATTTAAATTTACAATTTAATTAATTAAAATTTAATAAAATAAATTCAGTTCCTCAGCTGCACTGGCCCCATTTGCGTGCTCGTTAGCTCGTGGCTTGTCTTGTTGGACAGCGCAGATGGAGAACGTTTCCGTGACTGCAGGAAGTTCCACTGCAGAGCGCTGGCAGAGATGATGGTGGGAGGAGCAGGGCTCCCACTAACACCCTCCTGCCCCTGTTCCTCAGAAGCCCACCACGGGCCTGTTGGCCATCACGCTGGCCCTCCACCTCTGTGACTTGGTGCACATTGCCGGCTTTGGCTACCCAGACGCCTACAACAAGAAGCAGACCATTCACTACTATGAGCAGATCACGCTCAAGTCCATGGCGGTAAGTGCCTGGCTTGTGAGCATGGTGGGCCAGGGCGTGGACGGGCAGACAGTCAGAGGGGCACTGGGTGAGTGGGAGCAGTGCTGAGACCCAGAGGTGGCTCCCGCAGTCAGAACTGGAACCGAGGCACCTGGACTCCCTGGCCAGCATCCTCCATGTTCAGCCACATGGGCTTTGTCTTCCTTCCAAGAGCCAGCCTGGGGAAGGGAGCTCCCAAGAAGTGTGGGGCCATTGGGAGGGGCAGGGAGACTTTCCTGGGGACAGAGAGGTCCCTGGGAGTCCCTCAGTTTATTTCCTTGGCTGTCTCCACAGGGGTCAGGCCATAATGTCTCCCAAGAGGCCCTGGCCATTAAGCGGATGCTGGAGATGGGAGCTATCAAGAACCTCACGTCCTTCTGACCTGGGCAAGAGCTGTAGCCTGTCGGTTGCCTACTCTGCTGTCTGGGTGACCCCCATGCGTGGCTGTGGGGGTGGCTGGTGCCAGTATGACCCACTTGGACTCACCCCCTCTTGGGGAGGGAGTTCTGGGCCTGGCCAGGTCTGAGATGAGGCCATGCCCCTGGCTGCTCTTATGGAGCCGAGATCCAGTCAGGGTGGGGGCGCTGGAGCCGTGGGAGCCCGGCCAGGGCAGGGGGCTCGTTGCTGTGGCACCCCCTCTCTGCCAGCACCAAGAGATTATTTAATGGGCTATTTAATTAAGGGGTAGGAAGGTGCTGTGGGCTGGTCCCACACATCCAGGAAAGAGGCCAGTAGAGAATTCTGCCCACTTTTTATAAAAACTTACAGCGATGGCCCCACCAAGGCCTAGACACGGCACTGGCCTCCCAGGAGGGCAGGGGCATTGGGAATGGGTGGGTGCCCTCCAGAGAGGGGCTGCTACCTCCCAGCAGGCATGGGAAGAGCACTGGTGTGGGGGTTCCACCGAGAAGGGGACCTCATCTAGAAAAGAGGTTACAAACCTACCATTAAACTATTTTTCCTAAAACGGAAGCAGTTGTGATGTCCTGTGTCCTTTCAGGTGGGGGAAGGCATGGGACAGGGTGTGGCAGTGGGCAGGCTTGTTAGACCAGAGCAGGGCATGGTCACTCAGGAAATAATGACTTATTGAGTCCAGTGTTGGGTGCCCGGTCATGCATTATCACCCTGGCATAGCAGGAGAGTGAGTGGTGCTCACAGCACCCGTCTGCAGGCACCCAGCCTGGCACCCGGCACCCTGGGTTACTGCCCAGAGGAGGGAGGGGCTGGAGGATGCCAGACGAGAGTGCCAGAGTCCTCTCCCACCTTCCTTCCTCTCTTCCCCACCATTCTTCAGTTACCCAAATCTCATGCTTGGGAGGTATGTGTTTTAAGGACAGGGGTGGGGTCAGACAAAGAAAGCCAAGTTTCCCTTCTCAGATTAAGTGGGAACCAGAAAATGGAGTTTATGGAAGGTCTTGCCAGCGGCCCAGGCTGCCAGGATGGGATGGGCAGGCCTGGAGGGCAGTGTGGAAGGGATTTGGCAAGGCCTAACAGCCAGTTGCTGGGCCAGGGGATGAAACGGCTTCTTTCCTAGGTCTTTAGCATCCTAACAATCCTGCCGTTTGCCTGTCTCTCCCGCCTTCGTTCTCCATCTTCCCAGATCCTGCTTAGCTGCCAACTGGGCTTCCTGCCACCCCACAGCTGTTCCTTTACATCTGGAGCCAGGAGGGAGAGTTGGAACTCCCCACTTGGGGAATGGAACTGGCAGCTGTATTCCTGGCTTTCTCGGAAAGAGTTGCGGCCTTGAGGTTTTGAGACAAGCCAGGCTGGGACAGGACAGATAAAGAGGGGCAGCAGTTTGGGAGGAACAGAGGAAGATGACATGGTTCTCCACAGAGCGTTGGAATGGCCTTGTGGACACCCACTTCATCCCCCAGAATGGCCCCAAGGACCCTCCCAGGGAACAGAAGGGCTGCTCTCTCAGCAGCCTGGCTGCTTTGCCAGGGGAGAGGGGGGTTCTGAGAGCGAGTAGAGCCCCAGCATCTGCAGCCCCAAGCCCACTCCCCTCCACACGGGCAAACTTTGTCTTGAAGGCTGTGTCCTGGGGAGCGAGCTTGCAGACAGCAGGGGTTGTGAGCGTGTGGGGATCTCAACTCTGCTCACCCCGATGCGTCCCCAGCTGCCGCTCATGTGGAGATGCAAGGGAGTGTCCGTTTTCCCATCCGGGGCCATTGAGAATGGCTGTCTGCATACATGATCCAGCTGGCCTGGACTGAGGCCACTGCCTGTTACTGAACGTGCCTAAACTCAAGCTAGAATCCGGCACACAGGGGTGGGTCAGACCCGTCTAAACTCCACACACGCACACATGTAGATATGGGAGCATTTTACATTCTTGGTGGGTTGTTTGTGATTCTGTGTGCGGACAGTCCTTCCTGCTCACATACTGAGAAGACTGTGAATGCGGGGTGTGTGTATACCCAAATAGACCATTGTTTGCTTGGGGGGGTGGGGATAGCTTTCTCCAGGGTGCCCAACATCCTACGCAGATTGAGGCAATACTGGCCAAGGGTCGGAGCTGAGAATGGGGCTTTGATGTGGGGCTGTTGGATGGGGTTCTTTGGTTTTCTGGGAAAGGGACTTTCAGTCTTCAATTAGCCCAACCAACGGGAATGAACTGCCTGCCAGCCTGCCTGGGACTGATTAAACCATACCCTGGAAATGAGGAGGGGAAAGAGCACAGTAGGGCACGTGCTTGAGGGCAAGTCAGGAGATCTGGGTTCTCCACCAGCCTCTGTCGCCTTTTTCTGTAAGAACGTGGGCCAGTCATTTCTCTGCAACAAAAGGGTGGGTCCAGCTAAGGAGAACCGCTTGTCTCAGAATTACCTAGGGAGACTTGGGAATAGAGATTCCTGGGTCTCACCCAGGCTGCTGGGGACAGCAGGATCATCGCACGGGCCTCTTGACTCTACGGCCTGCGTGTAAAGCCTGCGCTAAGCCCCAGTGTCCTTCAGCGGCGTCAATTAGGCGCACGCGCAGTTTCCTCTCCGGAGGGGCGGGCAGGGCAGGGGAGGGAGGAGCTACTGATGTAGCTCGCCCCGCCCTGGCGTCAGGGCCGTGCAAGCGTTGTCCGCATGGGCGCCGCGCCGACCCTCGCGGCCGTGGGAACCCGCCCGGAATCTCGCAGGGCCTGTCGCGCTTCGTCCAGGTTGACGGCCTCCTCCCCGCGCTTTTCGGGATGCTGGCCCCGGCGCCCCGCCTCAGGCGAGGCCGGCCCCTCCCTGGCAAGCGGCTCAAGGCTTGGCGACGGCTCAGGGGAGGCTGGGCGGACTAGGGGGCCGCGCCCCTCCGAACTCTCGCTGGGCCTCGGTCATGCCACCTGCTTTGGGTTCATCGCAGAGGCTGGGGTGAAACTGCCTTAGGTTGCGAGGGAGTGGAAGAGCTCTGTCCCATCGAATTTAGATCCTGGAAGTCCACAGAGGGGAAACTGAGGCCCGGAGGAGAGAAGGGACTCCCCGCTTCGTCACCTTGCTGGGCAGGATAAGAGTCAAGGTCTCTAGTGCGGGAACACTTATAAATGTTACTCTGTGTTCACATCACATGGTGTGCCTTAATTTTGGATGCCAAGGATTTTATTTACATTTTCCAAGGACACAAATGCATTCCGTTGCTTTCCTCCAGAGGCTGCCTAGCCTACGAGGAGTTTGAGCTTGGAACAGGTTTTTGTGGGAGACAGTAAGGTGCGATGCACACCAAATAGGGACAGTTGGACCGTGAGTTCAACTCCCTGCTCTGTCGTTTAGCCGAGTAAACCTCTGCTTCTCCATCTGCAAAGCAGTGATCATGCATGTCTCTCTCACAATGAGGTTTTAAAGACCTAATGGGAAAATGATCATAAAAACATTTTGTAGAGTGTAAAGTATGATATCAATATTAATTGGAAAGCTGCCTTGCATCGTGGAAAATGCCAGAGGGTATGAAACAGGTTAGGTACATTTGTAGGGCCAAATACTTGGCCAGGTAGTGAGTAACATGGCTGGTTACAGAAAAGTCTTTGTCTTCAAATCACCCACAAGGTAGGTAGGGGAAGGTAAGACATCAGTGAAATGACTGCAACACAGGCTTTGCATAATCAAACGATGAATAGTGTTTAAACTGCTTTATATTGGTGGTTTTCTTTTTCTTTCTTTCTTTTTTTTTTTTTTTTGAGACAGAGTTTCACTCTTGTCACCCAGGCAAGAGTACAATGGCAGGATCTCAGTTCACTGCAACCTCCGACCCCCGGGTTCAATGGATTCTCCTGCCTCAGCCTCCCGAGTAGCTGGGATTACAGGCGCCTGCCACCACGCCCAGCTAATTTTTGTATTTTTAGTAGAGATGGGGTTTCATCATGTTGACCAGGCTGGTCTCAAACTCCTGACCTCAGGTGATCCACCTGCCTCGGCCTCCCAAAGTGTTGGGATTACGGGCGTGAGCCACCGCGCTCGGCTATTAGCGGTTTTCAAGTTGAAGTCGGACACCTTTAGGGATTCTTGGGGAAAGAGATTTCTTGGGAGACATTATCCATTTCAATGGTACCTAGCATGCCACAGTAGATTCCTAAACAAAGGTTGAGAAGTATAACCTGAGTTTGTCAGCTCTATTCTAATCTCTCCAACCTTTTTGAAGTCTTCATTATAGCTTCGGAAAACTGTTAGTTTCCAACATTCCCATAATTCTGTACTAGATGTGGTTCCAAGAAATCAGACCTTTCTGACTTAAAAGTTTAAGGAGGGGTATGCGCGTGGTGTGCGTGTGGGTGTGTGTCTGTCTGTAGTTATAGCTGGTTTTCCTGTCCAGTTCAATCTCATTGAGTTTATCTCTCTTGTTAGAGATTTTTGGGATCCTGTGCCCAATAAATAAGAAGAGATGAACCTTGAGTCTCATTAGATGACAGATTTTTGAGAAGCTCAAATGTATGGGAAGGCTCCACTTCTTCACTTAAAGGGACTGCAGATGGTGTGAAGCAGGTGGGAGAGACCCCAGTGCTAAGAGGGTTATTACAACAGGGCTTGGCAAGAATTTTTCAGGGAAAAATGAACTTTGGGAGGCGGGTGCTGTTTTTTGCCCCATTTTGGGTTCCCAGGGAAAGGTAACAATTTAAACACACACCACCTGAACAGAGACATAGCTTCCTCTCAAGAGCCTTGGAAGGCTGGGAGAGTGGTGTTGGGTGGAGAGAATGAGAGCAGGCTCAGATGTTGAAACAACCCTAGGGGATTGGAGTTGGAATTGCTGAACTGAGCTAGTCCAGAGCCATCTATCATTCTGAGTCTTCCCAAAACACTATTTACACAGATCACCAACTTTCACACTTAAGGAGTGTCTCCCCGTTTCTCTTCTTACTAAGCATGGAGCTGGTGGAGTCTGGTTGGAGATAGCCTTCAGGTCTGTGCTCTTTTTCTCAGTGAATTTATGTTGCACTGATGGAGCCCTTGCATGGCAGGAGAGCTAGATAAACTTTTAATTTCTGTTAAAAGTCAAATAGGAAGCTCTTATCTGAAAATTCTGCTTAAATCCTTGTCTGCATCACTTTATCTCTACTTGCCTTCTTCTTTTAGTATTTCTCTGAAGTGCAATGCCCATTAATGTCACAAATGTACTTCCTAGTCCTTGGGCAGCAGAGCCTGGCCCTTTATTTTCCTTGCAAAGGAGGTGAAAGTGGTAACTTGAACTTAGTCCACCTGGACTTTGTCTCATAGAAAGTGATCTTCAGGCCGGGGCCAGTGGCTCACACCTGTAATCCCAGCACTTTGGGAGGCCAAGGCGAGTGGATCACCTGAGGTCAGGAGTTCGAGACCAGCCTGGCCAGCATGGTGAAACCCCCATCTCTACTAAAAATACAAAAAAATTAACTGGCCATGGTGGTGGGCACCTGTAATCCCAGCTACTCGGGAGGCTGAGGCAGGAGAATCGTTTGAACCCGGGAAGTGGAGGTTGCAGTGAGACGAGATCGTGCCATTGCACTCCAGCCTGGGCAATAGGGCGAGAGTCTGTCTCAAAAAAAAAAAAAAAAAAAAAAAAAAAGAAAGTGATCTTCAGAGGGATGAATCCCTTCCTATATTCAGCTTCTATCCAGAATAGTACTTTTTCTCTTGCATAACTGGGTATAGATTTCAGATAAGCTCCATTTAGTTAAACTCCAGTTATTTCCAGGAACATCTGGACTCCCTGAGACCTCACTAGCCTTCTTTTTGAGCATTAATAGTTTAGATTCACCATAAAGAAGACAGTTACAAAGAACCATTTTTTGAATGTTTTCAGCATTCCAAGATATTGCCAAGGGCCGTAAGGTTAAGGAACAGCGGAAAGAAATGCTATTTCTTGTCTGGTATTCTCCAATCAGGGAACTCAAGGAAGCTCTCTACTCAGGGGATGAGGCTGTCTCAGCCCCGTGGGTGGGCTAAGTGGACTGTTTCCGAGAAAAGCACTGGGAACATGGAGTGGCAGGCAGATATTGGCAGAGGCATAAATATAACCAGGGATGTAGATGACAATTTGATGACGTATCTTGTGAATGGTGTATATTCACAGAAGGCCTTTTAAAGATGGAGGCTGTGGGAGTAGGAAGACTTATAGGGCTTGTAGTAATGAAAGCTTTCAGTGTATGTCAAAGAACTTGCTGTTAGCGAGGACGGGAGGAGGGCCAAGGAAGAATGGCGGTTAGAGAGGGAAAGAATTAATGGTTTTGCGGCAAACATGGACTTGGCCAGGAAAACAATTCCTTATTTCTAGAAAGAAGAGGAGCTTTTAAATTTTTTAAAATTTTTCTCAGTTTATGACCTGGTTAGGAACACTGAAACATAAGGAGTTGGGGAAAGGATGGTTGGAGGCTCACTGGAAATGAGAGGCGGCTATCAGTGAATGAGCTCTTTATCAGTGACTCCCAGAGACTGCTGCTAATTTTGATTTGAAAGCTGCAAATTGCTGGTATGTGGTTACAGTTCCTAAGAACAACTTAGATAAGAGATTTTCAAAAGCCGTTTTGAAAGGGGAAGTGAAATTTAAGATTTAGTTGTCATTGGTCTACATCTAAGTGTTTGTTTCTTTAGATGTGCACACCAAGGAGCATTTAAAATAAAAATCTATTTGCAAATTAAGATAGTCTTTATTTACATTTTTATATTTTTATTTCAATAAAAAGTGTGTTTTATAGAGAAAGCTCCCAGAGAAGAAACTAATCTCAAGACTCCCTTTTGTCTTTTTTTTTTTTTTTTTCTGGTGCCAGGACAAACCGCACACATAATACCTGGGAAGAACTAATCAAACGTGTGTGTGTGTGTGTGTGTGTGTGTGTGTGTGTATGTACCTTGTGCCTTCGGTTCTGATTCCATAATAGCAAATGACCCAAGCAGCACATACTCCTCTCCAACCAGGAAGTGAGAAATGGAATTTTGGTTGACTCCTTTCTCTTGTTCTAAGAAATCTCCCAAGGACTGCACCATGTTTGTTTTCATTTCCCTGGCTCCTTTCCATTCTGGAAACTTAAAATCGGCTTCATGGCCTCTTGCTTTATAGAATTTGTTCAAAAAGGCTTCGTCAGAAATGGATTTGATGTGACATTTTTGCTCTTCACGTGAAAGTACTTCCTATTCCCTGAAAGTGGAAGAGGTGGTGGAAATAACCCTGGCCTTGGCCGACTGATCTTGAACCTGAGAATTAGAGACTGGGCCTCCGTCCAGTGACTCTGAGCCAGTAATGAAGTTTAAAGCTATCGGAAGACTGGCTGCCGTCCTTGGTAGAGGTGGGGGTGATTTGATACACAGAAGAGCTTTGTTTCCCAGGGCTTTGTGGTCTTTCCGGGTCATTTGGGGACTTAGGGTGGAGGACGCCAGTCTTGCCTTCCTAATGGAGCTGTGCTTGTCCTCGCCCGGCCTGCCCCAGAGCGCATGCTAGCACAGTCTTGCCTTCCTAATGGAGCTGTGCTTGTCCTCGCCCGGCCTGCCCCAGAGCGCATGCTAGCAGATGGCCTTTACCATCAGCCACTTCCAGCGACATTCTAGGATGAATGTGTGTATAAAGCTCATGTTTGTCACTCGTTAGCGCTTGACGCTGGGCAAGTTTTCTGGCTTCTTTAAGCCTCAACCCACATCTGTAAAATGGTGATACTTCGTAGAATTGTGAGCATTAAATAAGATTACAAATGTAGAGCACTCATTTTATTTAATGTGAAATCACCTATGGGGGAATTCGGGGCTTCCCACTGCCTTTGTTTTTCAGCACCTCCCTTCACCAGCTTTTCTGCACCCCCACTCATTTGTGAGAAATAGATAGTGCTGGAGACAGCTGAGGGATGTACTCAGCTCAGTTCAGGCTTCTCAATGCCCCAGAGTCCTCCAGATCCCCCTCATTTTTTCCCTCCATGCTCTTGTCTCTCACAAAGATCATCCTTGTGACCTCCTATCCCTTGGGCTATTCTTTGCTGCATTGGGCATTGGACAGTGCTAAGAGGGTTGGGCACCGTGCAGCCTAGTGTTTGCAGCTGCCCCGGTGCGCTCTGCTCAGTCCATATTCTTACCCTGGGTGTGCCGAGGGACAGGACAAAGGGCTTATTTTATAGAACATATTTCTTCCCCATTCTTCTCGTTTATAATTTTGGTTTCCAGGAAAGAATGGAAGAATGGGCACCTCCACCCTATTAGTGCACACTCTGTGTGTGTGTGTGTGTGTGTGTGTGTGTGTGTGTGTGTGTAGCAGGAGCAAGGGGCAGGGTCAGCTGTGCTGAGGACTAGGAGGTAAATGGTCTACGCATATCCAAGGTGGGAAGACCAAGAGAAATAAGAGAAGTAAATGAACAGATCCTCTAAAGTCATCTTTTCCTTATTCCAGCACACCAAGGCATTGTGCATATGGTCTTGGATCCTTATTCTCTGTTAGCCAATGGAAAACATATATGGAAAGAAAGCAAGCAAGCTTGCTGAGATTAACCTAGAGAGGGCAGGGGCCAGCATCCTGATGTCTATGCTAGGCCAGCATGGTACCAGCAGCAGAATGTGGGCTGTGGACATACACTTAACATTTCTGATCAGTTTTTACTCCCTCAGGCTTAGGGGCTACAAAGGAAGATAGCCAGGTTTCTGGGAAATTTCGAAGCACTTGGAAATATGATCGAAGCAGAAAATTCCTCTGAGTGGAGGAGCTGTGTAGGCTGTGTATAGAATCTGTGGATTGGGACCATCCAAGGAATCAGTGTCTGGAAAGAAGCACAAACTGGTGTGATGAAGGTTCCCATGATGGGTAAGAACTACCAGGGAAGGTTGGAGAAGAAAGGTTTAAAACTGACAAGGAACCTCCAAGCCACCTTAGGGACAATTTGGGTTCTTTAAAGTTCCATTTGAATCCCACTCCCTCAACGAGCACTCTAACTTGCCCCTGTTTATCCACCCCATCTGCCATGACCACATCAAACTTACCCACAAGCGAGGCCCTTCTTAGAACACTATTTGAGTTGTATATTAAAATGTTAGGGTGCCTGGTGGTCTAGACTCTTTCCAGCGGGTCTTGTTCTCTGAACCTCTAGAGGAGGGAACTTTGCCTTCAGAATATTGCTGAGAGGAAGGGTCCAGAATGGCCTGGCCAGTATCTAGTGTGACCACTCTGCCTCTGAGCTATATTTGGCTGAGTCAGGTGGCTGGTGAGTCCCACACGTCCTCTGGATTGAATCCACCCACAGGGGAGAGGAGTCAGCCTGTAGGTTTAATTGCCACCACAATCAGAGCTATCAACTGCCTTTATTGTCTAGGAAGATTGAATCAAAGGAGGGCAGAGAACCTTGGGTTCCCAACGCATTCTATGAGCTCTTGGGTTCTTCCTGTGGCTTTGTAGGAACAAAAGAACAGAACAAACATGTTGGAGTAGTGTCCCTAACATTTATTTCAGGTGGTGACTAGGAGGGTTGAGGTGTAGATATACTTCCTCTCTTCTCGTGGAGCCTTACTGAAGACAGGATCGCCGTTCTTGTGTTTATCAGCTGAGAAGGGCAGTCTCGCCATCTTAAAGACCTGCCCTCCAGCCCCTTCAAACGCCACACTTCCCAGGAAGCACTCTCTCCATAAGTGTTCAGAGAACCCTGACCAGAGAAGCTCCCGCACTTCTTATATGAACTCCGATTGTGCTGAGGGGGAGGGGAGGAGTACACAAAGCAGGAGGTGGGTGGGGAGGCTGGGGTCACACAGCCCAGGAGGGGCACACCCGGCGAGGTGCTCCGTCAGCACAGGCTCCCTCCTCCCTCCCTCCCCCCAGTACACCAGGCTCTGACCGGACCGGTCCCACCGCAGAGTTCAGCGGCATCAAGTCCAAGGACAGAACTGCAAGAGTATGGACACAAAACACCAAACAAATTGGGGGTGGGCTCCCGGCCAGCCTGGTGAGAGAGAGGCTCCTTTAGCCAAGGCCATTTCTGGCTTGTCAGCCTCCAGGGTATGGGCTATGAGCAGCAGTGGGGAGCCGGGGTTTCTGGGGCAGCTCAGTGCTGGGAAGACGTCATCCCCTTCTCCCCAGGGCTGTATGGGAGCACAGGCACAGGGGTAGGTAGAGCTTCTGGTCAGCGAGGGGTAGAGCCCACAGAGAGACCAGAGAGTGGACCGCAGTTTCATGAAAGCAGAGTTATAGCTGCCACTTGTGCCTGTGGGCAGAGCAGGTGGTAGAGGGGCCTCCAGGAAAGGGCCGGGGACACGGGTGTCCAGCACTAAGCACAGCGCACTCAGCCGCAGCCTCTGTCTGTCTCCCCACCCGCCCACCTCTGGCACACAGCACCTGGGGACCCAGATTTGTGCTTGATCAGAGCTTCGAAGGAAGGCAGTGGCAGAGGCGCTGGGAGGCTGTCCTGGAAGTGGCCAATTCTGGTGTCCTCTGCAAAGTACCCCTCGTCCCTGGACAACCAGAACGTGCCCTGACCTCTTCCCTGGCCCGTCCCCACCCGCGGTGTGTGATCCTTAGACGTGAGTCTGCATCCGCCGCTGCAGGGGTCGACTGGGGTCAGAGTTCTGGGACGAGGACTGGGAGTGGTGGGAGGAGGAAGCAGAAGCCTTGCTGGCCTTGTCGAACTGCACATAGCCATCCTGCTTGCCGCTGCTGCTGACGCTGCTGTCACACTGCGTGTCCAGGAAGGAGCTGCTGTCGCTGAGGGAGCCTCTCTGGAACTCCCGCTCACAAAGCTCGATGGACGAGCTGCCCATGCCCAGCACAAACCGCTGCCCGTAGTCGTAGAGGCGGCCCTGGCCGCTCAGGGTGCTGTAGATGTTGGTGAAGGACATGCCTGTGGGCACACGCTGCTTGCCCGCAGGACGCAGGTCGGGCTGGCAGCTGGAGAGGGAGATGGTCGGGGTTGAGTGGTGCTCTTTGAAGGTGTTGACGCTGTAGTAGCCATTGGTGGGGTCCTGGATGGGCGAGAGGAAGAGGAGCGTCACCTGGTGGAGTCTCCACTGAGCGTGGCTGGGGTTTCCAGGCTGAGCCCGTCCCCTTATGCGGGGAGGGAAGAGGGAAAACAGGAGGAAGGGAGCAACCTGGTAGGGAGCAAACTCAGGGGTGAACAGCTGCAGGGAAGGTGCAGGGGAAGAAGGACACTGAACAGGAGATGGCAGAAGGGGGACTGCGGACCCCAGGAGGGGAGGGACGGCAAGGGTGAGGGCTGAGGGCCGAAGGAGGGAAGCAGAGGCTCTTGACTGGGTTTATGTCAGGGCAATGCAGGGTCATTTGAAAGTCAGGCTTTTTAATTGTTTTTATCCAGAACATGGATGCTTCATTTTGAATCTACATGTGAGGAGGCTGTGGAAGAGAACTGGGGAGTCTCAGCCTTAGCTCTCTCAGCCTCCTCAGCGTTGGGGTAGGGAGAGGAGGTGCCTTAGGCAGGGACGGGCACCTGCCACCAAGCTGGCCTCTGACCTTTTCTTCTCTGACTTGCTGTCATTTGTTGTATAGATTTGGGGTTTGGGCCATCAGAGCTAAAGACCAGATTCCATGGCTGTGTCTTATAACCCGGGGCCCTTCTTACCTTCAGGTTCTGAAACTCTTTCTCCTCTTCTTTGAGGACCTCCAGCTGTTTCAGGACTGAGTCTTGCTGGAATTCACCCCGGTCCATCTGCAACCCAAAAAAGGCTGCTCAGTAGATAGGAGGTGGCTAAACCTCCACTTCCCCCAAGGAAAAGATGAGATCAGAAACTCAAAAGATTGCCCTGTATAACCCCCACCACCCCTCACTGCCTGGACCATGTGAAAGAGTCAAGATGAGTTCCTGGAGCCCCATCCTAGGAGACAGGGAAGCAGTTGAGGGGGGTGGGTGAGTAGGTGAGGTGAGGGGCAGTTAGGGGAGGCGAGGGGCAGGTATCCGAGGCCATACTTTCCTCGCTTGGGCGAGGGCATCACCAGAGATCTCCCATGGCTGATTCAATTCCATTGACTGAACGTTTATTGTAAAATGCCGGCCAGTTGCTCTGCTAAGGACCAGAGATCCACAGATTAACGTACATTAAGATACAGCTCTGCTCATCAGGGAGATGGACTTGTAGATAAATAATTTCAGAATGTCAGTCACTGGGCATGGCAAGGCTCCTTAGGGCAGTTTCTTTTCCAGCGTGCAGGCCTAGTGCAGGCCTTAGGGAGTCACAAGGAATAACCATCTGTGAGATGCTGGCGACATGGGCCACACCTGTTATTCTCATGAAAAGTTAACTTCCTTAGAGATGCCAAACAGCCTGAGGGCAAGGATCACTTCCTGCTTGTCTCTGGGTCCTCCCACACCTGGTTCAGTGCTTTGCATGTTGTGGTCACTGACCTTGCCTGCTTTTGGGATGGAATCTCTTAATTATTTGATTTGCCAATGCCTAGCACAGTGCCTGATATACAATAGAGCTGCTTCAAATGGTATGTATATGTTGAATGAATAGGCAAAGTGGCTTAGCTCTAAATTACTGAAAATTAACAAAATTATTAGACATAAGATGAAAAAGCATACTCCACACACAGTGGGCATATGAATTAATCTGAATAACCACAGTGATGCTTAACCTGTGACACACGAGAGGCTTGCCATGTGTCTCTGCTAGTTGCACGGTATAGGTAGTAGGTTCCCTCCTACTCTCTGGGCCGGGATGTTTCTTCTCCCTTGCAACCTGCTTTCCTCGTTTCTTTTTGGAGCCCTGTAGAATCAGCCAAAGTGCGGCCACCCGGCTGCCTCCTCACTAAGGAGACCATGCGGTTCATTTTTCCAGTAAATGCTCTGGCACTGTCTGGACTGGAGACCTTCTTTCCCATCAGATTCAACTTCTAAGTCTGCCCCTTCTTGCAGATGGGGCTGTCTTGGGGCCAGGAGGTGAAGGGAATGCGAGAATGACGATATCCTCAAGGGGTGGCTTAGCCCAGAGCCCTCAGCAAGTCCCTTCTGCTCCCACCTGACACTGAGCTGCCCCCACTCTTGCCTGTGGATTTGGACTAAGGGATGTGGAGACAGTCTGAGGCAAACAGAATGTTTGCCGATGGGAGAGAATTCAAGGTCCCGTTTGGGATGAAGGACACACATGATTAAGCTTAAGTATAGAGACGTCATCCCTTCTCACATCTAGGCTGTGGTTTCCTCCCTCGTAAAACTAAACACTCCACTGTGTTAATTTTAACAGTGTCAGGCCCTGTGTTAGGCCCCAGGGGAAATAGATGAGCGTAGACTCAGAAACATGACCTTTGCCCTTGAGGAGCTCTGGGATAACTGGGGAAGCTGACATGGAATTGGGGGAATGCACTATAAAGGAGGCACATACAAAGTGTTTTGGGAGAGCAGAAGGTGCACAGCTCCGCCAGGGGTGGGGAGGACAAGCCCGGAACATCTTGGAGTTGATTGTTATGGGAGAATGTGAGATTCAACAGACAAAATTAGCAGGCAGAGAGAACAGCCGGTGCACAGGCCTTTGAAGTCCAAAAGATTCGAAGGCCAGGAATCAAGCTCTTTGGCATGTCTGGAAGGCCAGATGTACTTGGCCGGAAAATGGAGCTGGAGAGGTTGGTGGTTGCCTGGCACTGAGGAGCCCTGATGGCACACCAGGAAGTTGGGCTTTGTCCAGCAGATGTGGGGAGCCACCGAGGGATTTTAAGTGGGCAAGTAACAGGACCAGATTTGCATTTTAGAAAGGCTGCTTTCTCAAGGCTCTCGAGGGTGGATTGAGAAAAGAGACAAAAGACTACAAGGCTGAGACCAACTGGGAGGCTGCTGTAATCATCCAGGGGAGCAATGATGAGGCCTGAAGTAAAGAAGTGATGGTGGAGGACAGGTGGGGCACACATTTGAGACACTTTTTGAAGTGGAATTGACAGGACCTGAAAATCAATTGGAGAGAGAAAGCGTAGCCGAGGGAAAAGTCAGTTTGATTCAGTAAACGTCTGTGAGCCTCTACCAGGGCCTGTGTAAGGCTCCGAAGACCCCGGGATGAACACAGCAGCAGCTGCTCACCCTCTAGCAACATAAACCGCTAATATTTCTTGAGCACTTATTGTGTTCCATGGGCTTCAAGCCCTTCTGAGTTTTGTCCACTTCACCCTCACCACAGCCCTGTATACTGTGGCTTTCAGACCCATCTCATGGATGAGGACATGGAGGCACCAGAAAGCCCATCTACTATATTCCTTGCTCTGCTGCCTCCACTCCAACATGTTACGACCGAGGCAACCAGAAACTTCTAGCATGGTTGTCCAGGTTTCTGCTTGGACAACTAGGTAGATGATGGCCCATAAATGGGGATTCGGAAGAGGAGGAGCAGGCTTGATGTGCCTGGAGAAGTGATGAGTTGACTGGCAATCCAGTCCCCAAGGAGGAACCTGTGTTTCTTGCAGACTGTTTTGGTGGGGTGCGGGGGATGAGGGAGAGGGACATGTATTGAATATCTATAATAGCTATGTGTGTGTGTGCGGGGGAGGGGAGGGGATTATATGTTATATAACAACATATTGTGGCAATTTATGCATATGTCTTTTCTCCTTACTGAAGAGCCAGGCTCTCTGAAGGGTAGACTGCATTTTTGTTGTTGTTGTTGTTTTGAGATGGAGTCTCGCTCTCACCCAGGCTGGGGTGCAGTGGCCTGATCTCAGCTCACTGCAACCTCCACCTCCTGGGTTCAAGCAATTCTCCTGCCTCAGCTTCCCAAGTAGCTGGGATTACAGGCGCCCGCCACCACGCCCAGCTAATTTTTGTATTTTTAGTAGAGATGTAGTTTCACCATGTTGGCCAGGCTGGTCTCGAACTCCTAATCTCAAGTGATCCGCCCAACTCGGTCTCCCAAAGTGTTGGGATTGCAAGCGTGAGCCACTGCACCTGGCCTGGACTGCATCTTAGATGTCTTTGAGTCTGCCAGAACACAAGCACAGTACAGCAGGCACACACTCACATTTGTTGGCTGAGAGTGTGTGCCTCACCTATTGTGGGGTGGGCAGGGGGCATCTTGAACGCTGCTCTGCTTTTTGGAAGCATCTAGTTCATTGAGAAGCCTCTAGTCCCAGGACCTTCTGGGAATGGAGTCACGGGATGGGATGGGGCGTAATTGCATTCTTACCATCAGCTGCTTGATGGTGGAGTGCTCCTCACCCTCCCGACCAGAGGCTGGTTCCTTGTGGACAATTTCCACTCGGATATCATTTTTGGCTGACACAACACCTTTGAGATCTGGAGATAAAATAGTAAAGTGTAGATGATAGATTTAGTTCTTACCTTTGAGATGTCAAGCTCCCTTGCAGTCCCCTGCCCCTGCCCTGCCACCCTCTGCATTTCCCCTCCAGCCCCTGAACTCAGCAGCTTCACCAGCCCCCCACCAATAGAACCTCCATATGGAGATGCTGTGGGTGTTTGGGCCTCAGAGGAGGCTGACCCCATGGCCGGCCTGCCTCCTGTCACATGCCCCTCAGCCATGCACCCTTGGCTTGAAAGATCGTCTTCAGCCACTTGTCCGCCTTACTGAGCTAGGTCCTTTTCATCCTACTGAATTCTCACTTCCTTCTAGAAGTCTTCTCTGACCTGCTCTACCAGGCGGGCTCCAATCCCTCCATTCATAGAACCATAAATCTCAGTGTTGGAAAGGACCTCAAAGTGCCCATGGCCAACCCCCATCCAAAGAGAAACGCCCCTGAGGCAGTGGGCAGCTTCTCTGTCGACGCCTCCGTGATGGAAGCTTTACTGCTACTTCTGCAGGAGGCAGGCTGTTTCTAGTTGGAGAGCTCTGTTAGAAAATTCTTGGCTGGGTGCGGTGGCTCACGCCTGTAATCCCAGCACTTTGGGAGGCCGAGGTGGGCAGATCACGAGGTCAGGAGTTTGACACCAGCCTGGCCAACATGGTGAAACCCCGTCTCTATTAAAAATCCAAAAATTAGCTGGGCGTGGTGGTGGGTGCCTGTAATGCCAGCTACTCGGGAGGCTGAGCATGAGACTCGCTTGAATGAACCCGGGAGGCAGCGGCTGCGGTAAGCCGAGATTGTGCCACTGCACTCCAGCCTGGGCAACAGGATGAGACTCTGTCTCAAAAAAAAAAAAGGAAATTCTTGAGGAGCTGGTGCGGTGGCTCACGCCTGTAATCCCAGCACATTGGGAGGCCGAGGAAGGCGGACCACTTGAGGCCAGGAGTTCGAGACCAGCCTGGGCAACATGGTGAAATCCTGTCTCTGCAAAAAATTAAAAAAATAGCAAGGCATGATGGCACACGCCTGTAATCCCAGCGACTCAGGAGGCTTAGGCACGAGAATCGCTTGAACCTGGGAGGCGGAGGTTGCAGTGAGCTGAGATCGTGTCACTGCACTTCAGCCTGGCCAAAAGAGAGAGACCCTATATAAAAAAAAACCGTATATATATGTGTATATATGCGTATGTGTATATATTTGTATGCTTCCCTATAATTTCCACTGAGACGGTGGTGATGGAGGTCCTGAGACCACATCATTGCTGGGGTGGTCTTGAGAGCCAAGGCTGCTTAGCTCGGAGTGCAGAAAATGCAAGGGGAACAGCTTTCTTCAAACATGTGCAGGCTGCCGAGTGGCAGAGGAGCAGACCCATTCTGGTGATTCATTTTTTGCATTACACTTATATAATGTTAGTGCCAGATGGGGCCATCAGAGTCATATCCTCATTATAAATGAGGAGACAGGCCTGGAATAACTGTGGCTGGCCCAGGGTCATGTGGCAGAAGAGGTGGGACTGGAACACTGTGTCTCCATTGTCTTCACCTGTTCTCTGCCATCCAATCTCTCACACGTTATCTCCTCGGTGCACGCAATTCTTCAAGCGTGCACAAACACTAGAATTTTATTGGTAATCACTGAAGACCTTTAAAAGTTTTCTCAAAGCAATTCCTTTATTGCTTCCCCACCCACTCCCCCACAGCTGTGTGAGTGACCTGCTTTTCTGGTGAGACTAGCAGCTCTTTATTTTTATTTTGTTGTAGAGATGGGGTCTCTCTAGACTAACAGCTCTTGTAGAGCAAGGATCAAACCACAAACCGCTTTTCCCCCTATCTTTCTGTACAGTTCCTGACTGAAAGAGCTATGTGTTCAATCCAAAATGCTGGCTGCCCTGCAGATGAAGTTCAGTCTAGTCCAGGTCAACCTCAGCCTAGCGCCCACTCTGCCAGGCGCCATGTTGCCCAGGCTCACATACACCGATGCATCAGACCCACTCCCTGCCCCAGGAGCTCACAGCACTGTTAGGACCCCTGTTCATTGCACTCCTGCTTACTTGCTCTCCGGGGCAGCCTAAGCCTGGCCTTTTTCTCTGTCCCCCTCCCTGAGATCCCGGATCTCCCTCCCGTACTTCTCTGGGAACGGGCACAGCAGAACGCCACGATGGTTGCCATAAGGACGAGGAAGGCCACACCAGCTCCTACGGCCACCCCAATGATGACGGCCATCGGCACAGACTCTGTGGGAGAGAAGCGGGCACAGCTGATGACGGATGGGGAATGGCCTACTATCCCCCCATGATCTCACCCCGTTCCTGCGGGGGCAGCCCCTGCCACATGGGGCCCTCCTGGGAAATGCCTCAGTGGGGCCTGGGCAGGCACAGGCCGAGTCCAACTGGGGTCAGCTCTAGCTGGGACTGCAAAGACCAGGGTGGAGGACACAGGGGCTTGGTGGGTGGAGGAGAGGGCAGGGGAACTGAGGTAAAGGGCAGAGGAAGGAGAGCGAGGCAGGCAGACACGGAGAAGGGAGGGCCAGGGGACAGGAAGACCGGAGATGAGGGGTGGGGCTGGCACGATGGAGCTCTCTCTGGCATTAAACAGGAATGCTCTATCACACAGCGGCCAGTGAGTCATAGGCCCTGGCTTTTTTTGAAAAATGACTATGGTCACTGCCCTTGTTTGTTCCGTATGTTCTCTCCTTCCCTTCCCTTTCTCGGGTGAATATAGAGGACATCCGGCTCTTAGTGTTTGCAGGTCTAAGTAGCTTCCCCGCAGGTCTGCTGGGCATCAGTTGTGGCCCTCAGGTGTCCAAGTCTCAGGGTCCAGGGAGCAGGGTTACAGCTTCTCCACTGCCACCTCTCTAAGGAGAGAGGCCCCTTTCCCTCCATCTCCAGGTCTGCAGCTTCTCCCTCAAGGCTGCCCCTCTGAGCATCCTTGCACCCCTCCTGGCAAGAGAGGCCCACACACTGGGCAGGCAAGCCCTCACCCCTGCTGAGTCTCTGTGGCCTGTCTCCTGCCCAAGCCGAGTGGGGGTAGGGACAGGGAGGGTAAGGATAGAGTCGGGGGTGATCTTCCACACAGCCTTGGCCCTTCTACAGCTGCAAGTGGGGTCGGAGCACATGATTTAGGGCCTTGAGGAATCCATCAGGAATAGAACTAGAGAATGCTGGGGCAGGGAGAGCTTGGGGCTCTCACTGAGGTCCGGAGAAGTCAAGTGATTTGGCCAAGGACACACAGGAGCTGCCCAGCCAGGGTCAATCCAGGTCTCCTCTCACTGCTCCCACCCCTCCACTCACCCCACTCCCACCCCGTCCAGCTCCACCCACAGAGTGACATGTGAGATCCCCCACATCTCATGTGCTCGGTACCGCCCAGACTGCTGCTGCTCCGAGTCCTGGCTCCATCCCTTCTGCTGAGCAACTGACTTTGCCTCTCTTATATCTGTAGGATGGGGATAATGGTACCGGCCCCTCTGAGGGTTGTTATGGGCTTGAGCTGGGTGAATGTGGGCAGAGGCCTTGGAGCAGAGCCTGGCACCCAGCCCTGTTTGGTGTTTGCTGTTGTTGTTACCCAGGAAGGGGTCACCAGCAGTTCACGGTCTTTTATTTTTGGGATGGAGTCTGGCTGTGACACCCAGGCTGGAGGGCAGTGGCACGATCTCAGTTCACTGCAACCTCCGCCTCCTGGGTTCAAGCGATTCTCCTGCCTCAGTCTCCCGAATAGCTGGGATTACAGGCACATGCCACCATGCCTGGCTAATTTTTGTATTTTTAGTAGAGATAGGGTTTCACCATGTTGGCCAGGCTGGTCTCAAACTCCTGACCTCAGGTGATCCGCCCGCCTCAGCCTCCGAAAGTGCTGGGATTACAGGCGTGAGCCATCGTTCCCGATCAGCAGTTCACAGTCTTAAAGGCCAGGAAAGTTCCTTTGAAAGACTGAGCCCCTCCCCAGCCTACCCTGCGTTCGTCAGTGTGGGCGAGTGGGGACAGCTAGGTATCAGTTCTGGGTTGTAAGCCTCTTGCTGTCTTTTTCTTTAAAGGGAGGAGAAAGACCTCAAACCCTGGCCTCTGAAGATGCTGCTGGGAGGAGGTATCAAGGGGTGGGGGTAGGGTGGCAGCCATTTGCCCTCCGGCCAGAGGGAGCTGGCGCCCCTGGCTGGCAGTGTTGCTGGTTAAGCTGGCACATCCCTTTGCCACCCCAGGACTTGCACACGAAGCCATTGGTTACCTACCAATTAGTGGCCAGGACAGCTGTAGGGGTGACAGGGAGGGGACCAAGAGGAGGTGGAATGGTGGACACTTAGGGATTGAAACGGGAGGTGCTCGCATTGGTTCAACAGTCAGACTGAGAAAAGGGGCTGGGCCTCAGCAGAGCTTGCCTTGACCAATAGACGACAACGTCTCTAGGTTTAGTTCCATGAAGAAAGGGAAACTGCTGTGGCAGCTCATTGGTTCTCTGCTTTTGAATTGGATTGATTTGGGTTGGTTTCTCCTCAGATTCCTAGTAAGTTTCCTTGGAAAAACACAGGGCTTGTCTCAGCGGAACTCAGAGCCAAAGCATGTCCATGGAAGGCTCTTAACACCTCTGGGCCTCAGTGCCTTGTCTGCACCCTGGAGAGCTGGGCAGCAGCATTGAAGGTGCCTTCCGATCCTGGGATCCCCAGCCCACGTTTCCACACGCTGCTGACGGCTGGGGGAGGGGTGCCCTCTTAGCTGGACAACGGTCACCAGGGAGGTGGGCAGGGGGAGAGCAGGGGGTCCTGTGGGGGCGAGTGCCCCGGGGTGCCATCTCTTCCCAGTCCCCAGCCTGCCTGTGTGTGTTTCCTCCTTGCCTGGCTTCCTGAGGTTTGGCCTAGGGCGATGTGCAGGCCCCTCCTCTCTGCACAGAGCCTTCCCTGCATGGCTCCTGGAGAGGGACTGGAGGGAGGGGCTGTCCCCACTCAGCCTCCCCTCCATCCAAGGAGGTGTGCCAGGCACCAGGAGCCACCGAGGGGGGAAGGTGTTGGGGAGCTCTGGATGAGTGTCAGCAGACACAGGAGACACGGAGACAGGAGACACCACCCTCAGCACTAGCATGGACCCGGGGAGAAGGCAGCGGGAGGCTGGCAGCTTTCTGGGTTGCCCCAGTGTGGGCTGCAGGGGCCTCTGTGAGCAACCTGTGCCCTGGGTTGGTGCTCTGATAGGGGCATGTCTGCCAGGAGGGGCAGAGGCAGGGGCATGAGGATCCCACGTGGAGCTTGTTGAGGAGGTAACAGAGGCCAGGGGCCAGTGTGGCAGGAGGCCTGGGATGGAGGACCACTCAAGTCTTCAGCATGGCCATAGAGCCTGGCTTGCTGGTCCTGATTCTCTTTTCTGGTTTTCTGCTCGGGGTGGGGTTGAGAGCAACTCCGCCCAGGGGGCCTGATGACTGCTTTGCTGCGTGTGCCTGGGGAGGGAGGCGCTGCCCTGCAGCCTCAGCTTGGGGTGAGATGACACTTCCATGGGGACTGCAGGAGTAGGGAGGGGTGGCAAACAGCAAGCATGGATTGCACAAGCCACAGCAGGGGCTGGGGGCCCCCGGTGTCCTGGGAAGCAGTGGCCAAGCTGGTGATGATGTGGAGAAGCGGGAAGGGTCGGAGAGAGCCTGGAAGCAGAAGGCAGTCAGGACAGGGGCCAGCTGACCCCAGAGGCCAGGAGTCAGGGCTCCTGAAGAGAAAGGATGGAAGGAATGGAGCGGGGACGAGCAAGAGCCAGTGTCCCAGAGAGGAAGGAGTTGTGGGTTCCGGCGGCAGGCAGGAGACAGGTCTCTGGGGTCCCTAGGCCCAAGCTGGCTGGGACCTCCTCTCCCCACTGCTTTGTCTACACTAAACCCTCAGGACGGGGGAGGGCGGAGACACTAGCGGCCAGCACAGGCCTCCCTACCCCCTGCTGGGTTCCCTCCCCAGCTAGCCAGGAAGTCCCTTCCCCCCTTCCCAGGGCCATTCTCATCATCTCCTTCCGTACCTGCTTCCAGCCCGGCTCCCGACTTCATTTCCGAACCTGTTTGGAAATAAAGCAAGCGTCTACAGCCAGGGCCTGGCTGGCCAGGGTGGGGTGGGACTGGGAATTAGCTGCTTGAGCGGGGCTGGGTGAGGGGCTCCTTTCCCAGTCATGTCTCTGGGACCCCCCAACAGATCCAGGCTAGCCCAGCTGAACTTGGAGTTCATTCAGGCTGACTTAGAGACTCTGGAGGGGCTAGGGACCGGAGAGAGATCACGTCTCGGAGGGGTCTGGGAGGGTTGGGGTGAGAACACTCGGGGGAGGGCATGGGGATGGGGGCACCAAGGGGAAGACACGGAGGGTAGGCAACAGGGGACCAGGAAGGTTTGGGATGATGTGTGGATGATATTATGCAAATTATGTGCAAAGCATTATGCAAAGCAGCACCTATTAGGGAAGAGGTGTTGGGAGATGCTGTGTGATTTGACCCATAGGTGTGATCCTGGTGTGGCCCACTGAGGCCTGGGGGCCCAGCTGAGACCACCCACTTGGCCTAGAATCTCTTGCTGGGCCTGACAGCCTGCGAATGGACCTTTACCTAAGAGGGTGTCAGAGATCGTCAGGACTGAGGCCTCCTGGGCCTCAGAGGCCCAGGCCCAGCTGAGCACGAATCCCTGGTCCACCATGGCTTAGCCCCTGCTGGCAAAAGGGCAAGATCAACTGCCCCTCTCAGAACCCGGCTTGCTGCTGGCTGTGGTGGGGCTTCTGGAGCCACCCCTCCGTGCCCCTCCAAGGCTCCCCATCCTGTTGTCTGTGCCTGAGAGCTCTGAGCAGACGCTGGAGATCTGAGCCTCTTTGACCAGGAGCTGGGACGTCAGCGCACGGGGGCACAGTGGGGTGAGGCTTGTTCCTCCTGCCTCCTCCCTCTCACCCACCCGGCTGCTTTGCCCAGCGCTGCCTTTGAGGTACAGGGGTCCATGTGCCTCCTGGGTCTGCAGGTCATCTGAGCCCAGCCCCCGACCCTAGGGATCTGGACAAGCAAGCCTAACCCCTTAGCTTTAGCCTGGGTGCCCTCTGTGGGACTTGTGTCTGAGTAACTGGATGGGCTTGTCATCTTAACTGTGACTGGGCCAGGTTCCCAGCACACCCATGCCAGTGTATCCCACGCTCCACCCAGGCATGACACTTTGGTGTCAGACCAGGGCCCATGGCAGAGGGCAGGGCACAGAAGCCAGGGCCTCTGGAGGCTACTGGGCAGCTTGTCACTGCCACCAGCCTGCTCACTGTTGTGGTCACCTCCCACTGAAGCATCGCCCTCAAGGGCTGCCCCTCTGAGCTGTGTTCTTCCCTTTCTTGGTTCCTGGTGGAGGCTCGTGCCCCTTGCTTCAGCGAGAGCCTGGCTGAGGAGGCTGCTGGCTGGCTAGGCTGTGTGGTCAGCCAGGAAGAGCACTGTGGCTTGTCCTTGGGCCCTGGCCCACCTTGCAGCCACCCGCGCCCTGACCTAGGTGAGGAGAGGGCCCTCTGGTTCCATCGTTCGTTGTTCCCTCATGGCCCTGGCAGCTCTCACCTTGCTCCTTGAGCCGGATGATCTCAGTGTCGGAGCCGAAGCTGTTCCAGGCCGTGCAGTTGTAGATGGTCTGGAAGTCGGCCCGCACGATGTTGCTGATGGTCAGGGTGGAGATGACGCCCTCCTCGGTGCTGATGGTCTCCACCGTATAGCGCCCCGATGTGCCCGACTCCAGAACGTTCTCCTTCCAGGACCAGGCCTGCCCGGGGGCGCAGAATCAGGAGGAGACCCCACCAGAGGGGCCCAGGACACGCCCACACCAGAGTCACAGTGCCACTGTCCTGCTCATGTTCATGCTCACTGCCACACACTAACACATGTGCACACGGGTATGTATGCAGGCACACATGCCACACACCACAAATATGCACACATGCAGGTGCACACACAACACGCATCACCACACATGGGCATGCACAGCATCCCACACGGCACCCACATGCAGGTACACGTGTGCACACACAACACACAAACACATCACACGTCTATACACAGCTCCCCACACATGGCCAACACGTTTATATACATACTACACACACCACAAATGTGTACACACAGCTCTGCACACACACAAGTGTGCACCCACTATAACACACACATCACCACGTACACATACCAATGTATATACACACAGGTTTGTACACACACACCACACTACAAACATGCATATGCAAGTACATGTACCACAACACACATAAACATGCATCACAACACATGCACACACCAAAGCACACAACACATCACAGTGCACACATGCCTGCACATATGTGCACATGTCACAACATGCATACACACATCACAGTACATGCACATCACACTTCACACTAAAAACATGATACAGACATGTACATACACATGGCAGACACGACACCACATCTACACGCAACACACAGCCACTCCCCGAAATACATGTACACATGCACACACACACCAAGATGCACGCACCATATGCCACAATACAACACACAATACAAGCATGCTTACACACATGTACATACCACAACACACACTGCAACACATACACACATTCGCCATACACACCATCATGTGTACTTACAGGTACACACACTATGACATACACACACACCATGTGCTCACACACACAAGTACACACACTACCAACAGATACACATGTTCACACATGCCATGACACATGTACACGGTAACACACCCACACCACACATGTACACAATCCACAAACACATGTACACACACATACTCTGGGGCATCCTCAGAGGGTCTTTCCATCCCAGAAAGGGGCCTGGGGAGCATCTTTCTGGGCAAAGTGGGTGCCCTGTTGGCCTGCGCACTGCGCCTCCACACAAATGCCCCCCGGGACTGTGGCTGCCTGGGTGGGTGTGAGTTAGGACAGCAGCCCCATGAACGCGTCTACCTGTGTGATGTTGTATGTCTGTGTGAGAAATGTGTCTACAGAGCTGTGTTTGCGATCACCTTCGTCTGCCTTAGTTTACAGGGCTGCTGGTTAACAGTTTTCAGAGCCGGCCACATACACTGTCTGCACCTCATCGTGTAAGCGCCTCGTATATCCTGGTTCGGGGCTGATGAGAGGGACTGAGTTTCTCAAGCTTGCTGCTATTGTCACGCTGGACTGACCCATTCCTGGCCGTGGGGCTCTCCCAGGCATTGCAGGATGTCAGCAGCACCCTGGCCTCTACACACCCGGTGCCAGGAGTATCCTCCAAGTGATGACAACCAAAATGTCTCCAGGCACTGCCAAATGTCCCCTGGGGCCAGTGAGAACCGCTGGCCTAGAATCAGATATTTCTGGAGAGAAGGTGTGAAAATGTCCAAGAGTGAATGGAATATTTGACAATGAGCATGTGTTACATTTATAATTAAAAACATCAAAAAGCAAAGTGAATGGGGAGGCGTAGGTATTAGTTTTATTCATGAGTTCTTGCAATTTTTTTGTGAATCTTTCAGACAGTGAATGAACTGAATGCTTGAGAAAGCGTGTAGCAGCAATAATACTCTAATAATATCTTAGTTAACAGGATGACAGTTTCAGTTGGTGCAGCCTGGGTGTCTCAGCCCCCGCATGCACGGGTTAGGGGTGACCTCAGCTGCTTCACATCTGGGCCAGCCCCACCCTCCCTGCACAACTGCCCTGCCCACTCCACCCCTGGACAGTCTTCTAGCAGGATTTTGCCATACACTGGGAATTACTACAAATAAGTTTTCCCCGAGTAGTGCTATAAAATGCTCACTTTTCTTTGTTTTCATGCCTGAGATCCCTCCAGTTTTAGATGGATTTGAGTACAAGACTCTGCCCCTGGATCACCTGAGGTCAGGAGTTTGAGACCAGCTTGGCCAACATGGTGAAACCTTATCTACTAAAAATACAAAAAAATTAGCTGGGTGTGGTGGCAGGTGCCTGTAATCCCAGTTACTTGGAAGGTTGAGGCAGGAGAATTGCTTGAACCCAGGAAGTGGAGGTTGCAGTGAGCCAAGATTGCACCATTGCACCCAGCCTGGGTGATAGAGAGAGACTCTGTCTCAAAAAAGAAAGAGGGAAAAAAAGACTCTGCCCTCACCTTAATTTTTTTGTTGTTGTTGTAGAGACAGGGTCTCACTATGTTGCCCAGGCTGGTCTCAAACTCCTGGGCTCAGTCGATCTTCCCACCTCAGCCTTCCAAAGTGCTGGGATTACAGACATGAGGCTCCTGCTCAGTAAGACCCTCCCTTTAAAAAAATGCAGATACTGGCTGGGCATGGTGGCTCACGCCTGTAATCCCAGCACTTTGGGAGGCTGGGGTAGGAGGATCGATTGAGCCCAGGAGTTTGAGACCAGCCTGACCAACATGGTGAGACCCCATCTCTACTGAAAATACAAAAATTAGCGAGGTGTGGTGGCAGATGCCTGTAATCCCAGCTACTCAAGAGGCGCTGAGGCATGAGAATTGCTTGAACTGGGAGGTGGAGGTTGCAGTGAGCCGAGATTGTGTCACTGCACTCCAGCCTGGGTGATAGAGCGAGACTCCATCTCAAAAAACAAACACAAACAAACAAACCCAAAAAACACACAAACAAAAAAACCAAGCAGATAGCTGGTAGGAGGCGCTGAGGGTGGACTCCTCAGTTGCCTTAGCTGCATTGCAGGGATAAGTTCTTTGAGGAAGGGAGAGAGAATGGAATGGTCACTTTAGAGGGGACGATTGATAGGCAACAGGGCAGGCTACCATGGACAGTAAAGGCCACAGAGACCTGGCAAGGAGGGCTCCAGGAGGCACAGAAAGGGGTTGCCAACTATTACCTGCGCTCTAAGATTTTGCTAAAGACTGGCCTGGAGCCCAGGAAGAGAAGAAGTCACTTGTCTTTTCTCTCCACTACCCTCGTGTGCCCCTCTGCCCTTAGGATGCGGAATTTGGTCAGAGCCGTTCATGTCAGAGCTCAGCAGAATGGCAGCTGAACCCTGGGAGAGCACTGCCTGTTCTGAGAAAGGCCTGCAATTGTGTCTTCACGATGCTTTTCCAAGACAGCCAAGGCAGGTATAATTTTCCTCAGCAAGAAAGAGGAACCTCGGAGGTGTGCACCGCCTGGCTGGCCACCCAGGTATTGGCAAAAGTGACTGTTGGGCTGCTGGCCCGGCCCCCGCCCGCCGTCCCTGGAGCACTCACGATGCGGTCCGGCGGCGGCGTGCTCCGGATGAAGCACTTGATCTGGCCCTTCTCGCCGTGGAGGGCGTGCTGGGTCTGGGTGCTGGAGATGATGGGGGGTCCTGTTGAGAAACAGCGTCCCATTAGGCACCCGGGAAGGGCACGTCCCTGCTGGCGCCCTCTTGGGTGGGTTCAGAAGTGTATTCATTAATCCAAGCATTCAGCAAACATTTGCCGAAGGCCTGTATGTGCAAGGTAAAGTGCAAGGTAGAGGACTCAGAGATAAATTAGGCATTCAGTCATAAACCTCTCAAGGGATCATGAGCGAATGCTTCTAAGTCAGAACCCCCAGAAGATACAAATAACTGTAATAAAAGGTGGTGAGTGTTAGTACCACAGGAGCGGTGCAGATAAAGTGCTAACCGACTTCAGAGGAGAGAGAATAATTCTATCTGGCGGACGGGGAAAGCTTTAGGGAGGAGGTGGTAAGCCTGCAGAGGGGGTGGGGAGGTGTCTAGATGAAGGAAGACTCCCCCGCCTCAGCCAGCGGCACCCCTGCGAGCCATTCCTCAGATATCCAGTAGAGGGCGCCCTTGCCTAACAAATGGGAGCTGCTCGGCCAGACGGGCCAACGGGAAGAAATGGTTGCTGTCCCTCTCCTTAGGGCGGGAATCACCCCGGACAGGGGGAATGCATGCGCTGGCCGTGTTCACAGCCCTCCTCCCACCTGTGTCTCAGGAGGTCCTGCAGTTCATCATCTTGTCTGCCTCCACGTCCATACCCAGACTGCCCAAGTGAGGCCATGGCTCCCAAACTGACCCCAATATTATCATATCACAGAGTGTGGCACATGTTTATGGGTGTCAGGTTCTGAGAGCGCCTGTCTCATTCACCACATTGCACAGCCAAGAGAGTTCACCTGGTGGAGGGGAGCCTGTTCCCCAGCGCCTCCTGTCCAGTTCCGCCTGTTACCTAACCCAAGTCTTTCCCCTGTGACGCCTGCCTGGCCGTGAAAGACAAAAGAAGGAGCAGCTAGCTTAGCCTGGGCTCTGCTGGCTTCCTGGCTGGGCTGGGTGGTTGAAGGATGGGAGTAGGGACGGAAACTGTCATGCTCCCTTTCCAATCCCTGGGGTCACAGTTGGGACTTAGATGGCAGATACCAGAGGAAAGACAGCCGGGAGCAACGCATCTGGAGAACACACAGAATTATGCAGGAACAAAACAAAAATTGCTGCAAACATAATTGCTGTTTATTAGCCACCTTAATTAAAGCAGATTTGCATTTCTATGAGTAGCTCTCAGCCAAGGGAGAAAAGGTACTGTAGACACTCCAGTGACTTCTGTTGAGTTTGAGAAGGCAAAAGGGCTCGGGGCAGCGTGAGGTGGGCGTGGGGGACCCTCCATGGCTTTAAGAATGGGCTGAGCGCTGCCCTCCTTCCTAAAAATCCTTCAGCTCCAACAGGTCTAGGACCCAAAGAGATGAGGAGATTGATGTTTTAGGAACCGGATGGTGCTTTGTTTTATTGCTGGACTAAAACGTGATGATAATATAAAACCTTTTCTGGTCAGGTGCGGTGGCTCACACCTAGAAACCTAGCACTTTGGGAGGCTGAGGAGGGTGGATCACAAGGTCAGGAGTTCAAGACCAGCCTGGCCAATATGGTGAAACCCCGTCTGTACTAAAAATACAAAAATTTTTAGTATTTATTATTTAGCCTCCCTACTTGGGAGGCTGAGGCAGGAGAATTGCTTGAACCTGGGAGGTGGAGGTTGCAGTGAGCCGAGATTGCGCCACTGCACTCCAGCCTGGGCGACAGAGCGAGACTCCAGCTCAAAAAAAAAAAACAAAAAAAAAACAAAAAACCCAACATGCACAGACACACAAAACACACACACACACACACACACACACACACACACACACACAAAACCTTTTCCTTGTGCTTCCCAGGAGCTAGGAATTCCCTGAGGGGTTTTCATGATTCTAAAAGCCATCATCAAATGCATCTGCTTCTTAAAAGAAAATGAAAACCAGGATAAAGGGAAATGGGGTGAGGGTTAGTAAGATTTCTCTCCCCTTCCTGCAGATACCTGATTTGAGCCAAATCGGTTGAGGTGTGTGCCAATTTCTTTCCCAAAGGACTGCTGCGCTGGCCAGCAGTTGTCCAAGGCTGGGATTTGTCGCGATAAAAACCTGATCTCATTTGAATGCTTTCATATCACCAGCTCCCTCCAGCCCATGCCCAGGTCCCATCCACTGGGCGTCCCCCCTCCCTCTGCCTGCTCTGCAGAAGCAGGGGCAGACAGTTCGCCCCCTGGCAGGTCTGGTGCGCTCCCCTCCGGGGCCACTGAACTCATCCACCTGCCTCCAGGTGTGTGAGGCCACCCTAGTCAAGAAATAAACAAGCAGCTTCTTTGCTTCCCTCCAATCCCTCCAGCTTTTCTCTGCCTGGAAGCCTCGGGGAGCTTGTGCTGGCAGGGGTGGAGGCAGAGGAGGGGAGAGAAAGAGACCTGGAGAGTGCAGATTCAACCTTGGTCAGCGCCAGGGCCCGGGTTTCAGTGCCCTCCCCGTCCAAGAGAAATGTCCCTCCCGGCCTGTGTTCCCCAGGGGGCATTCTCTCCTCAAGAAATCTCTTTAAATCTCCCTTGGAAATGTCTGAACGTCTAAAGTGACAGCAGATGTCAGCTCCTCCTTTATCCACCTGCTTTTCCCCAGAAACGCCAATGCTCATTTGATGCTCCAGGCTTGGGGGCCCTGGAGTGCATGAGTGAGTGTGAGGGTCCCGGGCTGGCTGGTCATAGGGCCAGCAGAGCAGAGCCGGCTGCAGGCACAGACAGCCTGACTTCCGAGTGCCCTGGCTGGCGCGGGCTGTGTGGAGGGCCGCTGATTTCACTGGGGCCTGGAGCTCTGAGCCGAGTGTCAGACACCTGCGCTGAAAGGAAAAGGCTGCAGCCTGTGTTGCCATGGATATACGGAGGCGCGATCAGATGCTGTTATTTTTAGCCCTGCAGTGCCAATTTATTGGTGGCATCCTGGGGACACTCAGGAAAGGCAGGAGGGCTCCGACTCAGGGCTCTGCCAGGACAGGTGGCTGTGAACGTGCTGGGGTCTGGGTAGACTCAGCCTCCCTTGGGGGCTGCCACGACTCTGGGGTGGGGGGAGAGGAATGGAAATGCGGGGCAGTGTGGGGGGAGCTGGTGAATGGAGACAGTAGAGAGGTATGGCTGAGGAGACACCAAGCTGGTTTTGGTTTTCTAGCGAAGGGGAGAATAGATGAGGCCATCAGCAGGTGGCTTTCTGGGTAGAGAGGAAGCTGAAGCCCACGAGCTAATTTGGAGACCTCAGGAGGGCCCTGCTCTGGGGCCAGGACCCAGATGTCCTGCAAATGTTGGTGGTTCAGTTCCTGCAGGGTCCCAGAGCTTTGGGGTTTTGATCTGAGTCAGGCTATGGTGGGAACAGGGGCCTCCCAAAGGGCAGTGGGCATGACAGAGGTGAGGGGGGAGCATTCGGAAACGGCAGAGGAATCGAACTGGCAGCTTTGCTTTTTGCCTGTGGCCAAAGCACCAGATAGGGCAGGGACGTCCGCATTTGCGTCCTGGTGCCACAACCTTCTTGGGTCTGGCCTGAGCCAGGTCTCAGCTTCTCCATGACTGTCTACACCCCATCATTCAGGCCTGGTGTGATGCCCTTGTCCCTACATATTTCATGTAACAGTCATTCATCTACTAACTCCCACCGTGAAAATACTCCCCTGCTGCAATTATTTTTATTATATATAATAAGACATGCCCCCTGCCCTCAAGGGGGCCCCTGAACACGTGGCCTCGTGGAGACGGTGACAGGGCTCCCTGGCTGGGTGACTCACACGCATTGGGAAGAGGCTGATCAGGAGCTGCAGAGATGCTCTCTTAAATTCTCATGGGGCCAGGAGAGGTGGCTCACGCCTATAATCCCAGCACTTTGGGAGGCCGAGGCAGGTGGCTCACTTGAGGTTAGGAGTTGGAGACCAACAATGGTGAAACCCTGTCTCTACTAAAAATACAAAAATTAGCTGGGCGTAGTGGCACGTGCCTGTAGTCCCAGCTACTCAGGAAGGTGAGGTTGCAGTGAGCTGAGATCGTGCCACTGCATTCCAGTCTGGACAACAGAGCGAGACTCCATCTCAAAAAGCAAAAAACCAACAAAAAATTCTCACGGGCCAAGGCCATGGTGAGTGGATGAAAGGGTGGACACGTTGGCCACCTAGTGACCTCTGATGCTTTTTTTCCTGGCCAGGATAAAATTCATCACCCACCACTCTCAGGGCTGAGACCCCTTCAAAGCTAACAAACAAAAAGAGAGGTGACTAGAAAACTACCCAGGCCCTTCCTCCCTCAGCCTGGGTCTGACGGGGAATCCAGGAGGTGGACCTAATTGTTGTCTACCCATAGTTGGAGGTGACAGCAAGGCCCAGAGCCAGCGACAGCTCCTTTGGGGCTATGCCTGGTGCCAAGATGCCTGAGGTCCTTCTTCCCTCCCTCAGGCCTGGCTCACCCCAGCGAGGGTCTTACCATTGACGGTCAGGGTCACCTCTCTCTCCCCGGCTCCCACACGGGGCACCACAGCCCGGCACACGTACTTGCCCGCGTCCTCCTGGCGCACGGATTTGAGGGTCAGGGTCTTCTCATTGCTCAGGACCTAGGAGAATTGGCAGGCTCAGATGCCAAGAGCAGGCGGAGGGGTGCACTCTTGTCTCTGGGAACAAGGCAGCTGAGAGGCTGGCCTGGGGTAACTGAGGCAGTCTCCGGCATCTCAGTAGGAAGCAAGGTGGGGAGGAAAGAGGCCAAAAGTTTCCTGGCCCAGACAATGCCTGTGGGCTGTACAGAGGAGACTGTACCAGCAGAGAGGCCACCCCGTGTGACTGAGGATGTTACATCCCAGGCGCAGCCCTGTGGGCTGGGGGCATGTGGGGGCACATGTGCCGGAGGAGGGGGATGCCTGCCTGGGGACTTCCAGGTTTCCTCCTACAGGAACCTCCCTGTACCTGCGGTGGCTTCTCCTCTCCCAGGCTAGCCATGGGTGACATGATCCTACAGCTGAACTTCTCTGGGGGCTCCTGGACCTGTTTTCAGAGTCATTTTCAGGATCCCTTTGGGATATAGCTTGGAGTGATGAAAACAGGCTCTGGCATGAGCTTGGTCTGCGTTCGAATCCCGGCTCCAGCAGTGAACACCTGTGTCTCTTTGGTCAGTTACTTATCTTCTCAGACGCTCCCTTTCTATGTATGGAGGCTGCTAGGATAATGCAGCGTCTGCTACATAACAGGCCACACAAAGGTCGGTTTCCTTCTGGTCCCCCTGCTTCCCTACCTGGAGCTCTCCCTGTTCCTTCCTATGTGAGGACATCTGACAATCTCTTATGCACTGAAGAATATATACGTCTTAAAAGAGGAACACAAGGGCTGGACACGGTGGCTCACGCCTGTAATCCCAGCACTTTGGGAGGCCGAGGTGGGCGGATCACCTGAGGTTGGGAGTTTGAGACTAGTGTGACCAACATGGAGAAACCCTGTCTCTACTAAAAATACAAAATTAGCTGGGCGTGGTGGCCCATACCCATAGTCCCAGCTACTCAGGAGGCTGAGGCAGGAGAATTACTTGAACCCGGGAGGCGGAGTTTGTGGTAAGCCAAGATCACGCCGCTGCACTCCAGCCTGGGCAACAAGCGCAAAACTCCATCTCAAAAAAAAAAAAAAAAAAAAAATGGAACACAGGAAAGTGAAGCCCAAGTCCAAGGCTAACGGTGGCTTTATTTGGGGGAAGTTTAAAAGGCTCTTTCTTTCTCTTTCTTTTCTTTCTCTCTCTTTCTTTTCTTTCTCCTTTCTTTCTTTCTTTCTCTCTCTCTCTTCCTTTCTTCCTTTCTTTCTTTCCTTTCTTCTTCTTTTTTTTCCCCAAGGTCTTGCTACGTTGCCCAGGCTGGACTTAAACTCTTGAGCTCATGTGATCCTTCCACCTCAGCCTCCTGAGTAGCTGGGACTACAGGTGTGTGCCACTGTGCCCACTTGAAAAGCCTTTCTAGTGCCTTCCCTCCCAGCACATTGGTGACCACCTACTTTTCTTGTAAGGTTTAGGACAGGGCAAGAGTGCAATGGCTGAATGTGCTCAGGGTGGGACAGGCACATGGGGGTGCCTGGGTTCCCCCTCCTCTTTCTGGGATCTTTCTCCCTGTGGCTTACACTGGAGGCTGACTCCCCCAGTCTAATAGTGAGAGGGGCCTGGGCAGCAGTTCCTTCTTGCTCCACTGTCCCCGCCCCCTGCCAGAGGTGCCCCGAGGTCTGAGCTGCAGCCTCACCACTCCGGAGCCCCGCTTCATCCAGACGATGGTCAGGGATGGGTTGCCGGTCCAGGCGCAGCTGAAGATGGCATCAGAGCCCAGATCCACGAGCAAGGATTGGGGTTCTGTGGTCATCCGGGGCCCAACTGCGATGTGAGGAAGAAGAAGACAGGTTCAGGTGGGTGGGGAGCTCTGGGATCCTCCTTGCTGCTGCCTCCTTTTCCCCCTAGACCTTGACTGGGGGGAGGCAGGCAGTGGGGTACTTGTGCCACCTCAGTCGCTTCCATTTTAAGTCTTATGTCCGGGCGGGGTCTGGGATCTGGGAGTGGGACTCAGGAAGCAAGGAGGAGACCACTCTCCCTGAGGCTTCGCCTCTCTTGGGCCCATGGAGGTGGTCGGCAGCGTGGGGCCTGGGAAGAAGGTGCTGGGGACCAGGTTCTGCCTGGATTTACCCCCACGGCTCTCATCCCCTTCCCTCTGTCTGGATCACGCCCGGTGCTAGAAAGCTGCGGAAGCCCCTCCATCCCAGTGGCGGGCAGGGGCCCTCCTCCTGCCCTGGAAATCTGGGCTCTTGGGATCTTCATGCCTCTGCCTTCAAGCTAGCTGCCATCTCCTCCAGCCTCAGCCTTCATGACCTGGAATCGAGTGACTGGTGCACCTCTGGGGTGGGATGGGGGCTCTGAGATGCAGGGTGATGGAGGCAGGGCTCTCGTGACCCACGCCTCCTCCCCCAGGGTTTCCCACCCGGTGCTCTCAGGCCACCCTCCTATTACAGCCGTTCCAGCCTCTGTGTCACGCCCATTGCAGTGGAGCAGCCCTGGGTTCCACTTCCGACCCCTCTCCTAAGCATTAAAGAGCTGAATGCAGGCTCCTCTCCACCTTCCCTAGCATGTCTGGAGCCTTCTGTAGACCAAGCTTGGTCTACACAGTGGGGGCCGTGTGGGGATTCCAGGCTCAGGGTCCGACCGTGGCCAGGCAGGCCTCAGAGTGCTCCTTCCAGGGAGCAGACAGAGCCTGAAGCCTGGTGCCAGGAGACTGCGATTAGTCCCCTGATGTAAAAAGGGAGTAACAGCACTTTCTTCGGAGGCTTCAAGGGCAAGGGGGAGGGCCAGATTTTTTCAAGTTTGTAAAAGCAAGTTTAAAACTGTAAGGGGCGGTGCATGAGCTAAGGATGCTTGTTTTGAACACATCCAGCCAGCTAGTCCATGGCAGTGCGCTGCCTTGCTGCGGGTCCCTGCTGGACCTCCAGTGAATAAGAGGGGATGGGCAGGTGCGGTGGCTCATGCCTGTAATCCCAGCACTTTGGGAGGCAGAGGTGGGTAGATCACGAGGTCAGGAGATTGAGACCATCCTGGCCAACATGGTGAAACTGTCTCTACTAAAAATACAAAAATTATCTGGGTATGGTGGCAAGTGCCTGTAGTCCCAGCTACTCGGGAGGCTGAGGCAGGAGAATCTCTTGAACCAGGGAGTTGGAGGTTGCAGTGAGCAGAGATCTTGCCACTGCATTCCAGCCTGGTGGCAGAGTGAGACTGTCTCAAAAAAAAAAAAAAAAAAAAAAGAAATAAAAAGAAAAAGAAGGTACGTCCGTGAGTCCCCTCAGTGGAAGGCAGCAGAATGTGTGAATGGGCAATGGATTTGGTCATTGCCTGGGTTCAGTTCTCATTTGGCCACCTACTGTGTGACCTCAGACCTCCATCTCCTCATTCAGATGATGAGAATAAATATCTACCCATGATGGCCTGCGTGCTTGTGTCCCCCGTCAACCCTGCAATTCGTAAATTGAAATCCTCACCCCTGTGGGATGGTAGTAGGAGGAGGAGCTTTGCAGGGGCAGGGGTTAGATCATGAGAGTGGAGCCCTCGTGATGAGATTAGTGCCCTTGGAATAAAGGCCCCAAGAGCTTGCTTCTCTCTTTCTCTCTGCCATGGGATGCCACAGCAAGAAGGCAGCTGCCTGCAAGCCAGGAAGAGAGTCCCCACCAAAACCCACCACGATGGCACCCTGATTTCAGCCATTTAAGCCACCGAGTCTATGGTAACGTGTCATAGCAGCCCCAGCCAAGACCCTGACTCATGGGGTCATGATAGGGATTGAAATAAACATGAAACAATGCACAAACCAGCTTTCGTCGAGTGCAAACCATCCTACGCTCATGACGCATGAAGCTTGTGTTGTGTGCAATGAATCTAGCCCTGGTTTCTCCAGCTCTAAGCAGAAACCAGTGGATGCCTGCTCGCCTGGGGAAGCCTGCACCACTGCACTCACAGTAGACGTCAACCGTGCGGCTGAGGTTGGTGCTGCCCAGGGCGTTGGTCACCTCACAGGAGACGGGCTCTGAGAAGTACGTGTAGTCCACTGTGGTCCTGTACACCTCTCCAGATGCCTCCTTGATGATCTGGCCCCGCTTGGCCCACCTGCAACAAAGGCCAGGGGCTGATGTGGGCCTTGAGTGGCAAGGCCAACCCTCCGGGAGCTGGACACATCCATCCCATGGAAAAATGAGGCCTGGGTTGTGTGGCAAGTGGGGAGTCCTCTGGGGTCCGTCAAGGGGAATCTTCACAGAGGGGCTACTTCAAGGGCTCAGAAAGAGTTGGTTTTGCTCCCACCCAGGTGGTTGTGAAGGCAGTGGGCTTTGGTTTGTGGTCACCAGGCAGTCAGTGGCACTCAACAAGTGGGTTATTCTGGAGGGGGTGAGTTGATTACTCGGCTGGTCAGCCCATCTGCTGGCTAGACGATGGAAAATCCAACTGTCAGTGGGCAGACAGCTCGCTGTCCTGCTCTGAGCTGGATCATGGGCCCCTTTGGAAAAGAAGGAGGCCAAGTCCATGACCTCAGAGGCCAGGGTCAAACGGAGCATGCCCATACATGCATGCTCATACGTGTGCACGAGCACACACACACACACTGACAAGGCGAGAAGCTGTAGGAGAGGTATGCTGTAGGGGCTCCATCTCCCGTCCAAACAGTGGAATACTAATACCCATCAGGAGGAGTGGCGTGAGCGAGTAGCCCTGGCTGCCCCTCTCTTTCCTCTTGACAAGCTCTCAGCTCTCCTGTCCTGTTCTGCCTCCTGCTTCCATGGGGTTCTGCATGGTGTCTCCTCGCCCCAGAAAGTCCTCCTAGTTTCCCTGGATGGCACTTGCTCTTCTTCCTGCCTGGCCTCTGCCCTTGCAGCCTGGCTTTGCTCCTCTGAAGCAATGGCTCCATCAGCACTGGCTTGGTGAGGGGATGTGAGTCGGAAGTCTCTTTTGTCGGCCAATCGGTACCACACAATAGGGGAGGACAGGAGGCCTCTGGCTTGCTTTGGATCTGGCTCTGGGGCAGTGACCCCTGTGTTGGACCAGTGACCCAGCAGCCTGCTGTGTGCAGAAAGCAACGGAGCCTCACAGGGGTGTATGTGTATACACATGTATGTGGGTGTATGTGTATACACATGTATGTGTGTGCATGTGTGTTCATGTGAATGTGTGCATGTATGTGTGCACGTGTGCATATGAATATGCATGTGTGAGTGTGCCTGTGTGTGCATGTGTGAGCATGTGCGTGTGTGCATGTGTGAGTGTGCCCATGTGCACGTGTGCATGTGTGAGCGTGGGCATGTGTGTCCATGTGCATGTGTGCATGTGTGAGTGTGCATGTGTGAGTGTGGGTATGTGTGAGTGTGTGCATGTGTGAGTGGGCATGTATGTGTCCATGTGTATGTGCGCATCTGTGAGTGTGTGAATGTGTGCATGTGTGTGGGTGTGAGTGTGTGCATGTGTGCATGTGTGTGTGTGCATCTGCGTATGTGTGCATGTGTGTCAATGTGCATGTGTGCATGTGCGTGTGCATGTGTGCATGTGCATGTGTGCATGTGTGTGTCCATCGGCGTGTGCGAGCATGTGCATGTGGGAGCATGTGCACGTGTGTGTGCATGAGTGTGTGTGTGTCCATGTGCATGGTGCGTGTGTGGTGCGTGCATGTGCGAGTTTGTGCATGTGTGAATGTGGGCATGTGTGAGTGTGGGCATGTATGACTGTGTGCATGTGTGAGGGTGTGCATCTGTGCATGTGTGTGTCTGCATGTGAAAGTGTGGGCATATGTGTGTATGCGTGTATAGATGTGTGAGCATGTGCACGTGTGTGTGCATGTGTGCATGTGTGCATGTGCGTGTGTGCATGTGCGTGTGTGTCCACGTGCATGTGTGCATGTGTGTGGGCGTGTGTGCATGTGTGAGCGTGTGCATGCATGGGTGTGTGCATGTGTCAATGTGCATGTGTGCACGTGAGTGCATGTGTCCATGTGCATGTGTACATGTGTGAGCATGTGCATGTGTGCATGCATGTGCATGTGTGTGCGTGTGTGCATATGTGTCCATGTGCATGTGTGCATGTGTGTGTGTGCATGTGCATGTGTGTGCATGTGTAAATGTGGGCACGTGTGAATGTGTACATGTGTGAATGTGGCCGTGTGTGTGCATGTGTGTGCATGTGTGGGTGTGTGTATGCATGTGTACATGTGTGAGCATGTGTGCATTGCTTGTGTGTCCGTGTGCATGTGTGCGTGTGTGCATGTGTGCATGTGTGTGCATGTGGTTGTGTGCATTAGTGAGTGTGTGCATGTGTGTGCGTATGTGAGTGTGACTATGTGTGAGCGTGTGCATGTGTGAACGTGTGCATGTGTGCATGTGTGTGCATGTGTGAGCGTGTGCATGTGTGTGTCCAAGTGCATGCGCATGTGTGGGCATGTGCATGTGTGTGTGCGCATGTGTGTGCATGTGTGAGTGTGTCCATTTGTGAGTGGGTGCATGTGTGAGAGTGTGCATGTGTGCATGTGTGTGATCATGTGCATGTGTGTGTGCGTGTGTGTACATGTGTGAGCATGTGCATGTGTGCATGTGTGTCCATGTGCATGTGTGCATGTATGGGCGTGTGCATGTGTGAGTGTGTGCATATGTGCGTGTGTGTGCACGTGTGAGTGTGTGCATGTGTGAGCACGTGCATATGCATGTGAAGTTGGGGGCTTCCTTACGGATCTCCAGGGAGAGAGAGTTCTCCGTTTCCCCTGGTTTAATCCTACTCTGATCCCAACATTCTTTTTTTTGAAACCACGGAACTTCTCTTCAGGCTGTTACAGTTGAAGTGTCTATGGGGAGTTTGTCTTTCCAGAGCTGCAGAGGCTTGTTGCCTCCAGAAGCGTCACCCCACAGCCACTGCTCCCTGGAACTGCAGTGTCTCTGCTCCCCTGCTTTGCCTCCCCTTTATCTTATTCCTGGAGCCTTTCCTGGCACCACAAACGCCGTCTCCTGCCCTTCCCTCCATTAGCTTCTTGCCTCCGTCTGACCCATCCAGCCCCGAGAGACGACTGTTTCTTGGCATCAGACAGAACACCTAGGCTGGCACCAAGCAGTTGTTATTGCAAATTAATATTGGGTAATTATTAAGAACACAATTAATAATAACAACTGTAGTTTAACAACAGAGCAAACCATATCTCCCTTAGAGCTTAAGGAGCTTCCCAACAAACCATTATGAGTTATTCATGTGTCGTTTCAATCTCTTAACTTTGATTTAATGACCAGACTTAAAAGAGTCAGGCCGGCCCCTGCCTGCGGCAAATGAATTCAGTTCCAGGCACAGCTAGGGAAGTGTGTCCAGCCCCGCAGTTCCTTTCACCCTGCTGAGGCGAGGGGGCCAGGTGGTGGATGCAGCGTGAGGCCAAGCGGGCAGCTGGCTGGGCTGGGAAGGCAGGGAGCCCTGGCTGCTCACAGCTGTGGGTGCCGGGCTGGGGCTGGAGGGTTTGGGCCCAGGTGATAGGGCCAAGCATGCGTCTTCCTCAGGGCTTCCTGGAGAAGCTCTCGCCTCTCCTCTCCTTCCAGGGCCCCTCACCAGGAGCATCACGGAGGGTGGAAGCCCCACCTGCTTGGCCCCAAGTAATCAGCAGAACTGCTGCTGGCTCCGGGAGCCAAGGTTCCCTGCCCTCCCTGTCCTCTCCTCTCATGGTGAGGGAGCCAGAGACGGAAGAGGACCGGAGCCGCTGTCGGGGCTGGGTCCGCAGGAGCCCAAGCCAGGTCTTTTGGGGAGGTGCCTCAGGACCCGACAGAGCCCGCAGCTCACATCTCGCCCAGCCGGTCTTTCTTCCCCTCCTGCACTGAAAAACCCTCTGAGAGGTCCCTGCCAAAAGCACAGACACTCAAACCACTGCATCCACGCAGCTGGCCAAGGATCCAGGCCAAGAGCTAAAGAGTGAGTCTCGCCCCACCCTCTTCGTGCCTCTCCTGATTTTGGTGCAGTTTCTTCCCTGTCCTTCCTCTTTGTCTCCTCCCCTCTCCCCACCCACCTCCCCCAACTCACTGTTGCTTCCCCACCTCCCCCAGCCCCTCTGAAAGTGGAGTCAGCTTAAGCCTCTCCCAATCAATGTCTAATTTGGTCTGAACAAATGTAAGAGGATTAATTATTTATATCACAGAATCAGGGGGGCTGGCGTGTCACAGCCGCCAGGTTGTCCTCAAATAGACCAAGGTTTCATCTCGTGTGGGGGGGCCACATCCCGCTATCTGCTGGGGAACACTGAGAGACTCTCAGAGGAAAGGGCCCCAAAGCACTTTGGGCTCCTGGTCCCTAGGAGCATCTGCAGTGACATCCCCATGCCACCCAGGCCTCCTTTCCAGGCACTGGGATGGAGGAGGGCGTTATCTCTAGCTTCAGAGATGACAGCCTCTTAGTGACAGCAGGGAGGAAGCTATCAAGATGAATGAAAGTAAAGAAACAAAGTTTCCTGTAATCTTGTCAGTTAGGAAAAATCAATGTACTTATGTGATGAGATTTGCTTACGGCTTTTCTTCTTGGATCCCAACATTGCTTCTAAACACCTGGCTGCTTGGTGAGACCTTGCTGGAGTGAAGGGGCTGAGCGAGTGTGGGTGGGTGCAGGCGCCCACCACCTCCCCTCTCCGTGGCCCCTCCGCCTCCTCCCTTCCCAGGCCACTCTGGCTCTCTGGCATTAACCTGGGGGCCGGAGGGGCTCCCTGAAAGCCTCTGGAGTCCTGGAGGGAGATGACCCCTCAGTGAGGTGTTTTCAGGGCCCTTCACTAATCAGAAGGCCATGAGGGAAGGTGACCAGGAAGAACTAGTGAGTCTCTGCAGGGCACCCTGCCCTCCCTGCCCCTCCCAGCTCCTGCTTGGTATAGGAGGGGCCGGCTGTGATACTGTGAGCTCCAGGGGAGTACGAAAGGGAGGACCCACAGGCCACCTGTAGCATGGGGAAGCCCGCATGTTCTCTGCTTGTTCATTAACTTTTCAGCTTGCAAAAAACAAACTTCGGAATTACAGAAAAGTTGTAAGAATAGTCCCATTAACTGCCACCCTCCCATCGCCCGGATTCACCAGCTGTTAACATTTTCTCACGCGTGCTTTGCGGAGACCTCTCCTCTCCTCCCACCTTCTTCTCTTTCCTATTATTGCTGTTCTGCTTTTTTGAGGTTGGTGACCCTGGGAATCAGGCCCAGCACTTCGTTTCCTGGGTGTTTGCTGTCCGGGTCAGTAGGCAGGTGTGGGTGGGGGAGGCAGGCCTGGGGGTGGAGGGGTCAGGTCCCAGGGCGTGCAGCCCTGCTGTCTGCCCAGCCTACCCATCACTAGGACCCCAGGTGACCAGAGCCTGGCAGTGAGGAGAAACGAAAGTCGAAAGTTGTGTGTCCTGGTCTCTGGGGCGCCCAACAGGCATTCTAAGGGTGGCTGTGAGGGTGAATAGGGGTGCTTGCCGGGTGGTCTGTGGGTGTGAAGGGCTGCCCTGGGAAGCTAGCATGACAGATATTTTCTGGGCATGTTGTACCTGGTGTTTAGGGACCAGGAGCAGAGACCTGGGAGCAGACAGAGGAGAGAAGCTGAACTTGTATGGAGAAACCCAGGCCTGGCAGGTGCAGCGTGGAAGCCTAGGGCCAGGGAGTCTCATTGGGCGCCTCTCTTGTATCTTCAGTGGCTTCTGAATAGATGCCAGACCACAGCCAAACCAGACTTGCCCCCTGGACCTGGCTGGACCCACATGATTCTGGGGAGCCTGGAGTCCCCGGCTCAGAAGGGACCCTGGAGGTCATCTGTTCTTTCTTCTGACTCTAGTCAAGCAAATGGTTAAACTGGACAGGACAAATGGGTTTCATCCTATTTAAAAATATCCTTGGGGATAGGAACTCTGGGCTCTGCCTGGGTTTCTGACTCCAGTGCTGCTTAATTACGCACTCTGCAGGGAGCACCTCCTCATGTCCAACCTGAATCCCTGGCTGTCCCTGTGGCCCATTTCCTTCCATTCTGCCCACGGGGGCCACACTGGCTCTTGTCTTCCCTGTTCTCCATTCCCACAGGCCGGCTTATTTCCTAGGCTGGCACCATTAACATCCTTGGCCTTTGCAGATGCTGCAGCTTAATGGCCGAGATCAATGGCAGAGGTGACACCTGGGCTCCACCACTAAGCCTGGTCTGGTGGAAAGAGACCAGGCTGAGTCAGGGCCATGGCAAGTTCCACGTGGCACCCAAAAGGAGGTGAGTCTGCCCTTGAGTGCCTCCAAGGTCACTTAGTCTCCTAGAGTCTTGTGCAGTGACAGTGCCCAGGCAGAAAGGCGCCCAGAGGAAGCGTGTGTTTATTGGATCAGTCAGACACATCTAAGGAGCATGTGGTTTATGCCATGTGCTGTGCTGCATGCTGAGAGCCATCAGTGACTAAATTGCAGTTCCTGCCTTCAAGAAGCTCTGTCACAAGGCAGAAACAAGTAAAACAAAAACAGTGATGCTTTGGCCGGGTGCGGTGGCTCATGCCTGTAATCCCAGCACTTTGGGAGGCTGAGGCAGGTGGATCACGAGGTCAGGAGATCGAGACCATCCTGGCTAACACGGTGAAACGCTGTCTCTACTAAAAATACAAAAAAAAAAAAAAATTAGCTGGCGTGGTGGCGGGCGCCTGTAGTCCCAGCTACTTGGGAGGCTGAGGCGGGAGAATGGCGTGAACCCAGGAGGCAGAGCTTGCCAGTGAGCTGAGATCACGCCACTGCACTCCAGCCTGGGTGACAGAGCGAGACTCTGTCTCAAAACAAACAAAGAAACAAACAAACAAACAAACCAACAAACCAAACAGTGGTGCTTTTATCCGTGTTGTGAGCAAGAGACACACAGGGGCCATGAGTAAGTGTGATCCCGGATGCTCACTGGACTGGGCCGGGGCCCAGACATCCTGATCTACCCAGGTGAACCAGTTTGATGGGCACAAGACTAGAATGGAGGTTCTGATCTTGCTGCTTCTCCTGGTTGTTCTGGTTTTTTTTTGTTTTCGTTTTTTTTTTTTTTTTTTCCTGAGCCTTTTCCCCATGTTTGGAGTGTGGAATAATCAGGCTATTCAAGCAGAAGCCGTGAGTCCTGCTTCCTCCAGTGGAAGAGGGCGCGTGCACGCACAGAGGAGAGGAAGGGTCCACACGGCTAGCAGGCAGGCGGGTTTAAGAGGAAGGGAAGAAGGCTACTGGACACGCGGTGTGGACTAGGCACACACTGCAGCCATGCTGAGGACCCTAAGTGACATCCCACGTGAGAGGCACGGGGGTGGGGGCCAGTGGCCAGGCCGGGCCCCCTCAGCAGTGACTCTCACCTGTACTGGGTGACAGCTGGGTTGGCCTTTGCAGAGCAGTGGAAAGTGACGACGTTGTCCTCCAGCACTGGCTGTGGCTCCACCGAGAGGTTGACCAGTGGAGGGTCTGCAGGGAGAGGAGAGTCACTTGTAGACCGGAGAAAGAATGGGGGCAGGGAGATCCTGGGCGACATGGAGGATACAGCCAGAGACTCCACCACCCAGGGACCCTCAGAGCAGCCCCCGCCCTGGTGGTCTTCAGGAAGCTGGGGGCTCCATGGGAGGTGCCTGCTTCAGACAGTCCTGGAGGTGGGAACAGGGCCTCCCCGTGGACTTGGGGCCTGGTGTGGACACGAACCCCGAGCCAGGAAGCCTCAGGCTTGGGCCCAGGGGTTTCCCATCCTCCAACTTTTGGGCGGAACAAAATAATCTAGGAAGGAGAGGTGGGAAGAGGGGTGCAGGGCAGAGAGGGGCGCGTGGACACTCAGTCTCGCTTCAGTGCAGACTGTCTTTGAAATGTCTGTTTATTATCTCTTTTCCGTAAAGGTTCTGGGGCATTTGTTAACTTGAAAGCGGCATTTACACCCTTTCATCAGCCTAATCATCTCCACTCAGTCCTGGCTGGTGGCGCACGGCCTCAGCTTCCCAGGCCGGGGCTCGCTTCCTCATTTGACGTGATAAGAAGCCAGGCTCTGAAGTGCTAAATGGTGGGAAGGGGAGGAGACAGAAAGTCAGGGAGAGAAAGAGGCAGGGAGACAAGAACCAGAGACACACAGAGACACACAGAAGGGACCGGAGGCCGACAGCGAGACATGTACATAGAGGAGAGACATGGAGACCATAGAGGAAGAGAGATTATGTGTGTGTGTGTGTGTGTGTGTGTATGTGTATGTGTGTGTATGCATGTGTATATGTATGTGTGTGTATGTGTGTATGCATGTGTGTGTATGCATATGTGTATGTGTGTATGCGTGTGTATGTCTCTGTGTGTATGCATGTGTATGTGTATATGTGTGTGTGTATGTATGTCTCTGTGTGTATGCGTGTATGTGTGTATGCGTGTGTGTGTATGTGTGTATGCACGTGTGTATGTGTGTCTATGCGTGTGTGTATGTGTATGTGTGTGTATACATGTGTATATGTGTGTATGCTTATATGTATGTATGTATGCGTGTGTGTATGTGTGTGTGTATGTGTGTGTAGAGCGAGAGAGAGAGAGACAAAGATGAGGAAGTGACAGGGACAGGGAGAGACATGGGCAGAGAGACAGAAAGACACACACATAGAAATTGAGAAGTGCAGAAAAAGGGCGAGAAAAAGAGAAATCTAGAGAAGCAGAGGGCAGAGTGATGGAGAGATGGAGAGACTGACCTGTTTGCAGAGACTGTGAATCAGACAAGAATTTCAGACCAAAAGCAGAAAAGGCCACGGAGACCCGGCACATAGGGCCCGACAATGACAGGGTGTTAGAGAGAAAGACCAAGTCAAACAACGAGGAAAAGAGATATGAAGGAGGAGCAGACGCTGCAAGATGGAAAGATGGAAACAGCTCGAGGGGGCTGCAGCAGAGAGACAGAGAGGTGGGAAGGGCTTCCATCAGCCTGGCCCTGCCCAGCTCAGGGGCAGCTGGCTCTGGATCCTCTCCAGAGGCTGGTGTCACCCCTGCTGCTGGGCTCCTGGTGGCCCCCAGGCCTCGGCACCCCCGGGGCATCCACACGCCGAGGGATGGGGGATAACGAGCCAGTTCCCATCCTTTTTCCCTGTCATGGCCCAGAGCTCTGGCTGAGTTGAGTGGGCAGCCCAGGACCTCATCCCCATGGACAGGCTGGGCCCTGGGCTGCATCTTCTGGGTCAGTCCCCACCAACAAGCAGAGCAAATTGCTGGAAAGTCACGAGGACTTCTAGGGGTCCAGCCCATTTCCAGAAAAAGAAGTAAAGAAACCAGTTTCTCAGAGGCAATGAGGAAAAATGCTGGTCTCTTTCGGTCCCCATGGGGGCACCACAAAGGGAGCAAGGCCCCAGCTGGCCCAGTTGGTCTGGGCTCTGGTTGGGACTACGGTGGGGTCCTGAGACCCTCAGAGAGTCATACAGTCATGCACTCAGCCTCTAAGCTGCAGACCGAGCCGGCCTTACTCTGGAGTTCGGATCACATAACTGCTCAGCTGCCCTCTTCCTGCTGGTGCCCAAGAGGACCCTGCCTCCCTGCCTAGTGCCAGGCACGGGAGCTGGCCTGAGAGATGGCCCCAGGGCTGTGCTGGTGTCTGCAGGCACTGGGGAGAGAACTCTGTTTTCTGAGTAGCAGGTGGCTGACTGTGCTGGGGAGCCTGTTCTCCCACATTTTCCCTAGTTCCAGACGGGGGACCACAAATCCAGGAAACCTCTGCTCCTGGTGCGGTCAGCCTGCCTGCCTTTCGTGGGGAATTACAAGGGAAGTGCCCTCACTTGTGATCTCAATCCCAGTTGTAAGGCATAATTCAAGTGGTCACAAAGATGGGGTTACAAGGAATAGCCACGAGAACGCTCCTCCCACCCCCAGAACCCCGTGACCTCTCCTCGAAGCTGCACCCTAGCTTCCAGGGCAAGGCTGAATCAGGAGTTCCAGCCCTCTTTCCATGCAGGGCTGGCTGGCTGATCTGGGCGTCCGTGGGACCCTACCTAGAGAACATGGACACTCAGGGAGGAGCCTGCATCTCGCCGTGGGTTGGAGAAGTGGAGGTGGGGCAGAGGAGCTTGGGAATCGCCACCGGATCCAAACGCATTGCTGGCCCGTGCCCTCGCATTATAAAGGCCAACGCTGGGACGTGAGTACCCACCCCAAGTCTGGTTTGAGGAGGTGAGTGCCAGTCCCATAGGCTCAAGGGACCCGCCACAGAACTTGGGGGGCTGTTCCAGGAGGCCCTTCCCTCACCTGGGGGTCTTTTCTAAAGTGATGAGGTCTGAGAGGCAGGGAGGTGGGGCACACACCTGTTGTAGGACCTTCCTGCTGCCCGATGCCTCATCACGCCCCTGCCATGATCAGCTCACTCGTAAGGCTGCTCTCCTGCACTTTCCCTTCCTCTTAGCATCGTCTTTGGTGATCACCTGCCCCGAAGCGATTCACAAGGGTTCCACACTCACTGGCCATATCTGCACCTCCACCCCAAGACCAGAGGTGCCCAAGCTTCTTTCTCCACTTCTGCTGGTGTACAGAATATACATTTTCAGGAGTCTGCCAAGCTCCAGAGGTATAAATAGTTTATGTCATATCCAACTATTAAACATGATTTTAATCTCACTTGTGATGTCGGCAGCATAACTTGCAGGAGGGCAGCTTTGATGTAGCTGGTGGAACTGAGATCACATTGAACAGATGTTACAGCTGAGAGTCTGTTAGTGTTTCCATCCGCCCGTGTGTGCGTGTGTCCATGTGTGTGTGTTTTCAGGGGAAGTATTACATGGAGGAGAGGGTGGGAAAAGAGAGAATCTTCATGACTCAGTGATTTTGTAGCACATTCATTTGAAACTTGGCAGCTGGACACAGAGTCCAGATGTGGTGAGGCTTTGGGGGTGTTAAGCTTTCTCTCCCATTACTCAATCTGAGGGCTTTGTCTTCCGTTGGGTAACATATGAAGACCAAGAGAAACAAACAACAAATGTGCTTTTGCTGAGTTTGGATGCTTCTTGGTTGACTGAGAAAATGAGCAGGTTCACAAAGGCAGCTCTGATGCAGCCCATGGTGTCCTTAGTAAACAGTTGGATGCTGACTGAATGAACAAATGAATAAATGGAGGAGGAGCGGGAGCAGGAGGAGGGGGAAGGGGGGAGGGAGCGGGTGGAGAACGTGTGCTTTGCTTGGCAAGCACATACAAGCACCTTCAGGCTAGGGGCGGTGAGCGCGGGGACAAATGGATGAAGATCCCTTGCCTGTTAGGGCTGTGGGGACACCTGATGAGGGGCACCACTCACCTATGGCTCTGCGTCCTGACAGCAGCTGGTAGGTGTGGGGCACTCACAACGTGTCAGACACTGCGCTAGGGGGCTTGACAGGAAGGATTTCATTTAATCCTCACTGCAACCTTAGGAGGTAAGCATGATTACTTCCATGTACAGAGGAGGAAATCGGGGCACAAGGAGGTTAACTAACCGGGTCAGTGCCACTCAGTAAGTGGCAGAGAGTTCAAAGCAGGAAGAATGCTGTGGCCTTCACCACTACCCAGTACTGCCTTGGACGAGGCTGGTCTGGGAAACTGGGCTGCTGGGCCCCAAGTGTCACTCTGACCTCATTCTGACGCCTCCTAAGGTGGCTGAGATGTCCTTGGAAAGGAAGCCAGAAAGGGCCCAGAGGCCTGGCAAGACCCAGTGTCCTCTGGATGCAGACTGTCACCTGCACCCTGTTGAACGATCTTCTGTGGGCATGAGTGCAGAAGGCCGGGTGGGCTGTGGTTAGGAGGGCGAGTTTCCCGTTGCCTGGAGAGGTTCTCCTGGGGTAATGCCTGGAGCAGGAAACTGCTTCTTCCCACCTCTCCCTGCCAGGACCTACGCTGCTGTCGCAGGGGGCCAGCTAGATTGTCACTTTTGTCCAGGAGTCTGTAACATTTTGTACAGGCCTCCTGATCAGGTTGGGGACAGGCTGGGGAAGAAGCGAGGGTGGTGGTGGTGGCAGTGAATCGAATGGCAGCCTGGAAGTAGGAAGCTTGGATGCTCTGTGTCTCCCGCCCTCTCCCCTTCCTGATTTGGATTGCATCTGGACAGAGAGCTCTGATCCGTGGCCAGTCCTCGGGCAAGAAGGGGCCTTGGATGTCATTTGGCCAAATCAGACAAGGAACCAGAGTCCCCTAGGGTGATGTGACAGGCGTAGGCCCAGCCCACCCATGGGTTGTGGAGCCGTCGTGGATGCTGGACTGCATGGCTTTGCGGCATCTCACCTTTTCCAGTGGGGCTTACTGCTCCATGTGGCTGCTCACCACACAGGAGGAGGCGGTGCTCAGACCCAGGACCCAGGCCAGGGCCAGGGCCAGTGAGGGGGAAGAGCCGAGGGTCGGAGATTAAGGAGGCCTGGCCTCACTTTCAGGGCCAGCCCTGCTTGCACTGTGTGCCCCGGGACCTCCTTCAGTCACCCTAGCTCTAGGCTTGGCCAGAGCTCCGCGGCCCTGGCTGCTTGTGAATGAGGATGCCAGAAGGCTCCTTGGTACAGGGGTATGTCGGGGGTTGTAGGGGGGACAGAGATGTTTGTTAATAGCTGGTGGCAAGACAGTGAAGATAAAGTCCCCCCCGCCCCAAGAACTCAGCCTTTGTGTGTGGGTATCTTGAGCCTACCTGAGGTTTTCAACCATTTCTTCTGCCCTCTGGAATCTAAATGGTGTCTGTCAGGATTCTAGACACTGGCTGGGAACTTCTGCTCTCAGCTGCCAAGATGAGCTCTCAGAACCTTAAGACCTGGACCCCATCTCTGGACTCCAGGTCCCTGGAGAGACACTCGGAGCCCAGAATCCACAAGGCTTAGAGAAATCAGGGCTGTTAGGAAGTGTTTTTAAATGCACTTGCTTTAAAATGAGTAAAAGGCTAAGGAGGACACGAATGCCAGCCTGCAGCTCCAGCCTTGAAATTCAGAGCCCAGGACAGAAGCAGCCACCTGCTTGCAGTAGCGTTATGTTTGGCGGCAGGGAGGGGATCTCAGAGGAGAGAAGTCCACTTTTGAGTCCTGACTCTTTAAACTGAACTAATCCAGTCTTGAGAGGAAGGCCCCTGGAACACCTTGCTGAGCTCTTCTTGGTTCTGGGGCTGACAGGCACCTTAGGGAGACTTTTAGGAGACTTTCAGGGGTCTCTGTTAGGTGGTTGTGGGATGCGATGCTGGTGGAGCCCTGAAGCATCATAACTGTCAACATGAATCCTAACACGGGCCACCGAGGGCTGGCTGGGCAGGAGTGTGGAGAGGATGTTACCAGGGTGGACTCTGGAAATCTATGCTACCTAAGTGGTCTTGGGCAAGTTAATCACCCTTTCGGTGCCTCAGTTTCCCACGGTAGGGACCACAGTTGCACCTTCTCCAAACAGTTGTTGTAAAGATTAAATAAGGCCAGGCGAAGTGGCTCACATCTGTAATCCCAGCACTTTAGGAGGCCAAGGCGGGCGGAACACTTGAGGTCAGGAGTTTGAGACCAGCTTGGCCAATATGGTGAAACCCCATATCTACTAAAGATACAGAAATTAGCTGGGTGTAGTGATGGATGCCTGTCATCCCAGCTACTCAGGCAGGCTAAGACAGGAGAATCGCTTGAACCTGGGCAGCAGAGGTTGCAGTGAGCCGAGATTGCGTCATTACACTCCAGCCTGGGCAACAGAGTGAGACTCTGTCTCGAAAGAATAAAAAAAAGATTAAATGAGATAATACATGTAGATTTCCTTCTTCTTGTCCCCTTGATCAACCCTTCCATGAGAGTGGCTGGTGCACCCTCTCCAGAGCACAGCGCTGCTTGCCAATTCTGAAGCCTGGGGACCCTTCAAATACCAGCATCTCCACTCAGACTTCCCCTCCAACAGAGGGGCCACCGGCTAGGCCAGCAGAGGCAGCAGCTGACCGTATTTATTGGTGTGAAAGTCCCACCTTGTACAGGTGTTGAAATGTGGCCTGAAGATGTCCTTTGCGAAAGACCCTCATCTGTGAGGTTGCATCTCATGACAGTAAGGAAGACAAGATGGTCCTTCCTGTCCGTATCTACAAGCTGGCCAATCCACAGAGCTGCCTGACCCATTTCCTGCTATCAGATGGGCCAGGCTATGGTCAGGGTTGCTGGGTGTTTCACCCTGGGCCTGGCAGGGCTGGGTTGGGGGAGGGGGTGGGTACTCACGCTGGATGTCAATGGTGACCGACGTCTCCTTTCCTCCGGGGATGGCTTTGTTGGTGGCACGACACACGATGCTCTGGCCATTCTCCACGTCACCAGGGGAGATGAAGAGGGTGCTGACGATGCTCTCCCGCTTGCCGTCCCGAAGCAGGGTCTTGGGAGAAAGGGAAAGGGGAGAGAAAGCTCCATGTCGCTTGGCTGGGGTGGCCAGCCTGGGTTGGGGGTAAACGAGCACCAGCTTAGACAGAAGGGGGAGCTGTGGATGGAGGGGTTCAGCTTAGGAGACCTGGGCTGCCCATGTCTACGCAGAGCTCGGGGGTTACCCCCTGGCTCCCTGGCCTGGCTAAGTGCTGGGCTGTGGAAGGAAAAAGGAACTAGACAGTTTTCCACCATGTGAAAATTAGCCTGGATTCACATGCTAAAAGCACAAAAGAAAGCAGGATGGGTTTCATGGAAACCAGGCTTCAGGGAGGTCCCATGTTGAAATGAACTCACATCTTTTTGCCTCTGGTGCTTGAGTGACAGTCTCAGGCTCTGTAGGAAGCAACGAGATGGTTTGCAACCAGCAGGGACTGTGGCCCCTGAGCGGGGACAGTCTGCAGAGGAGGCACAGTTTGGGGAATGGGAGTCAGAGTGGGTGGGGATATGGGCAGAATCAGTGCACATCAACCTTTCGATTATTTGCCTATATAAATCCTTTCAACTTTCCAAAGCGTTTCACTCCCTGATCTCATTAGAGTCTCAATCAAACCATAGGTGGGACAGATACCATTATCTCCCATTGGATAGGGGAGGAAATAGGTGGGCTAGACAGAGGCTATGGAGCTTGACCAAACTCACATTTCAAGTTGGTCCTGAAATAAGTACTAGTCTCCTACAGCAGGTTGAATGGTGTCCTCTCCAAATTCTTGTCTACCAGGAACCTCAGAATATGACCTTATTTGGGAATAGGGTCTTTGCAGTTTAGTTAAGCAATTAGTAATTAGTTAAGGCTCTTGAGATGAGGTCATACTGGATTCAGAGTGAGCCTTAAACCCAATGACTGGTGTCCTTGGAAGAAGAGAAGAGAGTCTGCTGGGTGTGGAGGCTCATGTCTGTAATCCCAGCACTTTGGGAGGCTGAGGTGGGAGGATTGCTTGAGCCTAGGACTTGGTGACCAGCCTGGGCAACATAGGAAGATCCTGTCACTACCAAAAAAAAAAAAAAAAAGAAAAAAATTAAAAAAAAATTAGCCAGGCATGGTGGCTTGTGCCTGTAGTCCCAGCTACTTGGGAGGCTAAGGTGAGAGGATCACTTGATCCCGGAAGGTTGAGGCTGCAGTGAGCTGAGGTTGTGCCACTGTACTCCAGCCAGGGCCACAGAGTGAGACCCTGCCTCAGAAGAAGAAGAAAAAGAAAAAGAAAAAGAAGAAGGAGAAGGATAAAGAGAAAGTGAAAGAGAAGAGGAGGAGGAGGAGAAGAGGAGGATGAGGAGAAGACAGAGAGAAACAGAGAAGGCCAGGTGAAGGTGGAGGCAGAGATTGGAGGGATGCTGCCACAAGCCAAGGAATGCCAGGAGCTGCCAGGAGCTGGAAGAGGCAAGGAAGGATTTTCCCCTGGAGCCTTTGGAGGGGCACAGCCCTGCTGACACCTTGATTCCAGACTTGTTGGCTTCTACAGCTGTGAGATAATTGATTTCTGTTGTGTCATGCACCGAATTGTGGTGCTTTGTAATGGCAGCCCTAGGAAGCAAACCCATCTTAACTGCTGGTCTCCCACCTTCCCAGGTCATTGCTTTTCTCTACTGGGCCACAATGTCATTCCGAAGCTAGTTCCCCATTGTGGCTGCTACCTCCTTCCCTCTCCTGTTCCTCTTTGCAGCTACTTCCCCATCACTTTGGGGCGCACTAAGTCAGGTGCACCCCGGGGAGGGTGTGCTGAGTGTGTGTGGGGGTGCACTTCCAGGTTGGGATTGGGGTCTGGTCAGTATGCAAAGGCTTCTGCTACTAGGAGGTACTAGGAAGGAACCTCACTATGGGTGCAGTCCTGTTTCCCCCGACTGGAGCCAGGGAGTAGATGAACAGACCACTCCTCCCTCAAAACCTCCCATAAAGTGACAATGGCAATGTCTCTAATTCTTATGAGGGCCCCGGAAGACAGCAGCATTATCTTTGATTAGCCAAAGAGAAACCTGTGTTCCAAGTGAGCCGGGAACTTGCTGGGTGGAGCTAGGATTTGCACTTAAGAATGGGTGAACCCTGAGCCACAGCCTCTGCTGCAGCCCCGGGGGTGCTGGACGGTGGGTACCGTGCTCTTGGCAGGACAGATGGGAACAGTTAGGGCCACAGGGAGAAACCTGTAAGCTCCTAGAACCCCACATTCTGGGTCCTTAATTCAGTGAGGTTTTTCTCAACTTGGGGCAAACCTCGTGGCGTCAGGAGAACAGGGCCAGAGCCTCTATATAGAACAGCACATCTTGCTGGAGGCAAAGCCGGACTGTGACATTCTAGAGAGCCACGCGGTGCAGCTGCAGGCCTGGGACTCAGGGTGCCAGCCACGGCCCTGGGCAGAGGGGCTGGAGGAGAGTGACGTGGCCAGATGCAGCAAGCCGGGGGCAGGACCACTGCAGAGGAGTGAAGTTGAACCCCAAGCCAAAGCCCGGGCAGGGAGGGAGCAGCAGCTGGCACCGCTTTACCACCCTGCCTTGGGCTCTTCAGCAGACCTCATCGAGTCTATAAATAGCCAAGTGATAATAAGAACAATTTCCTGGATGAAACTAAGACTTCGGGTAGGGCGCGCAGGGGCGGGGAGGTGGTGAGGAGCAGGTTGGTATTCTTCTTCTCTTCTTTACATTTCCGTTGTGCTAACAAGGGACATTTACATAAGCTTGACTCTGCCAGGAGCCCTTCCAACGGATGGGCTCTGGGCGGTGGGTGCCAGTGGCAGGGGAGGGAGGGGACCCAGCTCTAATTAGGCCCTCTGACTGCTCCCCCTCCTCCCTGCACCCAGCGTGCTCCTCCGCCTCGGAATGATGATTAATGACATATTTACTGGGTCCAGGCGTGTGCTTTTCTGGGAAATAAAAATTCTGGTTCAAGTTGTTTGTTCCACCTAATTAGAGAAAAAGGGAGATGTGTTCATTAAACAAAAGGAGGGTGAGGGGAAGGCACGTGCCCCAGCACCAACACCCTCTCTGTCCCCGTGGAAGGTCCCAGCACCTCCTGGGCCCCTAGCTCGCGGGGGACCCCAGGCCCCGTGCAGCGGGTATCCCAGGGAGGAAGGCTGGGTCTGCCAGCTCTGCTGCAGGACGACTGAGGGGAGGAAGGTGGGACAGAGCTGGGGGGCCCAGGGGGAAGGCTGGAGGGAGCCCTGCACCTGCAGGACAGGGCGGGATGTGGAGGGGCACGGGGGATCTGCACCCCCGGGTTTCTCTTCCCCCATTCCTTTCTGATCTCGCCTCTCTTGTTTCTTTTGCTTCACTCCTTTTCAGAAATGAATCTCCCCTAATTGTCACTTTTCTCATATGCAAATGGAGCCTCTGGACTTTGCAGCCTTGAAGGTACTGTCCAGGAGAACATTCTATCATCTGCAGGTTCTAGTCGCAGCTCCACTCCGCCCCTCCCTTCCCTGCTTCCCTTCACTGAGCTTGGCTCTGGGGACACACCATGGGCATTGAACCTCCCACCTCCTGCTTCAGAAAGCTTCATGCCTTGCAGGTGAGCTCCAGAAGGAAGTGAGTTATTCATGGTGGGCCACTCACTGTGGGAGCCACCGCCTCCAAGGCCTCCCTCCAGTGTGGTGAGCACTAACGTGCTGCCAGCCCCCGGCTCGCCCAGGTTGCCCATGTGACTGCCATGGTGGCTCCCAAGAGTCCCCGAGGACCCAGCTCCTGTGTGTGCAGATATGGGCCAGGGGCAGGCATATAGATGGCGTGTGTGCAGCATGTGTCCGGGAACGAGCGTGCCAGGGCATACACCCCCGTGGGTATGTGCGCGTACCTGTTTTTGTCTTTGGGTGTTCATGGGCCTCTGTCCACTGACTGCCGTGACTCTGCGGGGCCCCAGGTTCTCTCTGGACGCTGCCTGCTCAGGTGCCGCCTCAGGGCTGTGCACCCACCCCCACTGCCCCTCCCTAAGGGCAGGGATTTGGCACTCACTTCTCTAGTTCCCCAGCACCGGCCTGGGAGGCCGGTCTTCCCAGGTATGGTTGTACACAGTGTACCCCACCCCATGGTTTTCCTGCTTGGGTGGCAGTGGCTGGCCACTCTGCTCTTTCCAAAGCCCCCAGGGCCTCCTCTGGGCAGTGGAGAGCCAGGCTGAGCTCTCGGAAATGGGTGGGCTGGAGGGCAGACAAGGGGTGGGGGCCCAAGCACTGGTGCTAAATATGGGGTGCCCGATGACAGGCAAACCGTCTGGAAAGGCCGAGAGTAGCCTGATTGCCTGGCAGCAAGGCCGCCTCGCTTCTCCCCGCTACTCACCTTCCCCACCTGCTGGGTCCCTTTTTTTTTTTTTTTAAAAAATCATGGCTCTGCTTCCCCTTTTGATAGCTGCTTGGGGCTCCCCATGGGCTGGTTGCCACCTGGCTTGAATAAGGGTGTGTGGGCCAGGTGGAGGATGCGCAGTGCTTTTTGCCCCAGTCCCTGCATCCAGCCTTGAGGCCAGAGGCCAGAGGGGTGCCCTTCACAGAGAAGGCCAGGATGAGCCTCGGCCACACCCAGTGGAGACTCTAGGCCCCTAAGCTGGGCAGATAGGTGCAGGGTGATGGGTGAGTGACCAGGGAGGGGGTGCCCAGTGGAGGGTGAGGGCCCTATGCATGTGGGCACTTATCCCTTTCCTGAGTGGGGTCTCCAGAGCTCCTCTTAGCAAAGGTGGTAAAAGGCGAGGCCAGTGGTCCTGGTGGTAGGGGTAGAGGGCAAGGGGCTCCAAGCAGACACAGACACGACTGTGCGTGCTAAGACCTTGCAACCCTCCTGCCTGGCAGGAAGCTGCACTTAGGAAGGGTTCTTTCTGGGCTCAGCCTGTCCTCTCGCCCCTCCTCTTCCGTAACCCATCCTTCCTCCCCTGCTGTGTGGACTTGGGGGCTTTCCAGAAGAAAGAATGTGGTCTCCACTCTGGCGCCAGGCCCTCAGAAGTATGAGGAACAGGGAAGGAACCCACTGTCCCCAGACAGCCCAGGGTTGAGTCTCCAGGAAGAAGCTTGGAGGGGCCTTTTCCTGCTCTGTGCCTCTGCAGCCGACACCCGCTGGGAGCCTGCAGTGGGCACTGCCCAAGGCCCCATCCGGCAGTGTGGCTCGCCCTGCACCCTGGAGGCTGTGACAGTGGCCTGTTAAGGAGAAGCATGGCCAGCCTGTGCTGGGGGAGGGACTGGGTGCTTCCTCTCCTGCCCTTCCTCCTGGGGAAGGGGCCTGGTGCCCTCCAGGGCTGAGGCTCATCCCTCCCCTACTGGTCCCATGGTGGAGTCACAGAGAGAATGGTCGGTGAGCAACCCAGAAACTTTGAGAACAGGCCTGGTGTTTTATGAAATAGCTGTATGACCCCTGGGGCAGGGAACTGGGGTTCCCCCTGTGGGACAGGAGCCAATAATAGTAGCTCACATTTATCCAGTCCTTACTCCTGCCCTTGACAGGGTGCTTCTGATGCATAATTTCTTGTAAGTCACTCTGCAACCCTAACAGACATCCGTGATCATTATCACTGCATTTTGCAGCTGGGGAAACTGAGGCAGAGGGTGACATCACCATGTTATGTTACGGATCCCAGGTTTGAGCTAGGCCTTCAGAACCATGTGGCCAGCCTAACTATGACACCGATGTCTGCATATGGGAAACGCGAGGTCCATAGTGGGGTGGACCTTGCAGCCGTGTGGATCCAGTGAGGGGGTGACAATCCCAACAGCAGTGCTTGTTGCAAGCTCGCTATGTGCCAGGCGTGTTTCTCATTCAACTCCTCACAAGCACCCCTTAAAGTGGGTGCTGCTGTCGTTCCCATTGTATGGCAAGGACAGGGAGGCACGGCAAGGTGAGGTCACGCAGCTGGAAGGTGGCAGAGCCCGGATCCAAATTCAGGCTGCCAGCTCCTGAGCCCACGGGGATAATCATCCACCATGTGACAGCCACTGAGGGCGTCAGACCCGACAGCAGCCAGGGCTGCCCTGAGGGGTCTTTTCTGGGGTCCTTGGAGGCTGCCTGATTTTGTGTGTGCTCCCAGCTTCTCTTCCTCTCTGCGGCTGATGCTCTGGCCCCTCCTCATATGTAGCCTCTCTGGGGAAGTCAGGAGTGCTGTTGGCCTATGGCAGGGCTCCTTGCAGCCCTGGGGGAGGAGGGGGTGGGCTGGGTCCCTGGGAGGGGAAGCAGAGGGGTTGGCTCGGACAGCCCCCAGAGCCTGCTCCATAGGAGCCCTGGATTGTGTAACCTACTGGGTATACTCCACATCACAGGCTTGTAGCTTCTCCCTGCCCGGCACACAGCCCCGTGCCTGGGGAAGCTCCACTGACGTGTGCGGGCTCTGCTGGTCACCCCTTTGGTCTCCATGAGAACCACTGGCCGTGGGGTGGACAGTTAGGATGGTGGATGACCATGGTTTGGAGGAGAGGCCCAGAGAAATGAAGTGCCTTGCCTTGGGACACAGGGCCTCTTCCCATGCTCATGTCCAGGGACACATTGAGGGTCTCAGGCCTCTGCTGCTCCCTGGACAAGCCACAGAGGGGCAGGAGACCATCTGAGGTGACTGTCCCCTGAGGAATCTGTTTCTCTTCCGGAGCGTCTGATCCAACACCTTCATTTTGCAGACGAGGAAACAGATGCCCAGGGAGTGAGTTGCCTGAGGTTATGCAGTGGAAGCTGGAACCCAGGCCTGCGACTGCCTGGCGCTGCCGTTCCCGTCACAGGCCCAGGAGCATGGATCGGGTCCCCCGCCCTGCTGTGCAGTAGTATGGTACCAGGCTCTCCGAGGGGCCTTCACAATGTAGACAAGGATGACATGTTGAGCTCAAGGTGATCCTGGGACAGGTCCAGCAGAGTGACCCTGACCTCTCTCTCCACCTGATGGCATGTGTCCTCTGCAGGACATTGACTCTGCTAGGGTCCAGGCTGGCCCAAGTTCAGGGAGGGACAGGACAGGTGCTCAGACTGGAAGGAAAGCCCCTATCCTTCCTTTTCATTCTCCTCTGGACAACTCTCTCTCTGTGTTATATCCTTGTATTACATAACAGGACAGGGTGGCTTCAGCCCAGGACATAAGGGAGAGGCTTGTCTTCCAAGAGGCAGCCATCCCTCCCTCCCCCTGGACTTGTGTCTGAGGGAAGGAGTTTGCCCTGGGTTCTGGCACCAGGTGCTGGGTTCTTTGATCGGCAGCCCTGGAGTGACCTCTTGGCAGGTGGTCAGTTTGGGACAGGAAAGACACACCCTCAGAGTGGGGACGGGCCTGCCTCACATCCTCGGATGACCAAGGCCCTGCTTATCTTTCCAGGATTGCTTAGAGGACTGGTGGGTAGGGGGAACCAGGCCGTGTATTTCCCCAGTCTCTGAGGACAAGGAAAACCCTCAGACCTGAGGCGAGCGGGCGTTCTGGAGGCTGGGCCCCCAGCTGCGGAGCTTGGGGGACCGGCTTGCCCTAGGAGGAGCATGGGCAAGGGCAGAGGCCAGGGTGTCAGGAATTGTGGTTCCAGGCCTGGCACTGCCCACTCCACCACTGAGAAGGACAGTCACTTCCCCACCAGGCCTCAATTTTCTAGCTGCAGACAAAAGAGGTTGGCCCAGGTATACTGTAAGGCCTCATTCATCTTAGAGGCTCTGTGGTACATTAACCCCATCTGGGACTCTATGCACAGTTTTGTTGAGTGGAGTTTGGTGGGGGCTGTTTAAAAATGTACCCAGAATTTTGTTTTTATTCAGGTAGAGGGAGGCCAACAGATCAGGAGACAACTGCCGTTGAAAAGACAGTTTGCGGCCGGGCGCAGTGGCTCAGTCCTGTAATCCCAGCACTTTGGGAGGCTGAGGCAGGTGGATCACCTGAGGTCGGGAGTTTGAGACCAGCCTGACCAACATGGAGTAACCCCGTCTCTTTTAAAAATACAAAAAAAGAAAAAAAAATTAGCTGGGCATGATGGCACACGCCTGCAATCCCAGCTATTCTGGAGGCTGAGGCAGGAGAATCACTTGAGCCCAGGAGGTGGAGGTTGCGGTGAGCTGAGATCACGCCATTGCACTCCAGTCTGGGCAACAAGAGTGAAACTCTGTCTCAAAATAAATAAATAAATAAATAAAATAAATAAAAAATAAAAAAAGAAAGAAAAAAAGAAAAGACAGTTTGCTACTCATAGTTCCCAGAGGAAGGGGAGGCCCCAGGGTCAGTTGGGGCTGGGGTGGGAGGTGTGGGGAGAGTGTGGGCACAGCCTCTGTTGTGGCTTGCTTTCATAGGAAGGAATGGTGAGGTAGGGTTGGTGGCTCAGCAGGTTTAGGATTGGATAGCTTGAATAATTTCCCTGGGCCCTGAGCTGTAGGGGTGGTCTGATGTGTGGCCCTGGGGAGATTTAGGGTAGGGGTATAATGTCCTGGACTATGGAGCCTGATGAAAAAAGGCTGTGGGGGCCTGGGCTCTGGATTGGTTGGTCTGCTTTGATATAAAGCCTGCTTGCTATCTCCAGGAATTAGCTTACCCTGGTCCTTCCCTGGGTCTGCAAGGCCCCAGATGTCAAAGCATCATAAAATACACAACATTTTAAAGACACAATTAATACGGGGGCCAGTTCAGGGTGCTTCCAGCCCTTGGTATCGTGTGTGAATTAGAGACCAGAACCCCTGTTGGTAGACACAGCAGGGCAAGGGCTGTTGGGTAAGGGATCATGGGCTGGATTTCAGCCCTCCCTGGCCCCTGAGCCAGGCACCTTGGAGATGGTGGAGCCTAAACGGCTTCACCTGGCAGCCCTGGAAAGTGGCCAGATTTAGCAAATAAAATACAGGATACTCAGTTAAATGTGAATTTCAGATATATAATGACTGTCTTCTTTAGTATAAGTATGGCTTGTGAGTATGTCCAATGCAGTATTTGGAAGATACTTACATTAAAAAGTTATTATTTTTCTGAAACTCAAATTTAACTGGGCATCTGTCTTAGCCCAGCTGGGCTGCTATAACAAGATATATAAACTGGGCGGCTTATAAACCACAGACATTTATTTCTCACTGTTCTGGAGGCCGGGAAGTCCAAGATCAACGCAGATTTGTTGTCTGTTGAGGGACAGACACCTGGTTCATAGATGCCCTCTTCTCACTGTGTCCTCACAATGTGGAAGGGACAAGGGGTCTCCCTCAGGCCTCTTTTTTGTAAGGGCACTGATCCCATTTATGAAGCTCCACCCCCATGACCTGATCATCTCCTAAAGGCCCCACCTCCTCATACTTGGGGGTTAGGATCTTGACATAGAAATGTTGGGAGCCACAAACATTCAGACCGTGATTGCATCCTGCATTTTATCTGCACCCCTAGAACCTGGCCACTACTGTCCCTGAGTCTCCTCGTCTGACCATGGCCTATTGTTAGGGTCTTCCCCAGCAGTTACCCTAGGACATAGAGGAGAGAGAGAGAGAGAGAGAGAGAGAGAGCACAAGTCAGATAAAAGGATGGACACACATACAAATGAGTAGGAGAACCACAGCATGAATGAGAAAAAGTGACACAGAGTGAGAGAGCAAAAAAAGATACAAGGAGACAAAGAGTGAGAGAAACCAAAAGGGGCAGGAGAGAGGGACAGCTGCAGAGAGACAGGGCAGCTGGTTCCCTCCCCATCCAGCCCCCATTATCCCCCCTCTACCTAAGCCCAGCCCCTCCCCAGCAGCCCCCCACCATCCTCCTCTCTACCTAACCCCCAGCCCCTGCCAACCAGCCCCCCACTATCCTCCCCTCTACCTAACCCCCCCAGCCCCTCTCCCCAGCCCCCACCATCCTCTTCTCTACCTAACCCCCCAGCCCCTCTCCTCTTAGGCCCCCATCTAGCCCCCCGCCTAACCCCCTCTCTACTTAACCTCCACCCCTCCTAGTCCCCTCCTAATCCAGCCCCCGCTCCTTTAGCCCCCTCCTTACCTAGCCTCCTCCCCATCAACTCCCTGTCCACCTAGCCCCCTCCCCACCCACTCCCCTTGAAGCCCGTCCACACCCACCCCCTCCCCTCCAGGCCTCACCTTGGAGTAGGTGGCCCCATTGATGACCTCTCCCTTTCGCAACCAGATGATGGAGGCTGCAGGCTTGGCATTGTCTGCGTGGCAGGTGAGGTTGAGAGGGTCCCCCGCACGCAGGCTGATCACAGGGCCCCCCAGGATGACGGGGTCATCAGGCGGCACTGCGGGGAGAGAAGCAGTGAGGTCAGGCCGAGGCTCCCACCTCGGGCAGGACGGCAGGCAGGCTGGGAGGATTTTGTGGAGATGGCAACAAACAATAATTATCACACATTAATAAAACGCATCGTCCGCTTGTATCGTAATGATGAGAGCAGCACCCACAGTGATCCCTGACATGTGCACTGCGTGCTTACAGTGGAGGATATTCCTGCCAGTCATCGCATCCCTGCTCAGGACCTGCCAGGAGGGGACAGGGCCAGCAGCCTCAGCCTGCACTCCCAGACCCAGAAGCAGAGCTCTGTGGCCCAGGCGATGTCTGTGGCTGCTTTTTAACTTCTTTTTCCTTTTTTCGAGATGAAGTCTCTGTCACCCAGGCTGGAGTGCAGTAGCATGATCTCGGCTCACTGCAACCTCTGCCTCCCAGGTTCAAGTGATTCTCCTGCCTTAGCCTCCCAAGTAGCTGGGACTACAAGCACGTGGTACCATGCCCGGCTAATTTTTTTTTTTTTTTGTATTTTAAGTAGAGTTGGGGTTTCAACATGTTGGCCAGGCTGGTCTTGAACTCCTGACCTCAGGTGATCTGCTTGCCTTGCCTCCCAAAGTGCTAGGATTACAGGCCTGAGCCACCATGCCCGGCCAACACCTGGTTAATTTTTGTATTTTTAGTAGAGATGGGGTTTCACCATGTTGGCCAGGCTGGTCTCGAACTCCTGACCTCAGGTAATCCACCCGCCTCAGGCTCCCAAAGTGCTGGGATTACAGGCGTGAGCCACGGCACCTGGCTTTTCTTTTTTCTTTAAATGAAGCACTGTCACACCTGCTGTCTGAGTTAGTCCTCACAACAGTCTGGTGAGGTCAACATTACCACCCCAATGACACAGATCCGGAAGCCGAGTTCCAGCAAGATTAGTGACTGGCTCAAGGTCACATGGTGGCAGAGCCAGGGCTGGAGGCCAGGCCCAGGGAACCTGGGAGCACCAGGCCGGCCCCTTCCCTGGCAGGGAGCAGGGTACAGGGCAGCCCTTCACAGTGGAGCCAGCGCTTCGGAGGGCTGTGTAAGCGCTGGCATCTCCTGAGCTCCTCACTCCTCCAGAGCGGCTCCAGCCCCTTCATCCCCAGAGGCAGCCTGATTCTCTCCTGTCCCAGCCTTCCACTGCATTTTGTAGTAGGGTCAGAGACGGGTGGCTCCCATCAAGGGATCCTGAGTGCCAGGAAGAGGGCCATCCGCGTCGGAGCACGGTCTCCGCAGTGCCCAGCACAGAGCCCTGTGCTGGGGAAACTCCACTGACATTTGCTGGCCCCACTGGGGTCACCCTTTGATTCCGATGAGGACCATGGGCTGAAGGATGGTGGATGATCATGGTTTGGAGGAGAGGCCCAGAAATCTGAAGTACCTTGCCTAGGACACAGGGCCTTTCCCATGCTTGTGCTTGGGGACACGTTGAGAGTCTCAGGCCTCTGCTGCTCCCTGGACAAGCCACAGAAGGGACAGGAGGTGAGGCGACTGTCCTCTGAGGAATCCCTGTTTCCCTTACCCCAGGAGGAGCTGGGCCCACCAGCTCTGGAGGCTGAGAGAGGCCCAGGGCCTCTGGACACATCAAGACGTGAGCTGTCTGTGTACACAGCAAACACAGAAGGGGTAGTTGGATAACGGGGGCGTGGGAACCTAGCACAAAGGGTCCTCTCTGCCTGGTGGCCAGAGAAGCCCGCCCTTCTATGCAGGCTCTGTGCTCGGGGCTCTGGGCTGGAGAAGTTCAGAGCTGAACAGTCACAGCTCCGGGCCCGTCCTGACTCCACTGGCTCAGCCTTCCAGCCTCAGCCTGCATGGGAACTTCCCTCCCCTTCTCAGGGGATCGCCCCGTCAGCCCTTCTCCTAGTCCACTCCGGCTTCTGTGAAAGCTCCAGGAGGGACAGGAAGCCCCAGTGGGGGCCGGTAAGAAGCCAAGAAGCAAACCTTCAGAACAGCTGCCTTGCCCTCCCTGCCCGGCCTTGGAGGCCTGCTCCCACACTAACAGCACAGCAGTGCCATTTCCTGAGGAACAAGCAACCTCCCAGGGCTTCCGAGAAGCCATCACTGACCCCAGGGGCAGCGAGCCCCGGACTCCACCGAGATCCTGGCTCAGGAACAGAGTCTGCCTCAGGCAACCCTGCCTGGCCCTGGGCTCTTGAGCCGGGAGGAAGCAGGCATGAATGGGATGGATGGAGAAGACGACCCCCCAGCCGCCCACCCCACACCCTTTCATTAGTGCCCATGGGCCTCCTTGGGGTGGGCCTGGCCACAGGGCAAAACGGAGGCGGCTCAGGGCTTTCCACCAAGTGGGGGTGGGTGCAACCACTTGTGGAGGAGGGGAATTGCATCTCCACGCGGTGAGTGGGGGACTTGCAGCAGGAAGAGCAGGGCTCAGAGGTGGCCAGCCTTCACCCTTCTTTCTTCAAGGCAGCCTCCCCGACCAGGATGGAGGAGCTCGGGCTCCATGAGCTAGCTGAGGGCCTGGAAAAAGAGCCACGTGGAGCCCTGGGGACAGCCTGGATACCTGGGGCCTCAGCCTTCCCAGTGACTGTGGAAAGTGCCTGAGAGCAGAGGGTGGAGCAGGAAGCCCCTTCTCTCAGGGTGGCTTCAGGTGCAAACGTGAGAGCTCGGAGGATCTGGGAACTGACCGCTCTCCAGCACGGACATTTACTGGGCCTTGGACAGGGGTTTGAAGCCTTGACTGCATGCTCCTCTGCAGAGGTTTTAAAACCTCACTGCGGGCCACACCCTGAGCAGCCAAGTCCCAGTCTCTGGAGGGGACCCCAGGCATCAGGACTTTGGGGAGCTCCCCAGGGGGTCCCATGGCAGGACCAGCTTTCTGGGCTCTGGACTCTGGGCTGAGGGGCAGGAGCCTCTGCTTGCTCTGAGCACAGTGCAGCCACCAAGGCCTTCCCGAGAATCCAAGACCCAGAGGACGGGCCCTTCCTCCTTGTGGCTGGAGTGTTGTGTTACTGGAATATCGGATTAGAGGCAGCGAGGACGAGGGAGGAGGGAGTGGGGCGTGTTGTGGGAGTGCTCAGGCACACGCACAGCCACGCACATACATCCACCCTCAGAATGGGGCCTGATTACATCTTCCCAAATAAGTGGTTATCATGCTGGGTATTCATGTAGCCAGGCATTATTGATTGGTCTTCGCTTCACTGCACACCAGATGGGGGTGGGGGCTGGGGGGGGGTGGGGGTTGGTGAGGATGGAGGATGTTTGGGGGCCAGCAGGCTGAAGAGAAATCAGCAGTCGCTCTTGGCAGCTGTGTCTGGCGTGGAAGGGGGCTCCTCATTACCTCCCCATTCAGACTCGGCCAGGCTGGGCCAGGCAGTGGCGAGGGGAGGAAGTTTCAGAGTGGTCCCCGCTTGGAGATGTATTATTCATCACCCCCTCGCAGGATTGGTTATTATCCTCAACCACTATAGAGTTTGGGCTTCTAATTTTTAATCACAAGGAAGGTGGAGGCGTTAGCCTTTTCGTGATTAATCCGGAGATAAAAATAGTTGACTGTTTTGGTGTTGTGCTTGTTGTCAGTCAGGAAAAAAATGGCATTAACTGTTGGGGCACTGAAGCCTGGGGAGGACTGAGCGGATCCCAGGCAGAGTGGGTCCCCAGAGCTGGAAGCCAGCCTAAGAGGCCACAGCGCGGCCTTAGCCGGGGGTGGCTGAGCGACACTCCTGCACCCAGCTGGCTCCTGGGGCATTGATTATGAAAGAAACACATCATCGCGGGATGCTGAGCTCTTTACAGTTTACTCTCCCATTGGCCAGGACTGGAGCAGGCAGCTTCAGTCTCCCTCCCTGCTCTGCCCCTACCTGCCCAGCTCTGCAGACTTTGCCTTGTTTGGGTGGGCGGTGGGGGTACCCGTCCCTTTCCCTGTGTGTGGGAGGGAGCCCCCAAAAGCTTTCCCCAAGTTCTGCTGCCAAAGACAATGGGGTCTCGGGTGGACAGGTGGCATGGGGAGAGGGAAATTGAGGCCAGAGAGCACAAGAGGCTGACCCAAAGTTACCAGTGACGAGAGCAAAGAAGGGTGAGGGTGGGCTTGGGACGCACATCCTGGCTGTAACTGGAGAGGTAAAGCTTTCATCTATTTCACGCACTAAGGTTCTCTCTAACCTCTATACTCCCCTTTTTTTAGAGACAGTTTGCCAGGTTGGCCAGCCTCGTCTGAGCAGGCTGGAAAAACTCTCTTGGTGCCAGGACAAGGACAGCACTGAGGGAATTTCCTCCAGTGTCCACTTGGTCACCCAACTGAGACCTGGCTGGGCTTCCAGGAATTCCTCGATGCTCCATCAGCCTGGGATGGTTGGTCTCTGAGCATGGCTGATCGGTGGCAGCTGGAGGGGTGGGGGACCAGCAGCACCACCCTCCTGCCCCCATACTGCATGGTGGAGAACCTCATAGACACCCAGCCCTTTGGAGAGCAAGACTGGTTCTCATTTGACTCAATGAGCAGCGAGTTCCCCACAATGCTGGCAGAGTGGGTCTATCACCAACACCAAACCCTCCAGGGGCTTCCCGCTGAAGGAGAGTAGGTGTTGCCTGCAAGCACCAGCACTTACGGCCCTCGCTGCCCCTGGGGCCTCGGTCTGTTCCAACCACTCCTTACACAGCAGACCCTGGCCCCACTGCGTCTCTGCTGCTCAGCAAACCCAGCTCCTTCCGGGGCCGGGCTTGCCCTGCTCCTCTCTGTCTGTAACGCTCTTTCCTGTTCCTCACTCTGCTGGCTCTTCCCGTCAATGAAGGTGCAGCTTCAAGAGCCCTTCAGTGACTCTCCACTACCCACCCCTGCACTTTCTGGATCACTGGGTTCATTTATTATCTGTCACCGTTCTAGAAAGGACAACAAAGACCTTATCTATCTTGGTCATTGTGATATTGCTGTATCACACAGTAGGCGCTAAAGAAATATTTGTTGAATATATTATTTGTTAAATAAAAGAATCTCAGAAGGGGAGTGGGGATGGGGCCGGGGGGACGGTTATCATGGGCTTTGGCTTCTGAGGTCAGCGTTTTAAATCTTGTGTGTGTGTATGTGTGTGTGTATATATGTGTGTACATGTGTGTATATGTGTGTATGTGTATATATGTGTGTACACGTGTGTATGTGTATATGTATATGCATGTATATGTGTGTATGTGTGTATGCGTGTGTATGTGTGTATGTATGTGTATATGTATATATGTATGTGTATGTATGTGCATGTAGATGTACATGTGTGTATACATGTGTATGGGTGTGTGTATACATGTGTATGTAAGTGTGTGTGTGTATATGTGTGTGTATATGTGTGTTTGTGTGTGTGCATGCATGTGTGTGTGCATTGGGTACAGTTGGGAACGGGCTGCGTGAGTAGTGGGAGGGAGGAGGGCAAAGCAGGAGCCCTTCTGAGGCCAGCTGGGACAGCGCTGTAGGAACTCTGCGCTGCTGTGGCATCAGGGTTGGTGCTCCCTGTCTCTCCTCGAGAGAGGGAAGCCTGGCTGAGGGGGGCTTGGTGCTGGGAGCTGATTCTCAGCCTGTTTCTCCGTGGCTGCTGTCCTCTGATTTGTCTGGAACATAGGATGGGAGAGGGCGGCAGGCCGAGCATGGTGACAGATCAGAGACACTTGGCTGAGTGGGGAGAAGGACGTTTGTGGGTTCTTTGATTTTGTTCTGCCGCAGACCCAGGGGCTCTGGGAGAGTCAGTGCTAGGAGTTCCAGCACTGACTACAGTGGAGGGAGGATGCCGAAGCCTCGGGGTGCATCTCCCACACCTTCAGCATCTTCTCCATCCCCAGGTTCCCCGCTGCAGCCCTGCAGTCAGCCTGCCATGTGTCCTGCCCTCCTGCCTCCCTCCCTCCCAACCTTTCTCTCACCAGCCTCCTCCATGTCACAAGCTGAGGCTATGATAGCTGAGTGAAGCCATACACGGCCTGCCATCTTAGAGCTGATGGGGAGGCCCTTGCCACTCCAGGCCAGTGCCCAAGACGGACATGTGTGCAGCCTTGGCACCTCCTGGGAGCTTGTTAGAAAAGCAGACTCTTGTGCTCCACCTCAGACCTCCTAAGTCAAAATCTGCCTTTGAAAAGACCCCAGACAATTCACATACATTTTCAAGCTGGAGGAGCGCTGCTCTAAGGGTTCCGAGGTAGAAATCATGACAAACTGACAAGTGCTATGAAGGGAAGGCTCACTGGACAAAGAGCACGTGTGGGGACCCTTGATCCCTTCACAGGCTGCCTGCTCCCTTCGCTCCCCCGGGGCCGGCCAGAGAAAGGGGCAGACTGCTCCCTGCTTACTAGCTTTGGAGTTACACGATCTTGTTTCAGAACAGCTTCCTTTGTGTATGCCGTTTCTTTAGCTTGGAATGCTGGCGTTCTCCTGGACCACTGGTCTTCTCCTGGGTCACTCTTACACACCCTTTGAGACTTAGTTCAGAGGGCACCCTCTCTGAGCGGCCTTTCTAGAATCTGCCAGTTGGGCCAAGTGTATAGGGCTTCTGTCTATGATCCCACAGCATCCTGGGCATCCCCTGACTCACTAGCTACCACATCCTATGGAAATCTCTCTGTGTGTGTCTCTTCCCTGAACCATGATCTCCATCCGGATCCCCATCTCCCAGCAGAGTGCCTGCCTGCTGCACAGGGCACAGGGTGGCATATGCATTTGCTGAGCTGAACTTGACTTGAGTCGATCACTTTATGAGCCATATGATTGTAGACAAGTTATATAATCCGACAACCTTAATCCTCTTATCTGGGAAGTGAGATAATAAAAATACCTATCTTGCAGGGTTATCATGAGGATTACCTTACAATATGAAAGATACACAGAGAACATTGTAAAAGGCTATACAAATGTAGGTTATTATGTCTAATTTTTAGGAATAATATTTAGGTTTGTGGCTGTGTGAAAAGTGCTGAGCCAAGGTCCTCTCATTTTATTCTCAATATCTTTTGAGGCAGGGACTATTAGGGTCTTCATTTTATAGGTTAAGAAGCTGAGACTCAGAGAGGGCAAATTACTTGGCAAAGACCACACAGCCATAAGTGGTGAAGTTGGAATTTAGACTCGAGATTTTGACCCTACAACATGTTCTGTTGGAGTTAGAGCAGCTCCCAGACTATCCCTGCAGCTGCAGCAGCCCTTCCACTAACCCCTGCCTTTGTCCTGGCCCTAGAGCTCTGCGAAGCGGGCTCTCTGCCTGTCCCAGGGGGCATTCAGACCTGGCAGGTACTCTCCTCCCTTCCCTCCCCGCAGTCTGAATTTCAGAGGGCCCCAGGAAGCATGAGCCTGGCTCGCAGTTGGTGCTTTGGCGATGTCTGCTAAGGGAACGGACGAATGTTGTTTGTAGTCCGCCCAGCTCTTTGCTGCCTTTTGTGGTTTTGCCCGGTTCTCTGGTTCTGGGCCGCGTGTAATCCCAGCTTCCGGTTTCCTCACGTATACAGATGCGCCACCTAATGGCCACAATGGAGAACTGCAGGATGTAGAGACAAGAGGGAGCTGACCTGGTTTTAAGAGTCAGCTTCCCAGTGGTAGCCGAACAATGTTTGGAGAAATTCGTATTGAGCACCTACTATACGCCAGGCCCTTTCTAAACACTAGGGACAAGAAGCTTCTGCCCTAGTGGAGTTTACCTTCTAGTGGGAGAGACAGACAATAAATGAATACACAAATACATACATAATACAAGGTTAGGTGTTGATAAGTACTAGAAGGAAAGTAACACTGGGCAGGGAATAGATACATCCTAAATTGGCCTCCGGGATTCCCTCCTGGCTTTTCTCCTTCCTCTCTGGTTGTTACTTTTTGTTTTCTTCCCACCCCTTAAATGCTGGTCTTCCCTAGTTAGCTCTTGCTGGCCATATCTCATTTGACACACTATCTAATGGAAAACCTTCACTTTTCTGTGAACTCAACTCACATCTTTAAGCTGACGAATTCCAAAGAAGCATCTCAGGCCAGACCTCTCTCTTGAGCTCCAGAGTCATGACCCAACTGTCCACGGGCCTTCGAAGCTCAGCAGGTGTGACACCACACCCACCGCCTCTCCCAGACACCCATCCATCCCCATATTCTGTATTTTGGAGAATGGCCCCACTGTTTGGGGACCAAGTCAGAAATCTGGGGGTCTTTCTGGATTCCACTCTCAGTCACCCTGTCTTGCCAACTAGCCTGGTTAACCCTCTGAAGTATCGCTCAGATTTGTCTCTTTCCATTCCCACAGGCTTCCTGGATCAGCCATCATCCTTTTGTGCTTGGATTACAATAGTGCTTCTCCCCTCCATCTCCTAGTCCTCTGTGCTTTTCCAGAGTGACTGTTACAGAAGTCTGAATATTCACCTATCCAGTCAACCAGTAATTCACCCACCATGTGCTGAATGTCTAGCATTCCTCTGTTTCAAATCCTCTGAAAGTCCCTCATTGCCATCTAAATAGTCTGAACTTCTTGGCCACTGCTGACTCTTCGGCCTTGCTTTTCATCACTTCTTACCTCAATTCCTCCTTGTGGATAAGAGCCACCTGCATTTGTTGGAGTAAATCGCTTTTCCCCAATTGCCCCTTTCCATTTTTTATTTATTTATCTTTTTTGAGACAGAGTTTCACTCTTGTTGCCCAGGCTGGAGTGCAATGGCATGATCTCGGCTCACTGCAACCTCTGCCTCCTGGGTTCAAGTGATTCTCCTGCCTCAGCCTCCTGAGTAGCTGGGATTACAAGTGCCCACCATCATGCCTGGCTAATTTTTGTATTTTTAGTAGAGATGGAGTTTCACCATGTTGGCTAGGCTGGTCTCGAACTCCTGACCTCAGGTGATCCACCTGCCTTGGTCTCCCAAAATGCTGGGATTACAGGCATGAACCACCGTGCCGGGCCTGCCCCTTTCCTTTTGCTTTGCTAACTTGAAGGTCGGGCAGCTTGGGTTTGAATCCTGGGTGCTATGTTTACTGGCTTGTGGCCATGGGAAAACTGCTTAGCTTCTCTGTGCCTCAGTGTCCTTATTTGTAAAATATGAATTAAAATAACAAAACCAGATTCACTGTATAGTTGCCAGGGTCAAGGAAGATGTAACATGAGAAAATGCTTTGTAAAGGGTCTGATGGATGATGTGGCATGTTATTGGTTCTCTAAGCAGACTGGGCTCATTCCTTTGAAAGGCGATAGACGGGCAGGGGAGCTGGGACTTAGAAGTCCCAGATTGCCCCCTTGGTAAAGCAGAGGTCTATGTCCTTTTCCCTGCTTTGCCCTGCTGGGAGCTGGGTGAAGACCCTGCTGCTCCCATGGGTGATTCCACGCTGCCCTGCCTGGCTTGGCATCCCCTCCCTCTGGGCCCCCCCACATTCTGTGCCAACTGAGGCACACACTGCTTATGGGCTGCAAAGGCACATGTGAGCCCCATGTGGAGCAGAGAGATGAGCCATCTCAGCTGAGCTCAGCCCAGATTGCTGACTCACAGTTTTGGAGTGGTTTATTATGCAGTATCTGCATTCAGAACACAATACTCCAAGATATCGCATCTTAGAAGTTGAGAAAACAGCAGAAGCAAAAAGTTTACTCTCCAATCCCCTGCCTTCCTGGGCGAGAGCTAGCTGTAAAAAATTCTTTGACCCATCTCCCCTGAAACTAGGTCATGAGATCCTCATTCCAGAGGGATCCTGCCCTATACTCAGAGGAAAGAAACGGTGTACAGGAACTCAAAGAGGAATGCAGGCAAGGCCTTGCTAAGTTCTTCTGGTTTGTTACCATGAGGTCATACCCCCTTTTTTGTCCAATCACATTTCTGCACAACTGCCCATTCTTTGTTGAACATAAGCCTACAAATACACAATTTTCCCATGGCATTTGGGCCTTCATTTCTGAAAGCTCACATAAAACTTTGGTTAAATACATCTGTTGCACTTTTCTCTTCTTAATCTATCGTTTGTTACACGGGTGTCAGCTGCAAACCTTGTAATGGATGAGGAAAATATATTACTTTTTCTCCCCTGCAGCAGCAAAAGCTAACTGATGTAACCCAGTAGTCCCCTGCTGTTTGATTCAGAACTGGGCCCACGGCATCAACTGTCTCTCCACTTCCCTCCGATCCATTCTCCCTCCACTATGGCCAGGTGACTGTTCTGGAAGCTCGGTCTGCTGCTCACAATGTTCAATGGTTCCCACTGCTCCAGCACAAAAATCAATTCCTCATCATGGGGGCCTTCCCCGGTTCTCTCCAGTGAGGTCTCATCTCTGCAGCTTTCTCCTGTGTGACCATTAACTCTTCTGTGAGGATAGCCTGCCCTTTTACAAATACACGCTTTGGCTTGTGAAGTTCCCTTTGCTGGGAATCTCCTTGCCTGAGTCTTAACTGGCTGGAATCCCAGCCTCTTTTCAATCAGCTCAAAGGCCTATCATGCCTTGTTAACTCTTGGTTATTCTTTAAGACTCAGGCTATTGTCACCTCCTCCACAAAGTCTTCTCTCAATCTCAACCCCTGACTCTCCCACCTGCAGCCTCTGCACTGCCATAAGACCATGTGCCCGCCTCAGCAGGTACATGTGGTGCCTGGCGCCATTACCACCTGTTGTTCCCCTGAGGCTGTGAGCTCCTTGAGGGCTGGTCCTTGCCAAATTCTCTCTCTAGTACTTAGTACAGTGCCTGGCATAGTGAGCACTTAATAAATACTTGTTGCCTGGTGCCTTGCCTGATCCCACTGAATTAGAAGCCCCCTCCCCACCTGAGCACCTCTTACACTGGTCCTCACCACATCTCTATTGCATTGACTTGTGGACCTGTTTCAGGTTCCCTACAGTTGCAGGGTAGGAGTCCTGGCGCCTCTTTGCCTGTCTCCCATTGCCTAGTATGTTACCTTGGATGCAGTCATAAAAAAACAGCACCAATAATATGAATAATAGCTAACATTGATATAGGGCTTACCACACAGCAAGAACTCTTCTGTGTACTTTACAAATATCCTTTAATCCTCACAGCTCTATATAAGGTAGATACAATGACGATGCATATTTTGGAGGTGAGGAAACAGCCACAAAGTAGTCAAGTTACTTGCCCAACATCACATAGCTAGTAAGCAGCAGAGCTGGGATATGGGTAGGGTTTCCAGACTTAACAAATCAAAGAACAGTAGGCCCTGTTAAATGTAAATTTCAGATAAATTAAAAAATGGTAGTGTAAGTATGTTTATCTGAAATTCACATTTAACAGGGAATCCTGTATTTTATCTGGCAATCCTGTAGATGTGTTAATTACATATATGTGATTTAATTAATGTAGGTGTGCTTTCCCCCTCTTCAGACCCTCCCCGCCTCCACTTAGGTCTATATTAAGAAGATGTGGGGCAAGATGCAAATGGGATTTTTTTTTTTTTTTTTCTGAGACGGAGTCTCGCTCTTGTCACCCAGGCTGGAGTGCAATGGCACAATGTAGGCTCACTGCAGCCTCCGCCTCCCAGGTTCAAGCGATTCTCCTGCCTCAGCCTTTTAAATAGCTGGGATTACAGGCACCTGCCACCACGCCTGGCTGATATTTTTTGGTACTTTTGGTGGAGACGGGGTTTCGTCATGTTGGCCAGGCTGGTCTCAAACGCCTGACCTCAGGTGATCCGCCCACCTTAGCCTCCAAAGTGCTGGGATTACAGCTGTGAGCCACTGCGCCCGGCCACAAGTGGGATTGTTAAAGGATGTGGCATCCGATATATTTGGCAGCACAATCGCACAGACGTGTCTCCAAGGAGGTTGGGGACAGAGAGAAAAGAGGAACAAGGAGCAAGACGCAGGTTTAGGATGATGGCATGTAGCTCAGAGGAAGGTGTGCTGGAGGCTGTTTCAGTTCTGCTCCTAACCTGGGGGTGGGGGGAACCCTGAACTAGCTGACTTCAGAGGTCCCCTGCAAAGGTTTGGGACACTGGGAAGCCCACTTCTCAGCTGGAGCTCATATTGTTTAGGGGATAAGAAGGGAGGCCCTGAAGTCAGAGTGCCTGGCTGGGCTTCTGGCTCCGTCATTCACTGGCCACGTGACCATGTGCAAATTCTCTGTGCTGGATGATGTTAATGTCATAGATATTATAGTAGCTGTTGTACAGGGCTGGTGTGCTGTTTAAATGAGTTCATGTAAGAGTTATGCAGTGTCTTGTCCCAGAGCTTGGCACTGTAGTAAGAACCCACTAAATTTTAGCTCTTAGTATTATTGTTGTTTATTTAATAAGTAACTCCACATGGGGGCAGAGTAGCATATTGCATGTGAAATGGGCTTGTTTCCACCTCTTGTTCTGCTATTACCTTGTTCCATGCCCAGCCCTGGACTCCTGAGATGGAATGGTCAGTACCTTGCCTCAAAGCACCTTTAAACCACTAGAGCGATGACAAGGAGGTCACAGACCCAAAGATCCCACAGCTGTACAGGTCTGATGGGCAGCCCTGCTGCCTTTAGGCAGGAGACCCCAAGGGAGGGAGGGCTAGTCCAGTGGGCCAGGGAAAGGGAGCCAGGTGCTGTCAGGGTCAAAGTCAGCAGTGGCTTGGTTCGCTCCTTAAATTAGGAAGGGTGAATGTCCTGTTTATATTTGGTTAAACCCTGAAAGAGGGTCTGAGCATCTCAGGGCAGAGCTACTTGTGAGGAGACAGACGTTTCATTAATAATGAGTAGGGATGTAAGTCTCAGGCTGTATGCAGAGTGGAGGAAGGGAGGTGGGTAGAGAAGGGAGCTGCAGTGATTTGCACTCAAGCAGACCAGTGTGCCTGTGCCGGCTCCAGATGACAGAGGGTGCTACGTGGCCGCCGTCTGCACAGCAAGGGTGAGAGGGCTTGGGAGAGGCCAGCAGAGAAGGGACAGTGGGGTGGGGGAGTGCATCAAACTGGAGAGAGGAAGGGGTGAGTAGGGCTGGGGCAGGAAGGCCAGTGTGTGGTGCTGGGTGGCTTACACTCACCCTCCCAGTCCTGCGGAGCGAGAGACTTTCTCCTTTCTCCAGCCCAGCTCCTATGCTGATGGCTGCAGGATGGGTGAGAGCGCTTCTTAGGTGTGTTTGCAGGAATAACCGGCACATGCCCCCTTGCAGCCGCTCACAAAGCTCTCCAGCTGGTTTCGACCTTAACCTGATTTGGGGTCTCTTTTGCTCAACACAGCTGGGTTGGTGGGAAAAGCCCATCATGGTGGCTGCCGTGGACTTGTATAATCCATGCTTCATGGTATGGTGGGCCCTTGCAGTAGCCTTATTTCATAGGTGGGTAAACTGAGGCATAGGCTGGCCAAAACATTTGGGGCAAGTCACGCAACTGGCAAGGACTCTGGCTCAGATCCTGCTGCCCCAACCACTCAGTCCTAACTGCGGTACCATAGGCTGTGCTAGCAGGAGGATCTGCATTGGTTCACTTCGGTAGCTTTAATAGCATCAAGGCAGCCATCCTGACCCAGCAAAGGGCCAGGCAGGGACTTGGAGTGTCCCCGCTGGTCCCATAAATAGAAGCAGAACTGATATAGTTGGTTTTGCTATGGGCTCCCCATCCGGTAAATCCACCTCCTCAACGAGCCTCATAGTTTCAGTAAGGACGAAAATGAGGCCAGGTAGAAATCCTGCCTACCGATACCCTGGAGCCTCAGAAGTCTTAGCAGAAATGGAGGGGCGCAGGAAGATGGTCATTACATTAAGGGGTTTAAAAAATAAGCACAAGACATTCCAGTAGCTTTCTTTTGAGATGACAGATTAGGAATACTGTGTTTTGCAGGATAAAAGCATGCATTTGTTCCATATCTTGGTTGGTTACAGGCCAGCAGGGCAGGCAGGAGGAGGGAATAGAGAGGTGACCATGAGACAGAAGGGCAAAAATTAAAAAGACAGGCAAAGAGGCAAAGACACAGGGCGGGGCGTGGGGTGCAAGTCACCTGCTCAGGAAGAAGATGGATGTGGGGAGACACACACAGTCCTTTGGGATGGAGCACCATAAAACCAAATGGCAGTGTTCCAAGGAAGGAAACAAGCAAAACACTTTCTCTAGGCCTCTTGCTACAAACACTCATTTCAGGGAATCCCAGAAAATCACTAAAATATACCTTTCAACTTTATGCAAATTTACCAGATCCACTGTTTGCCAGAATCCTAAGAGGAAAAAGTCAAAATCCTTTTCCGACCTGAGCCTTCTTCTTTTTTTGTTTTTTCTCAAAAAGTACAAGCTTCTACATTTGAAAAAGGGCAATATTTTTAGAACTCATTAGATGAAAGTGTTTTAATTCTCATCTACAGTCTGGCCTTATAGTTATTTTTTGAAATCTCCTCTGTTCCTCATTTTTCACATTTGCCCCATTCTGGGGAGGGAGGCCTGGCCTTTTTACCCTGTGGGGACAGTCACTGGAAGTGAGCTTCCTGTCTTTAGCCACAGACAACTCCAGAGTGGAACTCAGCAGGGAGTTGGCCGCCCCGCACTCCAGCATGAGTCCTTCTGTCCTGTCCTGAAAGGGGTAAAGAGAAACTTGGTAGCACCGCAGCTTCCACTACGGGGTGCCGCTCACAGAAGGCGGAGGTGGAGGGAGGGAATGGCCTCTTCCCCCAGGGTGTCTTCTTTCGCTCCATCACTGTTGAGGTGGGATGGGGCTGGTTTTGGCACTAGAGTGCTTACGATCAGAATAAGCCCCTTATTCAGAATAAGAAGAGCTTGGTTACTGGGTAAGGAGGGGACTGTGGGCCTCCTATGTTCATCTGAGACCTATTCACCGGGGCAGGGAGGGACTCCTCATCTGGCTCTGATTATCCCTACAATTAAGTTTGCTGGTGTTGGTGGGGATGGCTTTGGGGCCACCCAGGCCCCTGCATCTCCAGCCCTTGGTGGGTGATGTCAGGCAGGTGAAGAAAGGGCACAGCCTTTGCTCTCAGACAGAGCTGGGAATGATCCCACAGGGTGACCCTGAACAAGTTTATCAACCTTCCTGAGCCTCAGTTTCCTCACCTGTAAAGTGGAGCTAATATGTGCCTCGAGTAATGCAGGATTAAAGGAGAAGATGTAGTAGGTCCGCAGTCGTGGAGGCAGCCTGCTGGTCAGCATGAAGACAAAGGCTGCTGCTGAAGACCCACTGCCTTCTCTTGTGTGAAGATGAGCTGCTCCCCTGGTTAAGGCAGAGTGGCAAGGAAGCTCAGACCAAATGCATTTGTGCAGTGGAAGAGAAGCAACATGGAAGGAGCCGCGGCTTCCAGTGACCTGGCCTGTGGCCCAGGGAGCTGCAGATGGAGGCTCCGTGAGCTGGAGCCCACACCCTCCCACCACCCATGAGCCACACAGGGAAAGCCTGCTAGGTGACTGCTCTCCTCTGGCCTCTCCCTGCTCCTACCTGTTCCCCACAGGGGATCCCCCCAAAATGACGATCTAATCAAGTTGTCCCTCTGCTTATGGTGTCCAAAGCCCCACAGCACCCAGGCCTGGCCACCTTTGCAGCCTTACCCCGTGCCCGTCTCCAGCCAGGAAGACGGGATCCTTGCCGCAGGCCACAGCCACATAGCCACGGGCCTCGGACCCTGGATCTGTGGCTCTCTCCTCCGAGACTGCGCTTCCTTTCCTTTCCTGACTTGTGGACACCTACACGATGTTCAGTGTTTGCTCAAATGTGCCCTCTGACCTCCACTAGACTGCGCTTAGGCATCTGGAGCGCAGCAGTCAGTCTCATCCTGGGGTGCATCCCAGGGCTCAGCCTGGGACCTCAGCATGGGGCTGAGCAGGACGGAAGCTGTAGATGGATGCGCTGCGTTTGCGGTGGAGAGCCGGCTGCATGGGAATCACTGCTGGCTGGACCCGGGTGCCTGGCTCGATGGGAGCTTCCTAAGGGAAGCAGCCCTGTCATGTTCCTCTTTGTCTCTCTCTCCTGCCCCAGCTCAGCCTGCACGGAGCAGGTGCTCAACAGATGAGCACCCCATCAATGATGGAAGGGTAAGAAGAGACGCCTGCATCAGGTGGGAGTTAGGTGGGGAAAACAAAGCTTCCAGAGGGGATACTTTGGGAGGCGCAGATCTAGGACACATTGATAAGCATGGAGTGTCAACTATGTTCCAAAAGCTTCCTGATGGCCCTATTGTTACTCCATCTTGGATTCCTGGGTCAATTTTGGGAGATGCTGAGATCTGTAGTCCATAAGGGCATTGCTGGATGCAGATGTGTGAATCACCATAAGTTTGGACCCAGGACAGCTGGTGTCCCCTGGCTTTCCTGAGACCTTGGACGTGCCCCTTCCCCTCTGCATTCCCCACTCTCCACCTTCCACCACCCCTTTCTCAGGGGCCCATCAGCTAGGCCTAGCAGCCCTTGGATCCTTAATCACCTCTGTTCTTTTGCTGGCTCTCTCTGAGGCTTCCCTTTCAGCTTTGATGAGCAACTCACTTGCCATGGAAAGTGTGTTGTTCATGGCGGATCCTCTATCAAAAAACAGGATGGTGTCGAGTTGCAGTGGGTGCGCTGGGATCAGTCCGGGTTAAAATACGTGGGTCTCAGCTCAGATCTCCATCCCTGGCACTGTGCAGGAATCTGGGCGTGTTAGTGCTGCATACGTTGGGGAAAATGAGACGTGTTGCTTGGAAGCAGCCCATGAGCTGCTTCGAGGAGTGAACGGGGTGAGGTGTCCAGTGTTGCTTTGAAGTGAAATGTTTTGGATGTGCCTTAAAGTCACAGTTAGCTCCCATGATGGGCATTCGTGTTTGTGGCCAGAGGCATACATAATCCAAATCTGGTGTATAATTGAGAATATTATTTGCATTTGGCTTTGGAATGCATTGTGTGTGTGTGTGTGTGTGTGTGTGTGTGGCGGGGGCGGGGGAGGCAAGGCAGCTTTACTTTCTGTGTATGTTTATTTTAGACTCCCATTAGCATTAATTTGCATTCACTGGACACAGCCGCTAGGGAGAGGTGAGCAGAGCTTTCTCCCCATGAAGTATTCTTCAGCCTGGCCCTGTCCGTGAGCCAGGTTATTGGAAATAGACCATGTAGGCCTGTGTTCCACGGGTGCTCAGAAAAGACCATGTAGGCCTGTGTTCCACGGGTGCTCAGAAATCCTGGGGGCTGAGATACAACCTCAGTGAACAAGCCACTGGGCCAGGGATGCAGAGCTGTGTTTGTGGTGAGACCTGGGAGCGACTCCTGGACTCCCGGTTCCAGGCTGCATGGCCTTGGATACGTTAATTAGTTATTTGAGCCTGTGTCTTCGTCATAAAATAAGAGGGATAATAATTCTGTGAAGGTTAGGAGAAGTTCCATGGGATGGCATTTGTGACGTCCCCAGAACAGGGCTCAGTGAATGCTCATTCCTTTTCTTGTCTCTCCTCCCTCCTCGTCTCCCAAAGAATGGGTCTGCCTTCTTCATCTCTTGCGAGTCTGGGACTCCAAGGGCCGAGCAGAGCCGGCAGTAGCATTTGGAGTCAAATAGGAAGACGCCACTGCTTCCTTCTGGAGTGCAAGGTCAGGCAGGGATGCTCATTTGCTCTTAAGGGTGCAGGGGGTCCACAAATGCCTGAGGATCCACAGCCCACCTGCACGAGGAGGGGGCGTTTGGAGGGTGGAGGAGAGCCTGTTGTCTCTTTGGAGAATGGGGCAGGGCTCTGTCTGGATTTTGGGTCCATCCCGTAGTGGAAAGGGGTCCTATGTGAACAGAAGGGAGGGCTTCAGATAATCCTGAAACCGGAATCCCAAAGACAAGCCCTGAGTCTCCAGGCCACCACTTTCTACCTGCGTGGACTCTGGCGAGTTGCACCTCCCCGGGCGTCAGCGTCTGCATCTGAAAGTGGGCATGGCGGTGAAACCACCTGAGGGTCAGGAAGGCTGAGTGAAGGCCAGAAGCCTGTGAGCCTGAAACTCTGCTCAGGTGTCCGAATGTAATGTGAGCCCAAGGAGGGCGGGCGCGTGCTGGCTCTGAGCGGGTGCTTTATTGTGTGATGGGTGGGGACACTTGCTCTCAGGGGGAAAGAAAGCGCCCTCTCTTCCTGCAGGGCTGGCTGAGAACTAATTCAAGGCCATGTGACTCTGGCTAAAGCCTGCATCCTGGTTCTCTGCTCCCATCTGGGCCAGACTGTTGGACTCCAGTGTTGTCTGTCCCCCGAGTCGAGGTCTGGGGCAGGTAAGGAGGCCATATCAGGAACACCTGCCCATGTCTGTCCCCAGAGAGAAGACCCAGGAGTTCAAGCATGGTGCAGAGAAGTTGAGCAACATGCCCAAAGCAGCCAAGATTACCGTTTCTTTGTGCTCCCCACACACAGATTTGGATGTTTTTCTTTTTTTCTTTTTTCTTTTTTTTTATATTTATACGGAGTCTTGCTCTGTCACCCAAGCTGGAGTTCAGTGGCATGATCTCGGCTCACTGCAACCTCCACCTCCCAGGTTCAAGCGATTCTCCTGCCTCAGCTGCCTGAGTAGCTGGGACTACAGGCGCGCACCACCATGCCTGGCTAATTTTTGTATTTTTAGTAGAGATGGGGTTTCACCATGTTGGCCAGGCTGGTCTCGAACTCCAGACCTCAAGTGATCCTCCCGCATCAGCTTCCCAAAGTGCTAGGATTACAGGTGTGAGCCACCACGCCTGGGAGATTTGGAGTATTGATAGAGGGATTTCAGAATCTGGACTTTTATTGTCTCACTTCCCTTCAGTGAGCCAAAGGGCCCCATCCTTGCTTACCTCAGTTTCCTCCGGGCTTATAAAATGGACAAAAGGATAAGTTGCAGAGGGCCACCGAGGAACTGGGAGGATGATCTATAGACAGTCTCCTCTTCACTGAAAGGGGAAGATGGGCTCAGGCTGCAGCGTGAGGGAGTGAGGTTAGACATCTGGAAGAACTGTTGTTGGAGACACAGCTGGGGAAGGGAGGTCAGGCCTCTTTTTCCCAAGCCTGTTCCCCTACCCCCGATGAGGGATGAGGTGGATGTGACAAGGTGACATGACCCTAAGGCAGGGGGATGGACCTGGTGGCTCTGCAAAGCCCCTCTCAGCCCCTGTCCACTCAAGTACTTCCTCATTAGTTTTGCTGAAGTTACTTCCCTGCTCCCAGTTAGCCCCTGTCCGTCCAGTTCTGAGAGGTGTTTCTATCTGTAGGGGCCGAGGGGCTAGGGGAGCATGGGGCTGGAGTGGGAAGGAGGAGGAGGAGGGATGAGGCTGCCAATTGCCACCGCCACACAGCAAGCGTCACCTCAGCTGTTGGAGGGGAACAGCCACCAGGCCATTTTTATGACTTCCTATCAAACTTTGATAAATTGACTCTGAAAGGGCCTTTTCTTCCAAGCAGTTCATGCCTCAGTGACTGTTAATGGTGAAATATCAAGATGCTGAGGGGGCTCTGAGCTGGACCGTGCAGGGAGGACTGGCTTCTTACCTGCCCCGAGACCCAGCTCTTTCCTCCTCTTGGATGCTCTGGAGAGGGAGGGGGCAGGACTAGATAGAGACCTCCAGGCAGATGGCAAGGTTGGTCTCCAGAAAAGACAGACCAGGGGATGAGGGTGGAGGAATTAAGTTAGACATGCCGCAGAACTTCCTGGCCGTGGGCTGAGTGACCCAAAAGGCCGTAGAACAGCCTCGGTGCTGCGGCTAACTGACAGGGGGCAGGAATTGGCACTGCTTGTTGCACAGCAATTTCCCTGCAGGGATTGACGTGGAGCGTCACAAAGACAGTGAGGTAGGCAGTGAGGTAGGCAGAGTAGCAACCTGCCTCTATCTCATGGCCTCTCAGGGCAGGCAGCAGCCCTCCTGGACTCAGGAGGAAAGGGCTCAGTGGGGACCACAGGCATTGAGCCCAATGCCTCTCAGGCATCATGCAATGAGAATTGGAGCTGGGCTGGGCGCGGTGGCTCATGCCTGTAATCCTAGCACTTTGGGAGGCCGAGACGGGTGGATCACGAGGCCAGGAGATTGAGACCATCCTGGCTAACACGGTGAAACCCCATCTCTACTAAAGATACAAAAAATTAGCCGGGCACAGTGGCTCACGCCTGTAATCCTAGCACTTTGGGAGGCTGAGGCGGATGGATCACGAGGTCAGGAGATCGAGACCACCCTGGCTAACACGGTGAAACCCCACCTCTACTAAAAATACAAAAAACTAGCCGGGTGTGGTGGTGGGTGCCTGTAGTCCCAGCTACTTGGGAGGCTGAGGCAGGAGAATGGCGTGAACCCAGGAGGCGGAGCTTGCAGTGAGCTGAGATCGCGCCACCGCACTCCAGCCTGGGCGACAGAGCAAGACTCTGTCTCAAAAAAAAAAAAAAAAAAAAAGAGAGAATTGGAGCTGAACCTGAACTTCAAGTCCAGAGAGGTTTCCCTACAGCCCCCCTCACCCACAGCAGCCTGCATCTTCTACTCTGCCCCCAGCTGGCCCCGCCTGGGCAAACACATGGTGACAGGGCAGTCGCTGGCCCAGAGCTGCTTCATTCCTACTTCTCCCTTCCTTCAAGGCTGGTTCTGGGTCCCGGAACCATCCTTTCCTGGTTCAGGCTGGGTGCAGGCCGTCCAGCACCACCTCTCTGACTCAAGGCTGGAATTAGTGGGGAGGTGAGTGAGGCTCTTGTCTCGGGCACAAACTTTAAGGGTGTACTCAAAACCCCAGTAATGGAAATAAATAATATCTTAATGCAAATTAAACAAATCAGAATGAATGTAAAAATATCCACGATGAGGAAAATATCACAATTTTAAGTAAAGACAGGATTAGGGAGCTGCAGTTAATTAAGAATTGTTTAAGATGGTCACTTGGTCAAGAGAAATGGTCAAAATGCCAATTCTCTCAGTCGAAAATGAGATAAGCAAAGAAGTAGATGATTACTATTACTGGTGAGTTATTTTCCATTACAGCCAGGAAAGTAAAATGAAATACATTCTGTTTTTGCTGTAAATAAAATATTTAAGTGTAACATAATGTTGGGGATTTTAATACACCTGCTTTTAAATGTTTCAATATTTTTCCAACTACTTCAATGTTCTGGAAAAAATTTACCACTTAAAGAATACTTTAAAAATATAAATGAGGTGCACGTTTTCCCTCTTGCTGCAGGGTCTATTGTGACTTGGCTTGGTGCTGTTGCTGATCCTATCTTTGTCTAATATTTTGATATTTTGCTTATCATGGATTTTTTCACATTCATTTGGATTTTTAAAAATATTGCTTTAAAATATTATTTGTCTAGATTATTGATTCTTTGGGTACCCTTTACATTTTGTGCCTGAGAATGATGCCTCACTCTGAACTTAGTTTTATTCTGTTCCCAGAGAGGGAAGCTGCCTCTCTATCCTGTCCTTGGTGGGGATAAAATGGAAAAGGATCCCTCCTCGGGCCCTGGGACCCACCTGGGGCATGTTCAGGCCTGAAACTGTTTTGGGGCGGTGAGCGCTAGGACAGGCGCAGGCTGCCAAGGAAAGATGGATGGGCTCCCGAGGCCCACAGACAGAGACGGGCAGCCACTACCGAGCTCATCCATCGGGACCCCTGTGGGATGACACTCACCTTAATCAGGCCACAAGGGCCCCGGGCCTGAGGGATGCGGGTGGCGTGGGACGGGGAGAAGCGGGTGAGCAGACGCTCCTGTAGGCTCTAAGTTGGTGTCTGGAGAGGAGTGAGAGGTTCAACCAGGGTGGCTAGGCTGTGCACTGGCCAATTCCAGTGGGCACTGAGCACTTAGCTGGCCCCTCTTAGGCCCTGACCTCCAGGCAAGTCCCAAGGTCTGTTGCTCGGACCCTGGGCTGTGCTGTGTGTGGGGAAGGACTAGCAGGAAGGGAGGAGACAGATGGAGGAGGACACTTAGGGCAGGGCCTGCAAACTGGCTCTTCCTTGCCTTTCAGGAACTCCCAGTGGCTTTCCCTTGTTTGCAGAGTGCAGTGTGACCCATCAGCTTGACTTCCGGGCCCTCTGTACCCTGGCCCAAGCCTCTCTTGCCCTCTGAGCCCCAGAGATCCTCTACATGAACCTCCCTCTCTGCGCCCTACCTCCAGCACCCTCTGACCTCCCTGCCTGACCCCAGGTGGTTCTGCTTTCTCCCCAAAGCCTCCCTCGACTGTCTGTGTTCCTCGTCTCCGCTCATCCTTGCTGGCCGGGTTTCTGGTTGTGGCTGTTGTGTGTGTGGACGTGTTGCTAGGAATGAGGGCCTGAGTTATTGTTTATACCTGGCCTTCCTCCTCCGGGTCTAGCGCCACCCCAGCAGCAGATGCCTCAGGAAGGAAGCGACCCTGTTGTGTCCTCCCTGCTGTGACACCAGGTATAAGCAGAAACTTATGGTCACAGTCAGGACCATGGAGGAGGAGGGGCACTCAGAGATTCACCTGCCCTCTCTGAGCCCATGTGGGCACTCCCTGCCCTTCTCACCGCTCTCCTTGTAAAAGGCAGTGCTGTGCAGCAGCCTGAGGATCAGGACACTGGGACTCTAGTCCTGACACTCAGCAAATGGCAACTGCATGCTACCAGGAGCTCAGGCCAAACACCTTGGGATTGTCCTTGACTTGCCCTTTCTCTCGTATCCTAATTGCTGTGGGCTCCACCTTTGAAACATGCACAGATCATCCTTTCTCAGTATCTGCACTGCTACTACCCCAGCGCTCCAGCCCCTAGCTGTTTGCATCTGCATAGCCCAGGCAACAGACATGTGACCCCAGCCCCTCCTATGTCTGATTGCAGAGATCCAGAACCATTCAGCTAAGCCAGGCTCAGTTTCTTGACCTGCAGAAACTGTGAGAGCTAAGAAATGATTCCTGTAATTTTAAGCCACTGAGCTTGGAGGTGATTTGTTATGCAGAAATTGACAACCAGACAGATTTTGCAGAACTAGCCAGTCAACTTTCAAAGGTACTTTGTGCTCGGAACATTGAGAGGCACTGTGCTGTTTGCAAAATGCTTTCTATACACGTTCATCTTTCTCTTTACCAGAACCCTGAACACTGGTAAGGCAGGCATTCTTAGTCCTCACTTTATAGATGAAGAAACTGAGGGTCAGAGAGGCTAAGTGATTTGGACAAGGGTACACAGCTGAAAAATGAAAGGGCCAGTCTTAGGGCCTAGGAATTCCCATGATAAGTTCAGTGCCTTCCCTGCCACCCCATGGCTGCCATTTCTTCTCACTCCCTTCACAAATGAGAACCCAAGGTGTTGGCCAAGTTTGGAGGGAGGGGTGGGTGTGATGGAGGCAAAGGGAAGGAAGACCACATCCACAGGGTCTTGGGAGGTGGGGTGGAGGGACATTCCTGGAGAAGGAGGCTAAGTCTGGGGTAGGTGTCAAGAGACTGAGGGCTACTCTTGGCTTCTTGTATCTGCCAAAACCCAAACAGAAGCGCTCAGAAATGTTGGAGGGCCTGCGTGCGAACTCAAGGCCTGAGGCTGTAGGCAGGGAGTCAGGGCTGGGGAAGCTGGGCTCAGCCAGGGGACTGAGACATAGGTCACAAATCTAGGAGACTTCTCTCTGGGGCCTCTGGAAGCTGGGGCCAGTTCTCCAGTGCCTCAATGTCCCGGAATTGCTTCTTGGAGGCCAATGAGAGTGGGCAGAACTGAGCAATGGAGGAGGAGGCCCACCCTTGCTGTAGGGAAATGGCCAAGGAAATGCACCCCAGCCTGGGAATCCTGTCAGGGAGTGGGGTCCAGTGCTTAGCCAGAGCAGCTGCATACAGGACCACACGTGACACAGAGGCATGTGAGGCTCTGCATGTGCCTGGGCTTAAAGCCTGCTTGGCTGTGTGTGTGTGTGTGTGTGTGACAGAGAGAGAGCGAGAGAGTGTGAGAGTGTGCATGTGTAAGAGAGTGTGTGAGAGTGTGAGTGTGTGTGAGTGTGAGTGTGTGAGAGTGAGTGTGTGTGAGACAGTGTGAGTGTGTGCGTGACAGTGTGAGTGTCTGTGTGACAGGGTGTGTGTGTGAGAGAGAGAGAGAGCGAGAGAGAGTAAGACAGAGAGAGAGAGACTCCCTTTTCCCCAAAATGTCACCAAGGGGGGTCATTTTCTGTGTGCCTGCCATCTCTGTTCCCAGTCACCAGCATATTGCAAGTCAAAGGGAGGCCTTTCCGGTAATTTGAGCATTTCCAACAAATAACTCTGGTCTCCCAGTGCACCAGCCTACAGTGGCCGCAGGGCCACAACGCACTCTTCCCAGAGCTGCTAGAGCTCACCTCTGCTCTTCAGCTCAGATTCTAGTTGGCATCTGTTATCACAGGGAACTCTCTCTGGATGGAGATGCTCAAGCTCAGAGAAGTGAGCAAACTCTCTTCTGGTTGCACAGCGGGCTCTCAGCCTTCCCACTTCTGGTAAGCTGCTTGAACTGAGAAGTCACTGATTTTTCTCACCAGATGAAGAAGCCACGCCAGTGCACATGGATGCATGCCTACTAATGTTCAGCCCCACCTCCAGGTGCTCTCTTGGGGAGGGAGGGGCCCCTATACCGGTCCTGGGTGGGAGTTTAGTGTAGCTCCTCCTTCAGTCACCAAGCACTTTCTCTGTGCCAAGCCTGGGCCTGAGCCTGGAGATTCCAAGAGGATTAAGCCATGGTCTCTGATCCCCAGAGAGTTTGTGGGCCCCCGTGGAATACACACAGCCCCTTCCTAACCTTCCTAGGCCCTGCAGATAAGTGAGTCAGGCATCTGGCTCAGTAAAAAGTGTCTTCTCCATTTTATGGACAAGGAAGCAGAGGCTCAGAGAGGGTAAATGACTTGCCCCAAATCACACAGCCAGTAAGCCTGCTTAGTAGCTCTACTGCATCACACTGGTCTGGACCAAGCTGATTGAGTGAAAGGGGGCAGAGTTGGGGTGGCCATCAAACCCCTAAAACCCGAGGAGGGGAAGAGAGGGGTAGCACAAAAGAGGATTTACTTTCTTCCCCCAAAATGATGTCATCAGCTAAGACAAAAAGAAAAAGAAAACGCCCATTTTCTCACTCCAAGTTTCCCCCTCATTAATTTTAATCTAATTTGCTCATAACATTCCTCAGTAAACAGCAGCCTCTCTTTAATAAGCCAGGCTCTTCCCCCCGACCCTGCGATTGTGTTCCTAATCAGCCAGTGTATCAGGAAAGACCTGCTGCTAATTGTCGCTAGGCATCACACTATCCTGTCTGTCAGGTAAGGGGTGGCAGCGAGAGATAATTATAATCAGATCTAATTAGTAATTATAAAAGATCCCGACTAGAAATTGTTTTCAGTTAAATATTCCCAGAGAGGTGCTAATGGTCTCCGGGGCATGCCAAGTGTCACAGCCAGGAGGGGAAGGGGCCCGTGACCTGGCACCCTGTGACGACAAGCAGAGGAGACTCAGTGATGAGAGGAATGGTGTGTCCATGGGGACAGAGCTGGCCTGGCGTCCCAGTATCCTGCTTCCTGGGAGGAGCACCTTCCCTTCTGCACCTAAGGTTGAGTCCCCCTCCCACAGGAGCACCTGCGTGGGCCCTCAGTAAATGCCAGTTCTTCACAGGCTCAGGACCTCGACGCACGGAAACTTCTGGATCATTAAAGAAGCTGTGTGGGCCAGGTGCAGTGGGTCCGCCTGTAATCCCAGCACTTTGGGAGGTGGAGGCGGGTGGATCACCTGAGGTCATGAGTTTGAGACCAGCTTGGGCAACATGGCCAGCATTTAATGCAAAAATTAGCCAGGTGTGGTGGCACATGCCTGTAATCCCAGCTACTCGGAGGCAGAGGCATGAGAATCACCTGAACCTGGGAGACGGAAGTTGCAGTGAGCCGAGATTGTGCCACTGCACCCCAGCCTGGACAACAGAGCAAGACTCCGTTTCAAAAAAAAAAAAAAAAGCTGTGCGTTGCTCAGGCAGCATGGGATATTTCTGCTGGAATCGTCATTGCATTGAATGGGATTAAAGGCTTTACCTAGGAGTCCCCTGGCTAACGAAAATCCATTGGGTGACTCTCCGCCCCACTTTAGTGCCTCCTGCCTCGGGACTTCCCCTTTCTTTTTCATCGTTAGTAAGCATCTGCAAACTCCCGGTTGCCCTACTTACTTTCTGTTAACAGGACCTAACTACCCAACACTTCCCTGCCTTCAGATTCACGCCCCATACCCTGCATGGTTCTGTTCCTGGGACCCTCGGATCAGGCGATGAGCTCTCTTAAACACCTAGGACGGCTCCACACTGCCCACAGCCAAATTCAGATGCTCCAGCGTGGCTCAAAGCCCTTTCCACTGAGCCCCAACCTGTTGACTGGGCTGACATCCGACTACACTTGCTCAAGCATTGCACGCCAAACATCCCAAACGCTCACGTTAGGGAGTGGGGGCAGGGTGGGCGTCTATCTTTCTGTGCCTTTGATTTTGTTGCTATGATTACGTTTTCATTTTCCAGCTGCTAAAATCCTACCCATTCTACCAAGGGAGAGTTCGGTAGTTACTGAAGTCTTGTTACTGAAGTCTTGTGAAGTCATCCCAGATTTTCTGAGTTGAAATGAACACTTCCTCAGTATTGTGCTTATATATTCGAGGGCTTCTTTTATCCTGCCTGGGATGGTAGTGAGTTGTTTATGTCTTCTCCCTCCTTTGGCAGTAAACTCCTTGAGGGCACAGAGGGCATTTTGCTATTTCTGCATCTTCCCATTGGGTCTGATACAATGCTTTTGCACATCGTAAGCATTTAATAAAGATGTGAAGGATAAACGAGTGAATGTATTAATGGGAAGCTTCTACCCACTGACTGCACTATGATTTCAATGTAAATGCTTCTGGGAAGCCGACCTCTAGTTCCCCAGGTCCAGATCCTTGAACCTGTCTTTATTATTAGATGCTGTTGGGTTGTCGGAGTACGATTAGGTGGAATTTGGCCAGTAGTTGCAGGAATCTCAGCCTCCCCAAAGCCACCTGATGTGAGGCTAGCGTGACTGACTGAGGAGCTGTATTTTTAGTCTTATTTAACTTGAATTAATTTAAATTTAAATAGCCACTGTGGCTAGTGGCTTGGTGCATCTCAGCTGAGAGACCTTGGAGCCACCACTATGTAGGGCAGCCTGGAGAGTCCAGACTCAAAGCCTGCTTGGTGTCTGGTGAGCCTGGCTACAAGCGACTCACATTAATTTAGTTGAAAAACAGGATGTGGCTGGACACAGTGGCTCATGCCTGTAATCCCAGCACTTCGGGAGGCCGAGGCGAGTGGATCACTTGAGATCAGGAATTCGAGACCAGCCTGACCAACATGGTGAAACCCCGTCTCTACAAAAAGTACAAAAATTAGCTGGGCGTGGTGGCGGGCACCTGTAATCCCAGCTACTTGGGAGGCTGAGGTAAGATAATTGCTTGAACCCAGGAGGCAGAGGTTGCAGTGAGCTGAGATCGCACCACTGCACTATAGCCTGGGCAACAGAGTGAGACTTTAACTCAAAAAAAAAAAAAAAGAAAAAGAAAAGAAAAACAGTATATATTTTCACTGCATTCTTATTTTTTTCAGTGCTGATACCAGATCAGCATACTCATAACTCTGTTAACCAGAATGGGAGACTAAGTGGGGAAATGCCACGCTCTGACCATGTGAGGAGTTCAAGTATAATTTACTTCATTCACAGCTTCTTGAATGGCTGCTGCTGGTCTGTTGCATTTGTCCACCTGTTTGCATCTGCATGCGGATCCCAAATGTCAGCCTTTCCCCTTCTGACGCCCTCCACCCGCTGCCGAGACATCTCCGTGTAGCTTTCCTGGCTCTGCCTCTCCCAGCCTCCTCCTCTGGGTTTCATTTCCTTGCTGTGAGCCTTGTGCGAGGCAGGATATCTCCAGTGCAAGGACACTACTGGTGGACAGCTGGTCCGTCCCACACTTTTCTCTGCACGTCTGAGGAGTCCAGGAGGACTGGCTGAGGCTGCAGGCAGGAAGCTCAGTTGGGTGAACCCAGGCAAACCCAGGAGTCAGCCTGGCTCTGGCCCTAGCTTGAACGCCTCGGTTGTAGTTCTAAAGCCTATTCATTTCCTCCATGTTCACATCTTTAAGAGGGGAAGACGGGGCTGCAGAGGGAGAGGAGCCAGCTTGGGGCCTGGGGTGCAGTCTTAGAGACTAAGGAGGCTCCTCTGGGGAGCGAGGGTGCCCAGGTGGGGAAGGCAGAGCGCAGGTCGAGCAGATTCTACCGCAGCCCGTCCTGGGTCCTGTTGATGTGCTACACATTGCAGGGAGCATTTTCATCCCAGGCGGTGCGTGACAAAGCTAGGATTTGAACCCAGGCTGTTCAACTCCAAGTTCTGGGCTCTTTAAAATAGGGCAGTTATTAGCAGGGAAGGAACACACTGCCCACTCATCTATGACAAATCAATTAATTTGTCCAAATTCCACTCATGCTTTCAAACTCACTTAAACCCTCCTTAAAGCCTACACTTGCCAACTCGCCTGGCCCTGGGCACTGCTTGCCTCTGCCTGCCTTTGCCTCCTTTTCCCGCTTCTGTTCCTAGTTCAACCCCCACCCACATTGTGAGCTCCCTGAAGGCAGGTCCATGTCTGGGGTGGGCCAGGTGAGGGGTGGAAAACATCGATACCAGTGACTTACATGCACCCAGGTGCCAAGGTAAGCACGGACGAGTGGGGACTGGTGGGCCACATCCCGCCCAAGGGAGCAGCCATTACATAATTGTTTGCAAGCAGGCAAACAGGCATAAACTGACCAGGTCTTTGTAAGAGAAGCCAGAAATCAGAATTTTTTTTTAATATAAAACCCCCCAGAATCTTAAACATGGATAATGAATGTAAAAAACTCTACAGATACTCCGGAAGCTAACCGGATCCATCCATGTGCCTGCCCTGGCCTCCCCTTAATTGTCAGCTGCTGCATATGAATCCAGGTTCAGCCATTCAAAAGTTCTCTGCCCACTTGAAAAGGGTCTCACCTTGGGCAGATCTCATGCTGCCTAGCACAGGGGATGCATCCACTCACCGCACTGGACCAGCACACCAGCTAGGGAAGCACAGTTTGAGAGCTCCTGGGACCTGTCCTGGCTGTGCTGCCCACAGCCCCTCCTCCACTCCTCCTGGCAAGAGGAAACAGGACAGCTCCTCCTGCCCAGGCACAGTCAGAAGAAGCTGTCCCTTCTGGGCAGGCACACCTCAGAGGGAAAGCAATTCAATTAAGCCCTGGTTCACAGCGAGTGCTAAAAACCTCCCTCTGGAGAACCATTTTCTGCTATAGATTTTTAAGACCAGCAGCTGGAGAATCACTCTTCCTTTTTCTCTTTTGGTGCTGTGTCTCTCTAGTCAATAAATAAGTGGGAAATAAAGTATTTGCAAGAAAATAGAATGCAGTCGAAAGGTAAATTGTGGACTTAAAAGCCCCTAAGAGACTGGCGCAGACTTGGAAATGTTTCCTAGTTTGACACCTCTTGCTTCTCTAAGCCCAGCTTCTGGCTCTCCGATTTGCATCTCCAAAAGGTGATCTTTAAAACTGATTTCCTTCAGTTGCATTTCATTGGTGTAGAAACTAAGCAGGCTGTTGCATTACAGTAATAACATCAACATTTCACCTGCCTTCGCCTTAATTATTTTTCTCTCTTGCGATGGAATCCATTTAATAAGATTTACAGGTGGCAAGGAGGTGGGGTGAGCTGGTGTGCGGCTCAGATAATCGGCCAAGCTGATTTCTCCCTCATTGGGTGTCACCAGTATAAAAACATGAACTAAAAGCTTTGCAGCGCTTAAGTAATAATAATGTCAGCATTTCACCTGCCTCCCCTTGATTATTTTTCCTCCCTCGTTCTTGCCACCTGAACCTGTTTAGATAAGATTGCCACACAGATAGAAACCAAGGGCTCTCATTCTCTTAGATAAGCTGCTGTTTTTCTATGGTTTGGTGTGAAAAGGGAGTGTTGCTGGCAGAAAGGCTCTGTCTCAGATCTTCCTGGTGGGGGGCGTCCGAGCCTGTGGATCCTGGGTGGACCAAAGGCAGCAATGGAGTAGGGGGCAGGTGGCTGTTAAGGTGGATGTGGGCACTCGGGTAGGTACCCTGGCCTGGGAGCAGAGGAGGAACCATCTCTAAACATCTGCTCTCTCCCCTAGATGCCCCTAGGGGATCCAGGCAGGGACGAATGGGTTTCATTTGTTGAGGGGGAGGGGTTCTGATTATGCAGCACTAGGCAAGTCTCCAGTGTGGTATAAAAAACATTTGGGTAGCCCTAGCTTTACAACTAGTTAGCTGGGTGGCCATGGGGAAGGAACCCAACCCTTCTGAGCCATAGTTTCCTAAAAACAAAGAGGTGGTTTGCTGTGGACTGAATGTTTGTGATGGCCTCCGGCTGCAGTTAATATATTGCAACTCTAACCTCCATTGTGATGATGTGGGAGGTAATTAGGGTTAGATACTGGGAGGTAATTAAGCTCATCAGGGTGGAACCCTCCTGATGGAATTAGTGCCCTTGAAAGAGGAAGAGAGAGAATCTCCCTCTCCCTCTTTCCCTCCCTCTCCTTCTCTCTCTGTCTCTCTCTCTCCTTCCTTCCTTCCCTCTCTCTCTTTCTCCCTTTATCTCCCTCTTCCTCTTTCTCCCTCTCCCTCTTTCTCCCATGCTGGAACCCTTAACTCAAACTTCCAGGCTCCAGACACAGTCTGGAGAAATAAATGCTTGTTGTTTAAGCCACCCAGTCTATAGTATTTGTTATAGCAGCCTGAGCTAAGACATTGGTCTGGATTATCTTAAATTTTAAACTTTAAACTTTTGGGGACTTACTGAATGACTCCTTTGAGAATGTGAAACCACTCCCCAGAAATGTGCACATATATTCTGAATATTGCGTCCAAGCTTTGTAGGGATAAAAGGCCCCACACCAAAAACCTTGGCATCATCTGTGACCCCTCTCTTTCTCTCATAGTAACTGTCCACTATCTCTGCTGCTGCTATTCCAGCCTGAGTCCCTCATCTCTTCTCTGTATTACTGCAAGAGCCTCTTAACAGAGGCTCTTGTCTTCCCTTGTCCTCTTATGGTCTCTTCTCAACCTAGCAGCCAGGGTGAGTCTTTTAAAATATCACTCAGATCCCATCGATCCTCTATTGAGAACCCTTCCATGAGTGATTTTCTCTTCAAATAGAAATTTGGCTCTAAGATCCACAGCTGACTTCGTCACTTCTATGAGTCTTTGTTTACACAAAGTCAGCTTCTAGAGGAAAAATATGAATTGACCTATATCAAGTAAAGAGATTGGACTAATAAAAATCTTCCCATAAAGAAAGCCCTAGACCCAGATGGCATCATTGGTGAATTCTATCAAATAATATCAATCCTTTGTGAAATCTTCTAGAAAATAGAGGAGGAATAAACACTTCCCTACTCATCCTACAAAACCAGTGTTACCTGATACTAAAGCCAGACAGACATAATAAGAAAAGAGAACTATAGACTATTGTCCATCATGAATTTAGATAAAAACCCTTTAAGATATTAGCAAACTGAATCCAGCAACATATAAAAAAAGATTATATGCCATGACCACATGGGATTTTTATCCCAGGAATTCAAGGTTGGCTTAACATCTGAAAATCAATTACTGTAATACACTATATTAATAGAGTAATAAATAAAACTATATTATCATCTCAATAGATGCAGAAAAAAACATTTCACAAAACCCAACACGATGTGTAGTAAAAACTCTCAACAAAGTAGGAACAGATGAAAACTTCCTCAACCTGATATAGGTCACCAGTGAAACATTTTCTGCTAACATTATACTTTAAAATAGTGAAAGATTGGATGCTTTCCCCTAAGATTGGAAACAAAGCCAGAATGTCTGCTCTCACCATTTCTATTCAGCATTGTACTGTAAGTTCTAGCCAGTGCAATAAGACAAAAATGCATTAGGTTGGAAAAGACAAAGTAAAACTATCTTTCTTCACAGACAAAATGCTCCTGTATGCAGAAAATCTTAAATTTACAAATAACTATTAGGTTTAAAAAATGTGTTTATCAGCCAGGCACAGTGGCTCACACTTGTAATTCCAGCACTCTGGGAGGCTGAGGCCGGTGGATCACTTGAGGCCAGGAGTTCGAGACCAGCCTGGCCAACATGGTGAAACCCCATTTCTACTAAAAATATGAAAAATTAGCCAGGCGTGGTGGTGGATGCCTGTAATCCCAGCTACTCAGGAGGCTGAGGCAGAAGAATTGCTTGAACCCAGGAGGCAGAAGTTGCAGTGAGCTGAGATTGTGCCATTGCACTTCAGCCTGGGCAACAAGAGTGTAACTCCATCTCTTTAAAAAAAAATGAGTTTAGCAAGATCCAACAGTCATACACAAAAATTAATTGTGTGTATATATAGATACACCATCTATATATAATCTTAGCAATGAACAATCCAAAAATGAAATTAAGAAAATTTCATTCACAGTAGCATCAAAAATAATAAAATGCTTAGGGATAAATTTATCAAAGGAAGTACAAGATGTACACTGAGAACTAGAAAACACTGCTGAGAAAAATTGAAGACGTAAAAAAATAAAGAGGCATTCCATGTTCATGGATGGGAATACTCAATATTGTTAAGGTGGCAATTAATTCTAAATTGATCTATAGCTTTCACGCAATTCCTATCAAAATTCCAGCAACCATTTTTTTGCAGATGTTGACAGACTAGTCCTAAAATTCATATGAAAATGCAAAGGACCTAAAATAGCTGGAACCATTTTGAAATTCACTGTGGGAAAGGATAGTCTTTTTAAACAAATGATGTCGGAACAATTGGATATCTGTATGCAAAAATGAATTTAGGGCCTTCACAAATCACTAAAACTTAAAATGCACCAAGATTAAATATAAAAACTAAACTTGTAAAACTTATGGGAGAAAATACAGTAGTAAATCTTTGTGACCTTTGATTAGGCAGAGTTCTTAGAGACAATATCAAAAACACAATCTATAAGAAAAAATTATCAAACTGAACTTGATTAAAATTAAAAGTTTTTGTGCTTCATAAGACACCATTAAGTAAACGAAAAGGCAAACTACAAACTGAGAGAAAATATTTGCAAGTCGTATATCTGGTAAAGGACTTGTATCCTGGCTATAAAGAACTCCTATAACATAGTAAGACAAATGATTCTATTTAAAAATAGGCAAAATATTTGAATAGACATTTTACCAAAGAAGATACACAAATGGATAATTATCACATCAAAACATGCTCAACATCCTTATTCATTAGGGGAATGCAAATTAAAACCATAATGGATACCACTTGAAACCTGTAACAGTGTTGGCAAGGATGTAGAGAAACTGGAATGCTCATTTATTGCTGGTGGGAATGGATACAGCCACTTTGGAAAACAGCATGGCAGTTTCTTAACAAGTTGAGCATAAACTTTCCATATTATGTAGCCATTCCACTACTAGGAATCTACTCATGAAAAGTGAAAACATATAGCCACACACAGACTTGTTTGTGAATGTTCATAGCAACAATTTTTTTTTTTTGTTTTTGGTATTTTTAGTAGAGATTGGATTTTGCCATGTTGGCCAAACTGGTCTTGAACTCCTGGCCTCAAGTGATCCACGTGTCTCAGCCTCCCAGAGTGCTGGGATTACAGGTGTAAACCACCACACCTGGCCAGCAGCATTCTTTATAATAGCCCCAAACTGGAAACAATCCGACTGTCTGCCGACTGGCGAATGGATAAACAGAATGTGGTATATCCATATAATGGAATACTATTCAGCAATAAAAAGAAGTGAACTACAGATACATGCTACAATACAGACAAATCTCAAACACATTTTTCCAAGAGAAAGGGGCTAGACACACAAGGCCACATATGATATGATTCTACTCATACCATATATCCAGAAAAGCCAAATCCAAGAAGCACTGCATTGGTTGCCTGAGACTGGGTGGGAGTGAGGATTGACAAGGGATCGTTTTAGGGTGATGAAAATGTTCTAATACTGGATTGTGGGGGTGGTTGCACAACTCTATAAATTTATTAAAAATAATTGAGTTGTACACTTAAAATGGATGAATTTAATGATAATGTAGAGTTTACCCAAATAAAGCTGTTAAAAAATAAGGGGAAAGAAAAAGGCCACTTCCCCATGAGGTCTATTCCAACCTCTCAACACCTCCTTTCCCTAGGAAACCCAACCCCTCACACTCTGCTCTACTTTTTTTGAATAGCATTGATCACCTTCTAATACACTATAAAGTTTTCTTGTTATGTTTTTCGTCTAACTCCCTCCGCTACAATATGGTTCGCGGAGGTAGGAGTTTCAAGTCTGTTTTCATCGCTAATGTATATTCTCAGGGTCTAGAACAGTACCTGGCATGTGGAAGGCACATATACAGATGCTGAAAGATGAAATGAATGAAGAATTCTGGATTAAAGGGCTCCTTCATCTCTAAAATTATCTAATCAAAGGTTTTTGAGGGTCTTTCTGGCATCTTCTTGTGTTTCTTAGCAGACCTGTTGCCCAGGCCATGTTGGCATTTTGGGCTGAACCTGGACGTGAGACGGGGAAGTCCCGGGGGACCCTGGCTAGGGCTCAGCGTTGTCTGGAAGAGTAAGAGGACCAGCTCTCCCTTGCCCATGCCTCGTGCTGCCTCTAGCTATTTCCTTTGTTGACCTTAGTTGACGCATCTTTAAAATGAGTTCTCTCCAGCAGCCTAGTGACTTCGTTTGTGTGCGACAAAGGGGAAGGGAGCAGTGGGATTGGGGGTAGGGCAGAGATAGTCCTTCCTGGGGGGTGGCTGTGTGGCCATCAGCCTTCTCCTCCCTTTCTTGCCTGCACCACTGAAGCTGCTGGGTGATCTCTCAGCTGCTAACATTGTTTCTGACATATTTTCACATGAAAACCTCTTCCTTTATATAAACATTTATAAACACCTGGATCGACTTGTGAAAGTGTGACACATTTTTTGGAAGCCAGTTTTTTCGGGTTGTGGGACTCAGCTATTTATTTTTGTGAGATGGAGGCTTCTGGGTGCCTATGAACCTCCCCCTTGGAAAAACCTCCTTCACACGGACAGAACAATTTAGAGGCTCAGAGTGATGGAGAAAGACGCGGCAGGTGGCCGCCCAGAGGATGATACTGAATGGGATGGCAAATGAATGCTGCGGGTCTCGGGGCTCCCCAGGTCCATCTGAGGAGGAGGGGCTGCCAGGAAGGGTTTTTGGAAGCCTTGGGTTTGCTCTTCGAGCCGACTCCCCGATTCCATGAGCCCTGGGATGGTGGAAGGGTTCAAGCAGGGCTCCTGGAGTTCCCAGGGGCTAGGAAGAAACCTGTTTCATAGTGATGATTTTAGGGGGAGTCAGGCAGCAGAGAGAGTGGAGTTTGGAAAAGAGGAGGGGCATAATTGAGCATAAAGGGCCAGGGTTTCAGAGCCAGAAGCGACTGCATTCAGATTCTCGTTCTTTACCTTTCTTGTGTGTGACCTTGGGCAAGGTAATGAGCCTCTATGTCTCAGCTTCCTCGTCCGTAAAAGGGGACACGGGACCTGCCTGGCAGAGCTGGTCAGAGGGCAGATGAAGGCATGCGAGTGGGTTCCTCAGCACAGTGCCTGTCATAGAGTGGCAGCTCACCAGCGTCACCCTTGCCCTTCTCTCTTCTCTCCACTCGAGCAACTCACAAGCTGCCCTTTCTGTGCATAGAAGGTGTGGCTGAACTTAGATCTCCTCATCCCTGCCTAGTGGGGCACATGCAGGGTGCAGCTCCCGGAGTCTGGGACCATCAGGACCTCTGAATGGGGGCTTTGAAGCTGTGTCCAGTCCCTGTCTTTCCTAGTACCTATCAGAACTTCTCATGAGTGAAAGCCAGTCTCCTAGGCATGAGCATCTTATCTCTGATGAACCCCCCAGCTTTTTGCTCTGACATCATGCCACCGTTTCTCATCATTTCATGGGATATACCTTCTGCTCCTGCTGGGGACCCTCACTCACAAGCCCTGTTCTGCCTGGACTGATTCTCACCTTGCTCTTTCACCCAGGTGAACTCTCAGTCTTGGAATGCCCTCACCCCTCCTTCATACTCAATCACGTCTCTGCCACCCTCCAAGCTTGGCTTCAGGTGGAGTTCCTCCAGGAAGGTAGCTGTGTTGAACACTCACTGCCTGACCTTTTCACGTTCTGTCCAAACTCTGAGACATTATTTTAGCTGGTATGTAGGTCATGAGGTTGACATTAGGAAGAACATATCAGGTTCTCCATCCTCTTTTTTCCTTTTTTTCCCCAGCCATTCTGTGTGTGTTCATAAATGTGACATTCCCATGATGGACCCAGATTTTGCCAGCAGTTTGCAGAATGGTAAAGTTTTGAATTAAAGTCAACAGCTTCCAACTATCTGTCACTTTCCTGCCTTGTGGCATCCTGCCACCACAGAGGCACCAACATATCTCAGCACTCAAATTGGGCCCAGCGTGGTAGCTCACACTTGTAATCCCAGCACTTTGGGAGGCCAAGGCGGGGGAATCACCTGAGGTCAGGAGTTCAAGACCAGCCTGGCCAGCATGGTGAAACCCTGTCTCTACTAAAAATACAGAAAATTAGCTGGGCGTGGTGGTGCACATCTGTAATCCCAGGAGATTCGCAGGAGAATCACTTGAACCTGGGAGGCAGAGGTTGCAGTGAGCCGAGATTGTGCCACTGCACTCCAGCCTGGACTGGACAACAGAGCAAGACTCCGTCTCAAAAAAAAAAAAAAAAAAAAAAAAAAAGAAAAAAGAAAAAAAGAAAAAAAAGAAAACACACACTGCTCAAATTGAGAACTTTGGATCTGGGCTAATATTTCACCTGGGGCTGAAATTGTCTGGGCAGAGCCTGCAACAAACTGCTCTGGGGACAGCTGGATAGGAAAGGAACATCCTTAAATGGTTCTGGCTCTCTTCTCTCTGAATCTTCCCCTCTCTTGGGCCAGCCCATGACTTCACTCAGCTCCAGAACTGGCAGATTTGCTGCCATCATCTCATCTCTGGAGATGAATCTATTTCCTTCCTATAGAAACAGCATGCAAGAAAACTCAGCTTCTGCTTGAATACTCCCAGAGACAGGAAGCTTACTACTTAACTGAACTCTGTTAGTTTTAATTGTTGAGATAAGAAATGTCCTCCCTGACGTTGTTTCCTTCCTTCCTTCCTTCCTTCCTTCCTTCCTTCCTTCCTTCCTTCCTTTTTTTTGAGATAGGGGTCTCACTGTTGACCAGACACTGCACCCTTTGCCTCTTGGGTTTAGGCAATCCACCTGCCTCAGCCTCTCAAAGTGCTGGGATTACAGGTGTGAGCCACTGTGCCCAGCTACCCTGGCTCTGTTTCCATCCTCCGGAGCTCCAGAGTAAATCTATTGTGCTTCTTTAGATATTTGGGAGGGACCCTATTCCCCTACATCTTCTCTCTAGTGAGCTGAACCTCCTCATTTTTAAAAATTGTGTACACAGTATCTCTCTTATGTCTTTTACAGGCACTGCGTCCCTGTTAGACTTCAGGGACTTTGCACTGGCCATGGTGCTGACCAATCACAGGCTGCCCAGGCCAAGGATTGGGTCTGGTGCTGCTGGAGATACTGACTGCTCAACTCTCTCTCTGCTGTTGCTCCTCTTCATCTACTCCCATCTCCCATGGCCTGAGTTAAATCATGACAGTTGTCCTGGTGCCTCCAGGGCTAGTGCACATAGGGAAGTAAATGGCTGAAATTGGGAGGAGAGGAACACACAAGGGCCAGTGGCTGGGCTCCCTGGAGATCTGCAGTGCTGTGTGTGTGTGTGTGTGTGTGTGTGTGTTGGAGCAGAACAGAGAGTTGTTGGTTGTGCCTCCATCTCTAGAGTCTGCAGGGATGTCACCAGGTATGCCATGATGAGGAGTGGTTTCAAGAGCTACACAGGCCAGGCGCAGTGGCTCACGCCTGTAGTCCCAGCTACTTGGGAGGCTGAGGCAAGATAATTGCTTGAACCTGGGAGGCAGAGGTTGCAGTGAGCTGAGATCACGCCACTGCACTCCAGGTTGGGCGACAGAGGGAGACTCCATCTCAAAGAAAAAAAAAAAAGAGCTATACAAAGAGTGGACCCCCCAGGCTGCCTGGAGAGGCAGTCGGTCATGGGTCCCCAAACACCTCTCTCCACTGGACCTACAACACAGGTCCCCTCACAGCAGCAAGATAACAAAGCTGTGGCCATTCCCACTCCAAAGGCAGCAATGCATCTTTCCTCTGCAGGACACTGACCATAGCTGTTAGTCTTGGCTCCCGGCTCATGGGCATTGCGTCTTCTGCTTCTGTGGTGTCCTATCCTGCCCCGAAACAGTGGGGGCTCCCTTAGGCTCTGGCCCCTGCCAATCTTCCAGGACCTCTCTTTCTCTCCAGGCTTGGCCTCCGCGAGTCTGCCTTGGGTTGTGTGACTTTGTCCCTAAACTCCCTCTGAGGATGACACCCCTCCGTCACCCCACTGGCTGCCGGGGGGAAGGCTTCCATTTAGTGGCATTTTCCTTTCTCATTTCATGCTGTAATGGAGATTCATTGCCAGTTTTAAATCCATAATTTGCTGTGAAACCCTTGTTTTGGGCCTGGGCTGAGGTCGGAACGGAGAAGCGGCGGGTTATTTTTAGCCCTCAGAGGGCTCCCTGTGCAGCTGCAGCTCCCCTGGGCTTCCCCCAGGGCGGGCCTCAGACAGCGTCCTGGGTTTGACACCCAGGATGCCCAGGAAGCTGGAGCTGGGACAGGGGTAAACACACACGTGGGACTGGCTGGCCTGCCCCTCCCTCAGTTGGCTCTGGCTCTGTTCCTCCTCCATTTCATGAGATGAGGGGGAATCAGTAGAGAAACAGGGCCTCATGCCGATGAGTCTGTGCTTCCATTACCCCCCTCTTTCCTGGGCCTGACAAGGAGTGAGGGTCAGTACTTCAGGCCTCCAAGAATGTGTCCATTTCCTAACAGTGACTGATCCCCTGACCGGATGTTCTTGTGTCTTTCTATCAGGGCGACACTGATGATTTGGCTCTGAGGTGTGTGTGTTAAGTACCTGCGTGCACCAGCGCATTTGTCCTTGAGGCGAAGCTGTCCATGTGTGTATCCTTATGATTGGCACATAAATGGGGAATCCTGTCAATGGCCAGTGGCCAGCGGGGCTTCCAGACTGAGGATCCCAGTAGGGCACCAGGACAGAGGTGGGCTCTTGCTGTGCTTTTGCAGGCTTGTGGGGATGCTGAAAGAGATACCCAGGCCTGAGGAGCAGCCGTATGAGGGGTAAGTGGGTGAGGGGCCTCCTCCAGGCAGCTGCCCCCCGCATGTTATAGGAAGGGGCTTAGATTTCACTTGCAGCCCTGGAGCTGATGATTCCATGTCAAATGGCAGACACCCGAGGATCGAGGTCCTGACTTTTGCAAATCTCCACAGTCTGAGCTCACTTTTTGCTGAGCAGTTGAGCCTGCTCAGCATCTCCCAGGGTCACGCTTGGTTCCAGCAGCTGAAGGGTATATTATCCTTGCTCTCAGGAGGAAGGGAAGAGGAACTCAGGGAACAATGCCTCTCATGCCCCAACCCCAAACCATGAGCAAATGAGAGAGAATCACAGTCAACCCGTGAAGTGGGTTTAACACTTCATCTCTCCTGCTACTGGCTCCACCATGGAGAGGGCGGGCCCTGAGAGATTAAGCATCATCAGCCCCTGTCTCACAGCTGGATGGTGGCAGGACTGGGGCAGGAGTGAATGCGTCCCAGCTCCCCAGTGAGGGCCGTTTGTCCTGCTTGGGTCTGGAGAGTTTCCAATGCCCTGGGGATGGTGGTGACACACTCCAGAACTTCCCAGGGCTGCCCTGAAGAGCCTGTCTCTTGGTGATGGGGGTGCAGCCACTGGGGCCAGGCAACAGCAGGAGGCTGAACCCCTACCATAAGCAGTAGACCATGAGTGGGCTCCTAAGAACCTCCCCAGCTTCCCTTGTCCTGGTGTTGGGAGCAAAAGATGCTGGGGGGTATGGGGGCTGGCCCTGGGCATGGTCATTTGGGAAGCTACCCCCAGATTTCAGTGGCGAGTGGGCACTTGGATAGGCAGTGTCGAGCTTCTGGGCCCCTCCAGAAATCGCTCATGGTGGCACTGGCTGGGGTAGGGTGGGGCTGTGCATTCCTTGCATCAGGTCTTCTCCTTCTTGGAGAGGCTCCTGCCTGCCCTTCTCCACACTCAGGCAGGGAAGGGAAAAGATGCGCTGAGTTTGCCTCCATCCCTGAGGGATCCTCTCTTCCTCCGGGCCTTGGAAGTCGTTTAATGCTTGAGTGTCCTGCCCCCACCTCATTTCCCAACATGAGGGACGACCCCAGGCTGGGGGAGAGTTTTGACATCCAGCCAGGCTGTGATGAGGATGGGAGATGGAGTGGGTAAAGAGACAGAGGCCATGCCTGCCCATGGTAACATGCAGATTATGGGGGCAGGGAGATTGTGGGGGGCGACCTTGGAGTGCAGCAGGAGGGCAGGGCTGGGGCGACCCGCACACCTCAACTCAATGGCTGCAAGACCTCCAGGGAGACCTTCTATCTCATCTGGCCCCCAACAGCAACTACTCAGCGTGGCATTATGGCATTGAACCCACAGGGTGGACCTCAGGGAGCTATAATATAACTTAGAGGTGAGAGACTATATGTCAGCCTCAGATACCCTTCATGGCCCCCAGCTCTGCTCACTTTATCACCTGCCCAGCAGGTGAGCTCCGAGTTAGATGGGAGGCTAAGGTGGTGTCAGTGGCCAAAGGGAGAAAGAGGAGGGGAATCTGCTTCTGGCCCAGGGGACATGGGGGTAGTCTGGGCTACCAGGAAGGGAGCTGGGAGCGAGCTGGTGGCAGGGGTGGGGTGTGTGTAGGGGGAGCGAGATGTACAATAGCTCCGACACAGCTCCCATGTGGAACCTCAGGAGATAAGGATGTTTTCTGCTCCTGTCTTCCGTCTCTGGCTCGTTTGCTACCGCTATTTGGGGGTGATTGCAGGGTAATGAATGTTGCAGGAAACAGCCACATAGCACAAATGAGATACGGCACTAAGACCAGGCCAGGGCCCAGGCAAAACACGCTTAATAAGCAGATAAGGAAATCAATTCTGCCTTTCTTCCCAGGTGTGCAGCCTGCTGGGAGGGGCCTGCAGGAATCATATCTTCCTGCCTTGCTTGATACATGGGAAAGCTTCTCTAGGAAGCAAAGTCTGATCCCCCGGGATGCAGGGGTTGCTTGTTGGTGTCTCATAACATTGTGCAATAATAGCAATGATGAAAACAGTTATAATACTAGCAGCCAATGCTGCTATGCCTTGCTGCATAACAGGCGCTATTCTGAGACATGTTTTACATATATTATTTCATTAAATCCTCTCTTCAACCCCATGAAAGCAGTTATGATTATTTCCCTCATTTTACACAGAAAGAAACAGGCACAGAGTGGTTAAATAACTTGCTCACGGTCACACCAGTGGCAAAATGATACAGCTAGGTTTCAAGTGCGGGCAATCTGGCTTCCAGAGGCCAGGCGCTTAGCCACATTGCCTCTCCAACACAACACAACACAACACAACACAACACAACACAACACAACACAACACAACAAAACACAATTGTCATCCGTGTTTGGGGCTTACTATCTGCCAGACTCTGTTCTCTGTCGTCAGATTCAGTGTAAACTCCCCCTAAATTTTCCCTAAGCCTTGTTATTTCAATTGCCATGAGGAACATTTACTGAACACCCAGTATGTGATTCTAGGCTGTGCTAGGCATGAAGGATGAAAGATGCTCCCAGGAGACCCGGTGGGGGAAACAGACATGAAAACAGTTACTCTCAACATAGCGTGTCGAGACCTGTAATCAAGGTGCATAAGGAGGCTGGGCGCGATGGCTCACGCCTGTAATCTCAGCATTTTAGGAGGCTGAGTTGGGTGGATCCCTTGAGCCCAGAAGTTCAAGACAAGCATTAGCAACATGGCAAAACCCGGTCTCTACAAAAACAAAACAGAACAAAACAAAAAAACAAACAAACAAAAATTAGCTGGGTGAGGTGGTGCATGCCTGTGGTCTCAGCTACTCGGGAGGCTGAGGTGGGAGGATCGCTTGAGCCAGGGAGGTCGAGGCTGCAGTGAGCCATAATAGTGCCACTGCACTTCAGTCTGGATGACAGAGCAAGACCCTGACTCAAAAAAAAGATGCCTAAGGAAGTGAAAAGGACCACAGGGGGACAGTCAGGCCATGTGGGCTCCAGAGAAGGCTTCCTGGAGGAGGAGTTGTCTGAGGTGAATCTTGACAGCTGAACACAAGTTAGCCAAGGGAAGAAAGGTAGGAAGGGCACTCCAGGAAGAAACACAGTGTGAATGAGGGCCCAGAGGCTTGGTGAGCGGAAGGAGATGCCAGCTGCTTGTTAGTGCGGGAGCAGGTTGGCGGTGGGTCTGAGGCTGGGGACACAGCTGGGGGCTGGCCTCGGGGGGCCTTGTGTGGCCTGGCAGGGAGCTTGGGTTTTGTTCTGTGGGGACACTTTCTCGCCCCTGAAGAACCCCTCAGACTGTCACCTACTGATTTGCCTTTTTATGTCAGGGTGACTATGGATGGGTTTCTTGCAACCAGTTTCTGGAAGAATGGTTTAGAAGCCAGCACCCTCGAGGTCTGTTCCAGCTCTGCCTTCCTTTGCTGGCAGACTCTGAGTTATTCACCACTGTTCTCTGGACCCATCTCCCCAGAAGATTCATGGATGGGAGATTGGGGGAGGCTGCCAACGCGGTGGGCTGAGGAGGCCCTGCAGCTCTGCTGGTAGAGCTGTGGCAAAGGGAGCTTGTGGTTTTGAAAAACAAACTAGTTAAGGACACGTCACAGATTGGACCTTATCTGTTTTCCTCTCTCAGTATTTGGGGCTTGACATCATTTAAAAAGATGCCCTCTTTATTTGAATTGACTTAGTCTCCCTCTTAAATAATTCATGTTGATTTAGGAAGCTTTATTTCTAACGGGAGCCACAAGACAGCAGAGTTAATATTAGAACGGGCCAGGAAGAAGAGGGAAATGAGGAGGGAGACTGGGAAAAATGCCCCTCTTAATAATTAATCTGATGCCAACATCCCCTCCTCCCACTTCTGATCCCCCCATCCTGCTCTACTTTTTCCTTTCCGTAGCATTTATTACCACCTCACATCCTGTACAGCAATGCAATTTATGGTTTAATCCGTGCATCACTTATCGACCGCCTTCTCTCTGCCAGAATGCAAGCTCCACCAGGGCAAGGATGGTTTTCTCTTTCGTTTCCTGATGAATCCCACGTGTCTAGACTAGTGCTTGGCATATAACAGGTGCTCAGTAAACATTTGTTGATCAAATCCTTGGTACCATTTCCTCCCTGCCCTGGATGTCCCAACACCTTGCTTCCCAAGTTTCCAGGAAGTTGAAGAGATCAAGTGTAATGCCACCCTTACAACTCTGACCCTGGGACAGTTTCAATATTTTTCAACCCTGGGATTCCTGTAGGTGGAAGAAGGAGCAGTCTGCATGTATATGTGTACACAACTTTAAAATACAGGCGGGGTGGCTCACGCTTGTAATCCCAGCACTTTGGGAGGCCAAGATGGGTGGATCACTTGAGGTCAAGTGTTCGAGACCAGCCTGGGCAGCATGGCTAAAAATACAAAAATTAGCCAGGCGTGGTGGCACGTGCCTGTAATCCCAGCTACTCAGGAGGCTGGAGCAGGAGGACCCAGAAGGCGGAGGTTGCGGTGAGCTGAGATCGTGCCTCTGCTCTCCAGCCTGGGCGACAGAGCCAGGCTCCATCTCAAAAAACAAAAAACAAACCAAAAAAGTGTATGACACTTCACTGTTAGAGATTGAGAGAGAGAGAGAGAAAGAGAGAGAGAGAGAGAGAGAGAGAGAGAGAGAGACAGAGTGTTTAATGTTTACAACAATTCTATGACATTGGTATTTTTAACCCTCTATTTTATAGATGAAGAACCAGAAACGTCATTCATTCATTCATTCACGCTGGTTATAGAGGCTTGAGCCAAAGAGGCCCAGTTCCAGCCTTAAGGACCTTGCCCAAGGTCACCCAGTTAGTGAGCAGCAAGAGCATATTCTACTTCCTGGCCCAGGGCTCTTCCTACCCCATGACAGCTCTCTCTGCACATGTGCATGGGGGTCCTCTGAAGCCCAACCAAACTGAGTCTTCGGAGAGGGCTAGGTCTATGTGGAAGCTGGCTACAGAGGGGTGGTTGGGGGGGATCCTTTGCAGGGAGGACCAGGGTTTGAGGTCCACAGCCAAGGCCAGGACCCCAGGGCTGAACAGGACTTGGAGAGGTCCTATCTCCCAGCCTCAAAGTGGGATGCTGTTTAAGCCACCCTAATCAGTTTTCTTCTAAGCCTCGGTCACTGCGCCAATCTTGGTTCCAGGGAGGGATGGCCCAATTTCCTAAAATAGTTGGTACAGCATGTTGGACTCCTTACAGTGGAAGTCATGGCCTTTTGGGAGCGAGACAGTTCTCAGCGATCATCTTATTTATCACCACCTCTCATTTTACAGATGAGGAAACTGAGACCCAGGTTGAGAAACAGGGCCACTGTCACACAGCTGGACACTGGTAAAACCAAGACCACTGCCTCTAAGTCTAATGCTGTTTCCGTGACGCTGTGATTCTCCAGATGTTCTGCAGGTGAAAAGACGCCTGTCTTGACCCTGGGCTGAGTCAAGCCATAGTCCTTGGCAGCTGGCTGGGCCACAGAGGGCACGCAGCCTGACCACTGATTGACCTGACCTAAAATCCCCAGTCTTTGCCTCTCTCAGCTTTGCAAACTCAGGCCTTCCCCCGTCTTTCCCTCCTCATTTCCTGGCTCCCTCCTTCTGCCTCCCGAGGTACAAATGCTCAGCTCCGAAGTTGCTCCTTGCCTGATTGCATCTGAGAGCTGGAAACACAACGCTAATTAATGTGTCTGTGACTCTAGGCTTGGCTGCCAGGCCGAGTCCCCATGCCTTCCCTAGGGCCCAGCGGCTCTGCGAGCTGGCCCTCTGGCTTCATCTGAGCACGCTGCCGGCAGATGCATATTTTAACAATGCACATCTGTTGGCTATATAATCTCTCGTATTTGCCCTCCTCACTTGGTACTTCGATGGAAGACCCCCGGGGGCCTCCCTCTGTTCTAGCCAAAGTGTTTGCTTTGCAATTTTGCCGGAATACCATCTGATTCTGCTTTCGCGTCTTCCGCAGGTTCTAATCAGGCTCTTACTTTATTTAATTAAAAATCTATCTCAGGCAAATACAGACTAAATTAGGAAGCTCTCTCATTCCTGGAACACAGGGAAGGCAGCCCCCCTTGGGGAACTGGCTGGGACATTTTCCCGGGCTGAGATGTCACAGCAAAGCAGATGGGGTCTTGGTAGGGAAGGCGGCTGGGCCAAGGAGCAGAAATACCTCTCTCCCATCTGTGGGAACAGCCACTCTCTCCATTCCCCTTCCCCAGACCAGGGGTCCCCTTCCAGCTGGCTGGGTCAGCTGCTGCACTGGGGGCCTCCTTGCAGAGCAGTAGGTGGGGTGCTATACCCCAGGACACTCAGCCAGGCGGAGCCCTGCAAGACCAGCTGGGTTGGGGACCTGGGAGTGTCCCAGGGAGTCAGCGAGGACTGCAGGCAGAGTGCTGGGAAGCACTGTCTTGCCTGGGGTTTTAGTTTGCTCAGGATGAATGGTTTTGGTGGAGCTGCCTGAAAGGCTGATGGACAAGATGCTGGCTGAGGCTCCCTTTCTGGCTCTCAGGAATTTCACGGAGGGGACCCTGCTGGGGATCATGGAAACTTCCTCTGCCCTCCTTCCGCTGATCTCCAGACTTGAATAAAACATCTCCCCCATACAAACCCAGCTCTGTGCCCAGAGGGCGGTGTCAGGCCATGCCACCGGAGAGGAAGGGGGAGCGAATGCCTTTTAGACATGACCTAAGACAAAATCGGGTCTGTTCAGGTTGGATCCTGAGGCCCTGCTCTGAGAAGCCTGGCCCCTCACCAGCCAGACAGATGAGATGCTGCTGGCATCTGGGAACAGGAGACTAGGCAAAGAGCTTGGAGCTGAAAAATCTGGAGTTGATTTTGAAGGTTAATTAAGCTGTGTCACCTCCTGTGAGTGCCTTTGCCTCTCTGAGTTTCCATTCTCTCATCTGTAAAACATTCGAAATAATCTGGACTTTTAATACGTTGGACTTTTTTACGTAACGTAGAGTTGAGAGGAAAGGAAGTGTAATGATCATGTCAGGACTGGGGAAGTCAATACAGCCTTAAGGATGAGATGTGGCTCCACCTATTTTTGGTTCCTGTGAAGTCAGAGGAGTGGACAATGCTCAGGTTCCTGTGGTTCCAGCATCCTCTGGCCCCTCTAGAAGGTGTATGAGTCGGTAGAGGCAGATTCTTCTGAGGATGGAGGGGCTGAGCCATCTCTGAAGATGAGGAGCCTACAACTTAGCAAATCTGTTCTGGCATTTTGCAATCCTCAAAATCAGAAACAATATGAGGCCCTAATTCCTCCTCCTCTCCTCCCACAACCCCCACACCACATGGCAGACTCATTCTCATTTTAGTCACCGTCTTGGGAGAAATGAGAACGGCGCTGCTGCCTTTAATACCCCAATTACTCCTCGGAAGGCCCGCTTCCCGGCCATGGAATCCCAACTTATTTACCCCCGCTGGAACAGGTTTATTTTCTCATTCCTTTCATCGCAGGCCTGGGGAGACTCAAAGGTTGCAGGAGGTTTCTGAGGCTGGCCCCAAGTCCCTCCCCCGCATCTCAAGAAGTCAAGCTCCGAGCTTGGTAAGTGGTCCTCCGGGGCCTGTCTGCTGCACTGCTTGGAATAATCTGCCCTGGTGTCTTTGGCCATGTAGATCTGAAGATAACCTGACATGCTTTTAAATATTTCATCTCTGAGCAGCTGTGTGCTTTAGCTGCCAGGAGAGGAGGCAGCACCCCAGCTGCTGACCCTGTTGTCGAACCTTCACAACAGCTGCTAAGGGGTGGGCCTGGGCTTTCCCACTTCCCTCCTGCACGCGTGCCTGGCACAGACTCACGTGTAAGGGGGCAGCGAGGTGGGGCAGGTAGCCCTGGAGCCCTGGCCAGGAGCCCATGGGCCAAGCTCTTTGCATCTGTGGGCCTTAGTATCTCATCTGGGGTAACAGTCCCTGTCCCACCGAGCAGCGTCAGGAACAGCGGAGGTCATGTGCCTGAAAGAGCCTAGAGAGCTACGGTGAACTGCTTGGCAAATGTGAGCTCTCATGACTTATGTGCAAGGCCTGGTTCTCAGCAGCCTTGATCCTCGGTAACATTTGGCCAGAGGAGGGAGACTCCCGGGACTGAACTCTAAATCAGAACTAGGCGGTTTAAGAGGTCACCGAGCCCATTCCCCTGTCTTCAGGCAAGATGATCCAGGAACGCTGGGCTCCTGGGAACATAAGATGAAGAAAGATCAAGGGGAAAAGTATGATTTGGAATAAGGACCTGAAATGAATTTTCCTAGGAGGGACCTGTCAGCCAGGATTCCCAGGGAGCAATGAGGGGTGGAGAAGTCACGGGGGTCACTGGTGTCCACATGGATACTAGAATCATGGGGAGAATCGGGCTGATTCTACAGAGAAGGTGGAAAGATAGGGCTTTGTTAGCACCGGAGTGGGGGTCAGTTCAGAAAGAAGGGACCCACAGCCTGTGCCACATTCTTCCTGGCACGGAGCCTAGCCTAGATAACGTGTGCAGAGCATGCTTTCTGATGGAATAAATAAGCATGTAGGAGCCCTCATTAGCTGCCTAAGGCACCATCAAACACGCCGGGGTTGGACTGAGTCCGCTGGCATTGGCTGTCTGGTTTACTAGGGAAAGAGCCTTCGCTTGTCCCGTTTGGGTGGGAAGGTGGGCATGGATATTGTGGAAGCAGCAGTGTCTGGAGCCCTGTGGGATGATCCCCAGAGGGGAGTCTCCCCATGTCTGACCAAAAAAATACCCTCTTGGAGCTGAGCCCTTGGTGCTTCACGCAGTGTCCCAGCCCCGTGTGCAGATGGTTCTTACCCAGGACTGTGAGGCGTGCGGGGCGGGAGCGGATGGCGGCCTGGATGGCCTGGCACTCGTACACCGCATCGTCTTGCAGCTCTGCCCTCAGGATCTTCAGGTGGTGCTCCCCTGACAGGTGGTTCCCTACCACCAGGTACTGTGGGTAACCTGTGGAGACAACAGGCAGGTCAGGGAGCTGGGGTGGGGTGGAGGGGACACCCATGACAAAGAGGCACAGAATGGAGGACCCAAGCAGGGGCCATTCTACAAGGCTGGCAGAGCGGGTGATTGCTCAGGGCTCTGATCTCAGTGCAAGGAGCACAAATGCAAGAGCTTTCCCAAGGCATTGAAGGTGTTGGTTCTCTCTCTCTCTCTCTGTATGTGTGTGTGTGTGTGTGTGTGTGTGTGTGTGTGTGTGTGTGTGTGTGTGTGTGTATAAGGGCATTTGGTCTGTTTGTTAGTTTTTGAGACAGGGTCTTGCTCTGTCACTCAGATTGGAGTGTAGTGGCAGGATCATAGCTCACTGCAGGCTCCACTTCCCAGACTCAAACGATCCTCCCACCTCAGCCTCCCAAGTAGCTGGGACTACAGACATGCACCACCACGTCGGCTAATTTTTTTATCTTTTGTAGAGATGGGATCTCACTATGTCACCCTGACTGGTCTTGAACTCCTGGACTTAGGCGGTTCTCCCTCCTCAACCTCCCAAAGTTCTGGGATTATAGGCATGAGCCACCATGCCCGGCCATGTAAGGGTCTTGTTGGTTTCAAGTTTAGGAAAATCGGAGGAGCCACTGTTAGAAAGGAAAGAGGGAGAAGAGATGGAAATGCTAAGCGTGGACAGACACCGCTGGCTTATTATTCTGGAAAGTGGTGTGCTCAGCACTGTGGTCTACCAAGCAGACATGCATTTTGATAAGATAGAGAGGAGAGAGAGAGAGACAGACAGACAGAGAGACCCAGGCTGAGAATTACAGAGAGAAGACAGTCAGAGAGAGAAGGAAGGAAAAAGAGAAATGTTTGGAAAAGGATCAAGAGTGACTTTGCAAAAATTTTGTTTCAGGATGGACAGGAAGTAGAAATCTAGGCCCGCCCTTCCAGTGTCTAGGAACCTTGGGTCACTTTGAGTCACAGTGGACCCTGTCTAGTCATTCCTCCTGTCCCGCCAGAAGCCCCAGGTCCTGGTGACGCACTTATGAAGTGCTCAGGACGCTTAAGAATTGGGGGCCCCTTGTACCATGGGCAATGAATAATAGATAAATAAAAGTTTGAGAATATAAATCATTAATCAGCGTTCCTGCTGCTGTGTAGGGTTGAATATAAATGCCAACTGAAGTTGTGGCTGGCCACCTTAGGCAGATCCTCTCTTTCCTGGGTCTCGGGCCCTACACCTCCCTATTTCTCTTTCCATCCATCTCCTCACTGAGGTCTGCCCTCCCCCGAGTCCCTCAGTGTGTGGATTTACAACTGGACTCCAATCCCCGCTGTCTTTCATCTCTGTCCCGGTTCCCTTCTCTCCTCAGAGGCTGCCCTCGGCTTCCACTCCCCTCTGGCAGCCCCAGGCTGCTCCTCCTTTTGAAGGACCCTCACCACACAGGGAGTGTTCTCAGACGGGTGCTGTAGGAGGATGAGACGGGACACATTCAGCCTTTTAAAGAGAAGATGAGGGCTTAAGCAAGTGAGAGAGACAGAACAAAGACAGGCAGGGAGACCTGCAAGAGCTCGCCTCAAGTATTTCAAAGAATCTCTCAGTGTGGGTTGGGCATGTTCCTGAGCTCCCAAGGGCAGCACCAGCACCAACAGGCAGAATTCACATGGGGAGGTTCTTTAGAATATTCTCAACTGTTTGAGGTATCCAACAAGGATCTGGGATGCCAGAGAGTGTAGTGAGGTCCCCATCACTGGCTGTATTCAAGCAGAGGTTGGATGATCGCCTCTCAGGGATGTTGCAGAGGTGATTTCTACACCGGGTGAAAGATCAGACTAGAGGAGCTTGAAGGCCCCTCTCACCACCATAAGTGAAGGTTCTTCTGGAGGTGGGGCAGGCCTCCCTGGGGGTGGGCTGTACAACGGGCCACCAGCACTTGTTCCTGGTCAGGCGAGGTAGCTGTGATGATCCTCTGCCAGCCTTCCTGGCATGCTCTGGAGTGCTTCCTGTGCAGCTGGGCCCTTCAGACTCATGTCTTCATGGCTACCATCCTCATCATGCAATAAAATGGCCCTGTCCTCCCCAGCTGTGCAGGCCTGGCCAGAAAAGCTCACAAGGCCATCAGCTGCACCCCTGAGAGCACTGCCTCTCCTCCTGCCCACACTTCCCGCCTTCTGCTGGGCTTTGGGAATGAGCCCAGGTAAGTTAAGCTGTCTCCCCCCAGGGCCAGGAGAGGGGCTGGAAATGGGTTCTAGCCCAATCCTCTCCCTGCTGCCGCTGCCTTCCTTGTAGCTGGCTGGCTACCCCCAGCCCCTCCAGCCCAGCCTCTGGATCCCACTATCCTGTGATTAGTCCCTGGTCTCCTGCAGGCATCTTGGCTGGAGCTTCTGTTTCTGTTGTCTTGCAAGCTATCAGCAGCAGGATTTTGCTCTCACGAGCTGCTGAAAACATCAGTGATGGGTTTGTTTGTATTTGCCTAATTAGGCAGTGAGCTGTGATGCTATCCCAAGGACTGGCAGCATCTTTGAAAATCAGACTCAGAAGCATGGATTCTGAGAAAGTTCTAGCTCCTTCCACATTATCATTACTCTCTCTTGCTACTCCCAAAGGAGGCAAAATTACTTAGAGTCTGGGTTCTATAGTCGAATTGCCTGGGTTCCAATGCCAGCTGGATCACTTCCTAGCTCTGCTGTCTTGGGTGAGTTACTTTAACTTCTTTGTGCCTCATAGACTACTTACTATGTGCCAGTCCCCATTTTATGGGGACAATACCAGTACCTCATAAGGTTATGGTGAAGGTTAAATAGGATAATCTATGTAAAGTGCCTGGCACATTGTAAGTAGTCTATAAATGCCAATTTAAATGAAGAGAAAGGTATGTCATAAGGTCAGGTGGCCAAAGAGGTCTTTATCTTTAGAAGGGAGAGAAGACAGAGTATCTGGACCCTTTGGGGTTAACAGGCAGGTCTCATGTGCTGGGATTGGTTATATAGTTGAGTCAATTTCTTTCTCAGTTGTGACTTTGTTTACCTGTCAAACAAAGGGGAAAATCCTTCTTTTCTCCCTCCGGATCGCTGTAGATTTATGAGATAATGTCTGCGAAGTACCTGAGCTTCTTAGAAGAAAAATGTGCTATCAATATGAAGAAGTGCATTTATAAATCATTTTCTTTGACTGGTTATTCCAGCTTTGGTGACTAGAAAAACATTTAGGTCTTCAAGGAGCGTATCATTTCTGGGAGATTCGGGGGGGCCACATGGGTACAGTAGGAGAGGACAGAGATGTAGCAGGCTGAAATCCCACAACCCTGGGCCTCAGTTTCCCTGTAGGAGAGCTTTCGCGGTGTTAAGGGCTCTACAAGTACTTGCTGAATTGAGTTGAGGGCTGTCCTGCCTGTTTCCACATCAGGCAAGCGAGCAGAGTTAATTGAGCATGTAAGTATCTATCATGATTGCCATGATGCTATTTTTGGGACAAGTGACAAAATACAGGGCAAGTATTTTATCAGGAGTTTGAGGTCATTGGCTCTGTATGGAGAGGCAAACCGAGTCAAGCTGGAGAGGACACAGGCCCCAGTTTGTCAGAGGCCATTGTTCTGCAGCCCTAAGCAGGTACCAGTCCTGGATCCCAGAAAGCCATTCATGGCACTGGATGCTAGAGGGTCAGTTATCCATGCTGAGATGACCACCGTATGCACTATCCCTGCTGACCTGAGCCTCCTTTTGGCCACTGACCCAGCAAGACCCCAGTCCCTGACGGAAGTTGGAAACCCACTGACCGGGACCCCAGACAGCCTCCTTAACTAGCGGCAGCGCTCATCCCAGCTCGGAGCCATTCAGTGCATGAACTATTCTAGTTTGGGAAGGTTGTATCATTCCTGGAGTTTCTCTAGGGTAAAGGCGTTCGGAGTCTCTGAAATTGGCTGGTTCCCATAACAGTTAAACTTTATGGCAGCACAGTATATTTTGGAGATGTTTTTGTGTATTTTTTCCATGCTCAGCTGGGCTGCAGCGTTCAAACCTCGTGCCTGCTATTGACCATTGCTATAATGTTTCAATATACATTTTTGGCAAGACATAACTCACATTTAAAAATATTAATTTCCCAACCATCATGTTCCTGAGTGCACTTCGATTTTTATTTTCCTGCAGCTGTACACCATGCGAGAGGCAAAGTTACTTCTCAGCTGAATAATATTTTTCTCTCCTCCTCCACCCTTAGCTATTCCCAAATCACAGGGGAATGACACCCAGAGGTCCCTGCTTGTGAATTTTACTGTGTACGCCAAGCCTAGCAAACAACCACTGCCTACCTGTAGGACAGAATAATGATAGCTGAAGGGTGTGTGACCAGGGGGATGAGCCATTCTTTTTTTTTCTCCAGGGAAGAGGATGGATTGGAAAAGCGTCTGTATGGTCTTATGGGATCACTATTCACAATAGTTAACAAATGATCTGTTGTCAGCACTGGCCAGTGAGTTCACGTGTCAGCCATCAACAACCATGGGAACTCTCACTGCCTGTCCCAGGGTAGCTTTGCTGAATACCAGCCTGCCCAAGCCGAACATAGTTGGAAATTTATTTTTAATACTTCCTGTCTTTTCTTCCCATCTCATGATGGCTCCTAAGATCAACTAGGTGTCTTTGTGAGTTTTCAGTTTACTTGGTTCCCTTTAATGGGTGAGAAGCCTGGAAGAACCAGGTTGTGACTTGTATTTCCTTAATAATTGTGCCTTAATAAATGGGGGATACATCTTGGGCCAAGACACAGGAACACTTGATTTCTGGAAACTGGAATTTACATGAATCATGTTTGACTTTGGAGTAGGTGCTTGAGGGCAATGTCGAGTTAGGTTAGGACCCACCGCTAGAAGGAGGGTTTGCTTATGGTTCATTATGCACATCAGGGGCCCTCAGAGTCTAGGGATGCTGGGTGCAGTGCTTGCCTAGCCTGACTCTGCCTGAGGAGTTGCAGTGAAAGCTAGAGATTCGATACTCAGACACCTGTGAAGATGGGTGCTCCCTAGGAAGGTGGATGGGTGAGTAAGGAAGTGATGGCCCCAGGCCCACCCCAGGAGGTCTGGAGGTACTCACTTGAGAGGTCCCTGCCCACACCCAGAGCCAAGCCGTCCTTGATCCACAGAACGAAGCCATCGTATTCGGGGATGGCGCAAAGTAGCGTCACTGGCTGTCCCGACACCACCACCTGGTCCTGGGGCTGCTGGCTGAAGGAATAGACTTGGCCTGGGAAGGAGACAAACACAATGGTCAGTTATCTGCCGGCTACAGGGGCGAGAAGGCTCCCCTCCAGCTATGGAAGCAGAGCAGGGCTGGCGCAGGAGACTGAGCCTCCTGAAGCACCTGGCTTTCCTGCTGAGGGTCTGGTAGAGCTTCCTAACTGGTCTCAGCCCCAGCTCTATTCCCTCCTATGGGGGCCTGGCTCCCAGCTCCAGCCCCTCTGCCCATCAGTCCCTAACACATGGACTGGTCTAGCCACACCCCAGCTCCCTATGGGCCATCTCCCTCCACCTTTGGGACGTGCCACTTCCCATGCATTGGTGAGCTCCTACTTAATGCCATGTGCTGGGCATGCAGTCCCACACCAGGGCAGAAACAGGAGAGAGAGAGAGAGACCTCTAGCTAGAAACATTCTGTGGTGGCTGTGTGTTAAGAAGGGGGTCGATGGAGAGTGGTGCGGCTTTGGTTAAACCTGAGAATTCAGGAAATCATTTTGTTGTTTCAGTGGCTCCTGGGGTGGGCTGAGGGCCAAGTTCAGAGGGGTGGGTGGTGGTGCAGTATGGCAGGAGGTGTGCTGAGGAGGCGTGCCATCCTACCGTGTCCTCCCTGTCCCTTTCTTTTCTGCAGCAGACCTTACTCCAGCCTCACAATCACTTGGGAAAAAATCATTATGGACACCATGCCTCCTCAAAACGAGATGGCCAGAATCATCGAAGAGAGTCAGTTGACATTATTTTATTAAACAAACCCATCCACAATGCTTACAAGATGCCATGCTCTGTTTTGAGGCTTTAAAATATTAGTTCATTAATATTTTCATCGTCATAACAACCTAAAAATAGTAGGCACTATTTTTATCCCCATTTTCCAGATGGGAAAATGAGGCACAGGGAGGTGAAAAATAGTAATGGGAGCTGTGCTTGTGAATTGCTCACCAAGTACGGCGCATGCCCTGACTCTAGTTATCACCGTGGCAACACTCGAATGGGGCATTGTCAACCCCATTTGACAGGACTTTGGGAAACGGAGGCTCAGGGTTAACTGAATTGCCCAGGGAACTGTCTAGTGGGAGTTGGGGTGGGTGGTGCGGTGAATCCAAGTCTTTCTGGCTCTGAAGACCATGCTCTCCCCTACTGAGCTATGCTGTGTGCAGATCCCCAAGCCTGGCCTTGGAGGGAGTTGCTGATGAAGAGGTGTGATGTGATCTGTGTCTCCTGGGAGTCCACAGTTGAGTGGACAATGGAACATTGACATTCGCTGAGCATCTGGCCCACAGTACAACCAGTACTTCATACAACCCCTCCTGTAATCCACTTAATTATACTTCAGGGCAGAAAAAGCCCCACTTTACAACAAAGAAACCAGGATCAGAGAGGCACAGTAACCTGCCCAAGGTCACGCAGCTAATGAGTGTTAGAGCAGGGGTTTGAGCAGGGGCCCATCTGCATTCCAAGCCCTCCCTTTTTCCTACCTCCTGCTCTACAGACCCAGACCTAACCGAGGCAAAACTGGACCTGGCGCTCCAGCTGCTGATGCTGTGGCCTCTCCTCCCCAACCCGGGAGAGTCAGGGGCAGCCACAGACGTCCTGGACACTGGCTGCTGCCCATCTTGGGGACAAAAAGCCCCAGGCTTGGGCCACACCTAGGACTGAGCTCTCAGCAACAGATGACCCCAAGAGGGAGACACTTGGTGTGTATCAACCCAGGGGAGCTTGGATGGCAGCAGAGCTTGGGGTGGAGGCTCCCCAGAAGGAGGGGTGCAGATTCACAGTGGAGAGCTGGGGACAGGCAGGAAGGTGGCCGAGTTCACAACCTGACAAGATCTTGGCAGGGTCTCCGAGGAGTCTCATTAAAAATCAAATTGGCCTTGAATTGTGGGAGTAACACTTTTTATTCTGATTTGAGCTTTACAAATTAGATTTCATAGGACATTTTAATCAGCTATGTATGGTAGGTTTTTTTTTTCCTCTCTGTCTCTTCAAGTTCTCTGTTGTAATTAGACTGTTTCTGGCACCAAAACAGGGTAGAAAAGGAGGGAAGAGATGAGAGAGGAGAAGGGGAGAGGAGGGAGGGACTGGAGAGAGAGCAAAGGAGTGAAGTGAGGACGTGGGAGAGAAGAGGAGAGGGAGAGGAAGAGGAGGAAGCAGGGGAGGAGGGTGAGGGGCAGCATGGAGAGGGAGGGGGTGGGTGGAAAGGACTCCTTCTCTGGCTCCTTTTACTCTAATGATGATTTCACAGCTCATCCTTTTATCTCAAAATCTTTCTTACAAGAAGGACAGAGTCAAGGCAGCTGCAGTAACTGCCAAAGATTGTGCTATCAGAGAGAATTATCAGGTTGTCAGGTGGACGTGGAGGGGGTTATAATGAGAGCCCCTTAAATGAAGCAGTGCCCGAGCCCTCTGAGATGTCCATTATTAGGAAGCACCCACAGTGGGTAACCGTCCCGGTCTCTCCCCGTCCTGTGTCCTCTTGGAGGAAGGCGCGGGAGGTACTGGGTGAGGGCCCCCGGGGAAGTGGGGTGCAAGAAGCATCCGAGGGCCAAGGGTAAGTTGTGGACCGGCTGGAGCCCCCAGGGAGAGGAGGGGGCTATCACCATGGAAACCAGGCTCTGGAGGAAGGCAACGCTGGGAAGGGGGATCAGTTGAAGCAGGCCATGGAGGTGGACTCTGAGTGGCCACAGACCCTTTTGGTGGGTGTCTCAGAGCCAGGGGTGGCAGCAGGCACAAGATGCCTGGAATAAGACCTGGGGTCTGTAGGAAAGGAGCCTGATGGGATGGGGCTGAGCGGGAGAGGGCCTTTTGAGGGGGAGCATCTCCCGATGCCATCTGAGCAGGCTTGGAGGTGTAGGATCCCACAGGTTGCAGTGAGCCAAGATCGCCCCACTGCACTACAGACTAGGTGACAGAGTGAGACTCGGTCTCAAAAAAAAAAAAAAAAGACCTTCCTAGAGCCTCTCGCATTCTGTCTGCTTGATCCACTTGGCTTTTCTATGGAAAGACTGTTTCTGGGGAAGATGAGTACACAGGAAAAATCCACCCAAAGGACATGATTTACAAATTATTATTTTTGGGGATGGGAGACAGTACTCTAATTGACAATGTCCCTTTTCAGTCCAATTTTAATTTTTGCACATTACATTTGAGTCACTATAATTACTTTTCTCTTTTAAACCAATGAGTTTTTTTTTTTTTTTTCAAATGAATCTTAAACTGTTACTGAGTATCTAGAGTGGATAAAAGTTGAGGTGCTTTGGATGAAGGTGGAGATGGAGGGATGGAACCCACTTTTTTTTTTCATCCATCTGACAGACCTTAGGGCCTCTCCTTTGGGCTCAAGAGCCCCTCAGAGCACAGCTTTTGAGCCATGGATGTAAGTTATTGCCAGAAGAATGCTCCTCACCCACCCACTCTTTCTTTTCTTTTGAGACTGAGTCTCACTCTGTCGCCCAGGCTGGAGTTCAGTGGGGCAATCTTGGCTCACTGCAACCTTTGCCTCCCGGTTCAAGTGATTCTCCTGCCTCAGCCTCCTGAGCAGCTGGGATTACAGGTATGCACCAGCATGTCCGGCTGATTTTCATATTTTTAATAGAGACAGGGTTTCACCATGTTGGCCAGGCTGGTCTTGAACTCTTGACCTCAAGTGATCCTCCCACCTCAGCCTCCTGAAGTGCTGGGATTACAGGCATGAGCCACCATGCCTGGCCTCTACTTGCTTTATTTTCCCCATTTTCTTTTCTACTCCAAAGAAGTGAAATGCAAGTGAGCCCAAGGTCATTTTCTGCAGCCTCCTGGATAGTGCCTTAAGTAGACAGTGAGCTCCTGAGAACCTGTTTCTTCCACACACACACTGACCGGACCCTGCTGTGAGGCAGGCACTGTGCTGTCTGGTGAGGAGCAGGGGAACAGGCCTGGCCACCCCTCCAGGAGCTCGCAGCTGTGCCCCCTCCCCATCACACCTGGGCGTCTCAGATGGAGCACAGAGTAGGTGCCTCACAGGCTCAGGTCCTGCTCTCAGTGGAGATGTGACACACCCAGCACCTTCCACCGGCCCAGGGTTTCCATCTTCTCCGCTTCGCATTTTCCCTGATGATGTTCCCCTGGTGTGAAGCCTTGGCGGCCGGTGCAATCTCCCCTTCCCATACTTTATTTTTATTTTTCTTTTTTTTTTGAGACGGAGTCTGACTTTGTTGCCCAGGCTGGAGTGCAGTGGTGCGATCTCCGCTCATTGCAACCTTTGCCTCCCGGGTTCAAGCGATTCTTCTGCCTCAGCCTCTTGAGTAGCTGGGATTACAGGCACTCACCACCATGTCTGGTAATTTTTGTATTTTTAGTAGAGACAGGGTTTCACCATATTGGCCAGGCTGGTCTCGAACTCCTGACCTCATGATCCACCTGCCTCGACCTCCCAAAGTGTTGGGATTACGAGCGTGAGCCACCATGCCCGGCCCCATGCTTTGTTTTGAGTCTGTCACCATCACTGAGCCTAGCCCAGCAGGCTGTACATCTCTCAGACTTCCCCTTTCCTCTCTATTCCCACTGCTAGCACCCAAGTTCAAGCTCTCGTTGCCTCAACCTGGGCTCTTGCCACAGACTCTGAATGTTCTCTTTGCCTGATCCATTAATGTGCTGAACCTGGATTTTCCGTCTTAATTCACCACTTGCTTCAGGGTTCCCCTCTTTTAAGGGGTGGGACCTCTCATGGCTCTCCACTCTCTGCGGGACAACGCCCAACTTCCCATGCTGGATTCTAATCTCCAAAATCCAGCTCCTTTTCTTCCTGGGAGCTCCACAGCACCCCCGTGCTGGCTAGTCACTAAGGTCACCTGCCTCGAGTTCTCCTCGATGTTTCATTGTCCTGGGATGCACTGCATCCCCCCACCCAAGGCTCCCCCACCCAAGGCCCCCCCTAAGCAACCCCACCTATCATTGAAGGCCCAGTTCTCTCCCCAGGCAGCTCCTGTGACCCAGATGGAATCTTCTTTTTTCTCGTCTTCTCTCTATATTCTCATCTTGCCTCTTTTTCATCAATTTCTCCAAACCTTTATTGAGCACCTACTATATGTCAGATGCTGATGAAACAGAAATAAGGAAGAAACAGTGTACACTTCTTGAGGGCAGGGGCCACAGCTATCTTTTCTGTCTTGTGTTCCCAGCTGTGGGTGAGCACCGGTTACACGTCTGTCACATGTGCCTTTGTACTTAGAGTTTGCCTGCTCTGGTTGGTCTGCTGAGATCGGTGGTCACTACAGGAAAATTGCTTTTGCATTATGAACTACTAACCCGGCAGATACTGTTCAGAGCACACCACACAGGAGAAAGGTGAGAAATCACAGGGTGGGCTGGAGTCTCTAGGAATCAGGCTTGACAGGAGAAAAAAATAACTGCTGTTCATGGAAGATTTACTTGATGCCACATCTTTGGCTGTATACGTTGTTTCTGGCATGCAGATTAGCTGTAATTAACCACATTTTATAGATGAACCAAGGCTCACAGAAATGCAGGGACTTGCACAAGTTCACTTGATTAGCTCAGGTGTCACTCAAACCCCAATGGTCTGGGTACAGCCCTATTTTCTCACCACTATCCGATGTAGGTTGTTGAATCAAGGGTCTCAAGCCCAGATTTTGATTCTTAAGCAAGTACTCACTCCACCAACAAGGCAGCCTACTCAGATTATTTATCTATTTTTATATTTATTTATTTATTTATTTTGAGACGGAGTCTTGCTCTTGTCGCCCAGGATGGAGTGCAATGGTGTGTTCTCGGCTCACTGCAACCTCCCCCTCCTGGGTTCAAGGGATTCTCCTGCCTCTGCCTCCTGAGTAGCTGAGATTACAGGCACCTGCCACCATGCCTGGCTAATTTTTGTATTTTTAGTAGAGACGGGGTTTCACCATGTTGGCCAGACTGGTGTCGAACTCCTGACCTCAAGTGATCTGCCCACCTCGGCTTCCCAAAGTGCTAGGATTATAAGCGTGAGCCACTACACCTGGCCCAGATGATCTAAAGGGAGGTAGAAGATCTTTAGAATGAAAAGTGATTTCTTGGTTTTTCCCTCAGTTTCTGTGTGTAGGCTCCTCTTCACCTATTGGTCAGTAACACTGAAACGGTTGAGGGTAAAGTTTAGTACTGGCCACCATAGGAAGATTAAAAGAAAGGAGGTGTACTAGTTACCATTACTTATAATTATTACTTAAAATGGCTATTTAATATAATTATATTATAATATAGCTTATAATTATGTATCATAAATATTTTTATTGCTATAAAATTAGTAATTGCTAACTTTTCTATTTTTTAACTTTTTGTAGGGACAGGGTCTTGCTATGTTGCCCAGGCTGGTCTCAAACTCCTGGCCTGAAGCAATCCTCGTGCCTCAGCCTTCCAAAGTGCTGAGATTACAGGTGTGAGCTACCATGCCCAGCTAGTAATAGGTAACTTTTACAGAATGTCAAGCATATAATAAAAGCTTTACCTGGATTATTTTATTGACTCACTAAAGAGTCCTATGAGATAGGTACCGTATCACACCTACGTGAAGATGAGGTTGTCTGGGGCCCACAGCACTGGCAGTGAGAAGGGATATGAGCCCAGCAGTCTGGTTCCAGAGCAGCCTCTTTGCGTCCTTATTTGGACTTCGCCCACTGTGCCTCTAGTCCTCGCCCCCAGGAACTCATAGAACCCACCTTAGACCTCCCTCTCCCACTGCCCTTGGCCAGTACTGAAAAGTCTCAAGGAAACTCAGGAAGAATAATGTACACTAGCTCACTTCATCAGTTCTGTGTATAATGTCCTCATGAACACAGTTCTCTGGGTGGATCAGAGTTGACCAGCTATCCAAGAGTGACTGAAGCCTATGTTCACCTTCTTTAGCTCCCTGAGAAGGTGAGCGCAGACCTGCAGGTCCTCCAGTCACCCTTGACCCTCACAACCACATCACTCACTCCAAAGAACCCCTCTCTCCCTTCACCATTTGGACTGGACAAGCCCCTTGGGATGAAGGCAGATAGTGCAGTGGTAATGAATGGGGCTCAGGAATCAGACTGACCTGGGTTTGAATCCTGGCACTTCCATGAACTTGCTGAGCCTCCATTTTCCTATCTGTGAAATGGGGACAATAATACCACCACCTTGTGGAGATAGAGAGGATGCATCTGGGCCACTTGACTCCGGGGCTGGCTCACAACAAATGCTCAGGGGAAACCGACCTTCTTCTCTCAAAGCCACCCTCTGTCCTGAACACCAGGCCGCAGGCTGAGCTCCATAGGGCTGGGCGACGGGAAGCGTGACCTGGAATGGCAGGTGGCTCTCTATTGGTGTGAAAGGGGGAGGCAAGGGTGGACTTTTAATTACTATCCAATGACTTATTGAAGAGACAGTTTTCACTAAAGACAAGGATGTACTCTCTTTGCAGGAGGACCTCAGTGTAGCATCCATGGGTTCTCAGGTGGGTCTCAAGGCTGGTGTTTGTGGTAGGTGAGCTCAGGTGTTGGAAGCCTTGGCCAGCTGCTGTGAGCCATGCCCTGTGGGGGAGAAGAGGTGGGAGAATGTTCCCCCAGGGCTGCAAGGGGGCTACTGGGGTGGAAGGGGTAGGGGGCGTCTCCCGGGCCAATGAGGGCTGGCTTGGCTCCGCATCTGACTGGCGCTGAACTAGCTTCCGTTAGTAGAAAAAGGCTGCGTGTGCATGAACCTGCCTGGGCATGGCAGAGGAGCAGGCCTGGGAAACACAGCGGTCTCTCTCCCACATTCGCTTGGTTAGGTGGCTGCAGAAGCACCTTCCTGCTCGCCGCCTGGAAGGTAGGTCATGTTCCTGAAAGCGGGAGGCTCTGCGGGGCAGGGTCCCAGGGTTCTGAGACAAAGCCCTTTGTCTCTGAGTGAGAGTCCCTGTCTGGGATGCTTGCCCCCAGCCTGTGCGTCTCCCCTGCACACCCAGGCTGTTGTGACCTGCAGGGGCCGAGAGAGCACTGCGCCATCTGTCCCGGGGGCCCTTTAGACCACTGGGTAAGGCAGCTGCTTTTCCCTTTGAGGAGAGTGGCAGAATCAGAGGAGAGCCTGGGTCTGCCACCCCCTCGTGCCAAGTTCTCTGCCCTACCTGAGAAGGTAGAAGCTTCAGGAGTGGGAGCAGGAGGTCGAGGTGCTGAGCAGGCAGGGCCTTTTGCAGCCTTGTCTCCAAATTGCAGGAAGCAGTGGCTGTTTCTGGCTGGGAACAATAAAGGGGAGGGGGGCTTGGATGAACCCTGTCCTGATGGGCCACGTGGCGTCCCTGAGTCAGGACAGCTGGCACTGTTGCCAGTGCTGGTGAGTGGCTGGTGGGAGGAAGTGTGGAGGTGGCAGCAGCAGTGACAGGTGTGGCCTGGCCTAGGGAGGTGGGCAGGAGGTGGAGCATTTGGTGGCCTTTTGGGGGCTCTGGTTATGGGGCAGAGCTGGGAGCAGGCAGATGGCATCCTCAGATCAGTGGTGGGGCTGGATGTCTTCCCCAGTTGTTTCCCCACCCTCCTCCATCGGGACTCCTCCTGACTGCTCTTCCCAAAAGCCCCCTCTAGATTTCCCTCCTGCGCTTACTCCTGCCTCCTGTCAGCCCACCCGGCTTCCAACCTGGATGCAGCGCCCTCATCTTAATCTCTTTTCTGGGACTCGCAGCACACATTATCACGGAATGAACCATCACCATCTGGCTCCCAAAGTCCCCACCAACTTCCAGTGAAACATTGAAATGCAGAAGACCCCATGTTTCTCTATGACTTGCACACCTGTGGCCCCATTCTGAGGTTGCCCCTCAATCCCTAATTATTTCCTGAGGGGGAAGAGTCATTTTGCCATGGAAGGCGCAGATTACAAGGGCCACGTCACTCGGTGTGATGGTCTTAGGGCAGCACTGCAGGGTGCTGGGTCGGGTGTGTGTGTGTGTGTGTGCACGTGGGTGTGTTTGTCAGATTAACTGAATTGGCCTCAACCCCACCTTTTCTCCAGCCAGACATTTGCTGCTTCTATTCCTTATCAAGCACTTAAGATTTTGGTTGAGGGCTGGGCCCGGTGGCTCACGCCTGTAATCCCAGCACTTTGGGAAGCTGAGGCGGGTGGATCACCTGAGGTCAGGGGTTCGAGACCAGCCTGACCAACATGGTGAAACCCCGTCTCTACTAAAAATACAAAAATTAGCGGGACATGGTGGTGCGTGCCTGTAATCCCAGCTACTCAGGAGGCTGAGCCAGGAGAATCCATAGAACCTGGGAGGCGGAGGTTGCAGTGAGCCAAGATCGCACCATTGCACTCCAGCCTAGGGGACAGAGTGAGACTCCATCACAAAAAAAAAGATTTTGGTTGAATGAATTTTTCTAGGAGAATCCATAGAACCTGGGAGGCGGAGGTTGCAGTGAGCCAAGATCGCACCATTGCACTCCAGCCTAGGGGACAGAGTGAGACTCCATCTCAAAAAAAAAGATCTTGGTTGAATGAATTTTTCTTAGTTTTACAGAATGTTGGAAAGCATAGGCCCTGGCAGGGCCATCTTGGGGAACTTTGGAAGGAACAGTGATCTGGTTCGTCTTTGGGGTCCAAAGGCCTTGGTACTATGGTGTGTGTGTCTGTGTGTGTGTGTGTGTGTATCGGATAGGAAGGTGGCCCAGTATCCTGGTGCCCATAGAGGCTGGGATCTGACTCAGAGGAGCCGTTGCTTACTCCTCCCTGCCACCCACAACTGCCAACCCTAAATCTTCTAGGGATGCATTCTGGAACTCCACTGTCCCAAGTCTATTGCTACCCCATAGGCACATGTCTCTGCACTGTGGTTCCACAGTGGTGGTGAGAGGCACAGATCTACAGGGCAGCATGGACTAGTACAAAGAGTGTGGGATTTGGGATGGTTGTGTAACAGGGGAGATAAAGCTTTGATGCAGACTCTGCCCTGGAGCCTGATGTGGGATCGGGGGTGCTGAGTATCCCCTCATGGCCCTGGGCAATGCTTTTTTTTTTTTTTTTTTTTTTTTTGAGTCTCGTTCTGTCGCCCAGGCTAAAGTGCAGTGGTGCGATCTCGGCTTCAGCGCAACCTCCGCCTCTTGGATTCAAGTGATTTTCCTGCTTTAGCCTCCAAAGTAGCCGAGACTACAGGCATGTGCCACTATGCCTGGCTAATTTTTGTATTTTTAGTAGAGACAGGGTTTCACCAAGTTGACCAGGCCAGTCTCGAACTCCTGACCTCAAGTGATCTTCCCACTCTCAGCATCCCAAAAGGTTGGGATTACAGGCATGAGCCATTGCACCCAACCCCTGTGCAGTTCTCTTTCCATCCATGCTTGGAGGCGGCTCAGAGGCAGGCAGGAGGTGGCTCAAGGGTGGGCTCAATCCCTGCCTCCCCTTTCTCCACTGGTTATTTGGCCTGGCCTTTGTTCCAGCAGCAGATTGAGGGGACATGACCACTCCCCTTAGGATTAAACCCAGTCAGACCTGGACAGGAAGTGAGGGTCACTAATATAAGGATGGAAATGCTTGTCCTTGCTTCTAAGGAGCCTGGTGCTGACACATGCACACACCCGCCTGCATGCCTGTGAGTGTGGGCAGCCCAGCTGAAACCCTGCCTGCACCCCTCAACTCTCAGGACATTCTGTGAAACTCGCTGAGAGTCTTGGATGGTCACATTTGACCACAGGTTACTGGATTACAAGGGATAAAGTGGTCTCATAGAGAAGTCATATAAAGCTTTTCAGGGGTTTAAGAGAATCTTGCTTCAAGCAAGGGAGTTGTGGGGAGGAAGCAGAGAAGGCATCCTGGAGGAGGAATCATAATATGGGGAAAGTAATGGAGGAGAAATGTCATTCTGGGGTAGGAAAAAAAATATAAGCAAAAACATGAGTGATGGGTCACCCTCTGTCACCTGCCTGGAGTACCTAACCGATGGGTCACCTGTCGGAGCCTGGGTCCTGGACAGTAGGAAGAACACAGGGTCAGTCAGCCCTAGGAAGGAACTCTGGCCCTGTACCTAGCAGTGTGATCTGAGGCCAGTGACTCACCCTTTCTGAGCTTCAGTTTCCCTATCTGAAAAATGGGGATGACACGCCTCCCTGGCAAAGCTGCTGTGAGCATGAGAGGTTTTATATGTAAATGATCTTGGTAGACAGGTGTTTCACAAAGGGTCATTCTTACTTTCGTCACTATCCACAAGTCTTTCCTGAGCTTGGGACTGTTAAAACAGGAGCCAGAGGAGCACCTGTCTTGCGGAGTCCCAGAGCTGAGAACGGAGGCTTTGCAAATCTGAAGTTGCACCCATTAGAATGCTGCATGGGTGGTGCAGGAGACAGTGGGTGAGCCCTCCCATTGGCTCTGCCTCTTTCTTGAGCTTGGGACTGTTAAAACAGGGGCCAGAGCAGCACCTGTCTTGCAGAGTCCCAAGGCTGAGAATGGAGGCTTTGCAAATTTGAAGTTGCACCCATTAGAAACCTGCATGGGTGGTGCGGGAGACAGTGGGTGAGCCCTCCCATTGGCTTTGCCTCTTCTGCTCATCCGGGTTGGCTTCACAGCCTCCTGGAGTGTTGTGTCAGCCATGCAAAAAGGGCTCAAATGTCACCATCTGCCTTTTATTAGTGACCAATTGGAGAAGGCTTAAGAATACTTATACTGGGGTTATTTATTGCCGGCTTTCTCCCAGCCTGGAGCTTGTAAATTGCCTCTTATGAGATTAAGGGAAGCTGCCCCTCCAGAGAAGCAAGCAAATAGGAAGAAGGGAAGGAGAGAAGAAGTCAGCTCAGTGGCTCCTGGTGACATCAGAACAATATCGGGTAGGGTGGGAAAGACAAGGGCAGCGTGACTCAGTTCATACCTCGAAACCCAAGTCTTGAATTCTGCTGTGTTCCTGCTGCTCAGCACAGGGCCAGCATCTAACACAGGAGGATCAGCTTTGAGAAATTTCCAGAATGCCCAGTTGGTGACCTGCTCGGGGAACAGGATTGGGGGTGATAGAGTATGTTCTGACCCACTGACTGACGGATAAAAATGGATTTTTATGGAGGTTCTAGGGGGTTTCAGTCACTGTTTCAGCTCTCAGGATGCCATGGTGCCTCAGGCATGAGCAGGAGCCACCTCAGCAATCTCCAAGTCCCCAGGTTGGGTGTGGGGTGTGCAGGAGGGGCTGATATGTCTTCCGCTGAGTAGGCTCTGGAGCTGCGGGGAGGCAAATATGTGCAGAAGAAACTAGAATAAAAAGCTCTACACCATAAGCGTCAGAGTGAGGCACAAAGTCCCAAAGAAGGAGTCACAGAAGGGTTGGCTTCTGAAATGGCCAGGATGAAGACAAGGTGGGAATGTTCCCTGGAATGGGGAACAGCTTACGTCAAGTGTGGAGAACAGATGTGTTCATGGAATAAAAGCAGCAGTGCCACATGGTCTAGGCTTGATCTCTGACCCTGCCATTATGGCTGTGGGTCCCTGGGCAAATTGCTTAGTCCCTCTGAGCCTCAGTTTCCCCATTGGTTTAGCAATCAATACTTGTTGAGTTGTTTGTGAGAATGAAATAGGTCATTCTCTGTGATGTGCACAGAGCCCTGCCTGCCTTCCATAATGGCAGCTGGCAGTATCATTACAAGCCTAGCAGGCTGGGTGCACGGAGCATGTGTGTGCAGACTCTCTTAGTACAGCGCAAATCTAGAAAGTCCTGGTGGGTCAGACCGTGTGGGCCCTTGAACGTGTGCCAAGAAGTTTGTACTTCATGAGAAGTCATCAAAGGTTTTTGACCCACATGCTCAGATCTGAGTTTTAGAAATATCACGGTGATGACAGGGAGGAGGATGAATGAAGGAGGATAATCTGAAGACAGGGAGACTGATCAGCAAGGTTTTGCTGTCATGAGGACTCAGGCTAACGCTGCATCAATGGAAAGAAGAAATGGATTTAGGAGCCATTTGGGGGTAGAACTGATAGTACTTGACCAGGGATGAGGAAGATGAAAGTGTGAATGGATGATGGAGGAGCCATTTGCTGCTCAGGAGGAGAAGCGCGCTTGAGGTGAGGCAGTGAGTTCAGTTTTAAATGTGTTGATGGAGAGGGGTCCAGAATCCCCCAGGTGATGCTGTCCCAGATGTAGTTGGGTCAATGGTTCTGGAGCTGGGAAGGAGGTGTGAAGAACTCACACTGACTGAGCACTACCTATGGGTCAGGCAGTAGGAGAAGTATTTTCAGGTGTCCTCTCACTTGGTGTTGACCTGATAATTCAACTCCAAATATGGAAAGTTATAGATGTTGTTGTGACTATCTAAGAGGGACAAGGTTACTCCAGTCTGGGAGTGTTGGGAGTAGCTGCCTTGGGTGAAACATCTAAATCTTGTTGAGGTTTGCACAGGTTTTGAACCATATCGGGATGGCAAGAGATCATCTAACCTAATCTTCTCCCTTTAGACTGGGATTGGAAATATAAACAGAGAAGCCAGAAGAACCAGGCAGGGGTAGAAGACAGGGCCTTTTCTCTATTGTCTGTTTCTCCTTGATTTCTACTGGGAGAGAGACAAAGAAACACTTTCCATCCCAGCATCGCCACCTGCAGCCATTGGTAGCTTGATTCTGATACACACGTAAGGAGAAGCTTGCCAGTCTCATGAACATTACAGAAATTGCACTAGAATTTTACTTGGACTTACAAAAAAGAGGCTGACTGCTCTTCCCAGGGCTGGATGAGGGGGTGGAAAGTCTGAGGGCACATTCCCCTATGCTTGTTCCTCACCCGGGCTGAGCCAGTGTGGGCAGCCTGTGATTCTCCCAGCCTCGCACTTCTCTCCCAGGACACAAAATCCACCAAGGTTGTCCTGGACAGTGTGGGTCTTTAACGAAGAGCAATCGGGCTGGCCGAGGCAGGGTGAGTCCAAAGTCACTATAAATCCTTTGCCTACTGATGATCAGGCTCGCGGCCCCTGCCAAAGCCTGCACTGTACTCATTAGTGGCAGGGAGAGGGATTCTTCCATCGATCCAGCCAAGGCCTGGATGCCACGAAGACACTGATAAGTGCTGCTGGAAATATGGGCTCTTCAGTGCCCATGGCAGAGCCCATCCATCCCTGCCCGAGGTCACCTGGAGGTCTAAATGAGACAGGACGGGCATAGCAGAGTGGGTTTATGGTGGGGGAGTGGAGATGGGAGATGCTCGACAGCGCATGAAGCAGAGACCCTGGCTGTGGTCTCAGGCCTGTTGCTGGCCAGCCATGGGACCCTGGCTAAGCCCCCTTTCTTCTCTGAGTCTCAGGCTCTTGTGTCTTCTGACTGGAATGTGCCCTCACTGAGCCGGCACCTTGGGATGTGTTGGAGCAGCATGGAAGGAAGAGAGTGGCACTAAGGGGCAGGGATGGAACTATGCCATTAGCTCAAGAGGGAGCTGCAGGCTCGGCTATGGGCAGGCTCGGCTACAGCAGACAGAGTGCCCATCAACCCCTCTCAGAGGGCGTCAGCGTGGGCACCACCAGGAGAGGCTGGAGGCTAGGTCATGGATTGGCTGACTCCAAGATGCCCAGCACCTCTTGCTCCCATGTCTAAGGGGTACTGTATGGACACATGAAGCTTTGTCCTTGTCCTGGGCCCAGAAGGTACCAGTTGATGCTGCCTCTGCCACCTCTTAGCTGTGTGCCCTTGGGCCTGACTCTTTAACTAAGACTCAGATGCCTTATCTGTAAAATGCAAGGTTTAAGCGCCTTCCTCCCAACCCTAATGCTTGATGTTCTAACTTATCCAAAATCCTATTTCGGGGGTGGGGGGTGGTCCTAAGGTTGAAAATAATAAAATCAAGGTGCAAAGAAGTGAAAGCAAGTCTCTCAAGGACACTTGGCCTTTTGGGGGCTCAGATCTATATCCTAAACATTAAAAAAAGTAAACAAAATAATCATTTATGCTGCTATAGCCTTGTCAGTCAGAGACGGTTCTAAAACTTCCATGTGCATGAGGATCACCTGGGGGACTGGCTAAAAATAACAGTTTCCTGGGCTCCAACTCAGAGATTCTGGGATAGTGGCTCTGAGCTGGGTCAAGGAATCTGCATTTTAATAGCTTCTGGGTCATCCTTCTGCAGGCGGTTTCTGGGCCACATCCTAAGGGCACTGTTGTGTGCCCACAGCACGGGCTTGTGGGCCTGGGTTATTTCTAGTTCAGGCTCTGTCACTGGGTGGCCTTGATTAAGTGGCTGTCTCTCTCTCGGGGTGCGCATTGATGTTCCCACTGCACAGTGAAGGCATTTTCACACCTTTTGAAAGTTCATGCAACCCTTTTTGTCAGTGAAGTCTCACAGGGAATCCCAGTGTATAAAACGGTGGAGGCAGAGCTGAGGCAGCGCGGGAAGGACCGAGTCCTGCCCTCGGCAGCCCTGCAGCGGGCCCTCAGGACCCTCTGTGCAATGCTCAAGGATTCCAAAGGCCCTGTGCAGTTTTGATGCTCTTCAGGTGTCCTGTGAAGGACCACGTGGCTATATCCCACTGACGGTGTGAAAGCAGGCCCACCCGGCGTGCACTGAGTGACTCAGGCAGGCTGGTCTGAAGCACGAGGTGCCTTGGTCTTGCTCTCTGAGCCTGCATGGAGAATCACAGCTCAGACCTGGTGCTTATAGAGGAGTCTTCTCATGGTTCCTGGAGTTGTTCCCAACTGGACACAGACCATCTTGGGGCAACGTCCTGGGTTTCTCCCCTCTTGGAGACCAAATACAATCAACTCTTAATTATCTTTGTTAGTGGAGAAGAGCAGGGTGTGTATAATCTAGAATGATGGACAATCCAAAACAGTGAATAATCCTAAGTAACATTCATTTTCGACTTTGGAATGCATTTTGATATTCACATTTGAATATGGATATGTTTGATGTTCTAGGAATTTTTCATACTTAAAAAAAACACTCAACCCAAGGGTGGGGCTCCCTCTCTGCCTCCTACTCAGCTGAGGGGAGAACATCACCTCTGGGACTGGCCCAAAGCTACAGTCAGGTGCACCCCACCTTCCCCATCTCCTGTCTTTATGGCTCACACCTTATCTAGGAAGGGAGGGGGATATTAACAGATTTTGCCTTTAAAGGACTTTTATTCCCTTTGGACCTTATGCAAATAAGAGTAAAATAAGAAGCTGTGAAATGTTAACAGAGGACTTCATTAAGCAAACTTGGTGATAGCATTTGCCAGGAATGGGGACAATTTGCCAACAGATACTTGAGTGCTGACTATATATGTGTCCTAATTAAAAAAGTGATACTTCTCACTGCCCTGGGATTGTGGGCCGTCTTCTGGTGGGTTTGGGATATTAACCACAACTAACTCCGATACAAAGCACTTCACATACATTATCTTACCTAATCCACCTTCATAGCACCCCGTGGAGCAGGTCCCATCATCAGCCCCCATGTAGAGACTTGAATATCACAGCTCCAAGCCAGATGTCCCCCGTGAATATACCCTCCCAATTCTGCCCTATTCTACTCCACTCTGCCTCTCCTGTCACCCCCCAAACAGAGGCCCTGCAAAGCCTCAGCTGGTCTGCATCAATCAAAGAGAACGAAGCAAAACTAACTTGCCATTACTGCCCTAGTCTCTCTGATTGTTGGAAGTAGAGATGTTTCAAGGAGAGGTTTTGTGCTGGAAGCCCCTTGAAAGGATGGAGAGGGAGTGTGAGGACTGCCGGAGACGCCCAGCCTAGGAGGGGAAGCTTTCTGCTTTTCCAGCAGGACAGAACTCCTTAGAAGCAGGTGTAGCCCTGGCTCATATCCACCATCCTGAGAAATAGAAAATCTTTCCCATTTTACGGACAAGGAAACTCAGAGAGGTTAACTAACACATCCAGGGTCACAGGGTGTGGTAGAGGTAGGGTTTGAGCCATTTGACTCCAGGCCTGGCTTTTTTTCCCCCAACAGTAGCCGGTCAGCAGAGGGTGTTTGATCTGTGTGGTTTCCTCTTCAGAAAGCAGAGACTCACTACTGTGCCCCCTACCTGCCCCCAGCTGAGCTCCAAAAACAGCTATAAAGCTGATGGGAAGCCGATAGGACAGCCCCTGCCCTTCCTGAAGACCACGGAAACCTCTCCCATGGTGCCCTTGGGGCTGAGATCAGCTCTGTCACCAATACTTCAGGGCAAAAGTCGTTGGCACCACTTTTAATCCTAATCCTGTGTGGCCTTATTCAGAAGCCCTTTGCAAAGGCCGATCCCTAGCCATAGCTCTCTCTGCTCGGCCTTGGGCTGGGTGAATAATGACTTCCATTTCCTGCCCTGCTGGAGCCTTGGGTCTTTGCCACTGCCACCGTGGTGCTGAGCCACTTATTTGTTGTGAGATGACCCAAGGAGGACCAGCCGGTACCTGCTAGGCCCTTCTGCTGGGGCACGGGGTCAGGGGGCAGCACATGGGCATGTGGCCCCACTCCTGTCTGCTCCCCAGGACAACTCTATTTTCCAGCATGGAGTGCCCCTGGAGGTGGCGACAGCTCCTCTAATAAGAGAGTTACTCATGGCTTCACTGGAGAGAAGAGAGCAGCTTTCAACCCCCCTCTCCTAAACGCAACGATATTTGGTAACATGCGGCATCTTGGGGAGAGCATTCATGTCTGTAATTAGTTACTGTATATCACGGTTAGTACTCTGCTCAGAATTTACGGGGCAAATACCATTTAACTGCACAATAACTGCAGGTCCTTGCTGCTTATTGGGTAATTTACTAAGGCTGGAAGAACGGGGCAGGAGGGATTCTGAATGGGAGGTATTGTAACCCCTTGAATCAAACTTTATGAGTTTGGGTTTGGCAGGGAGGCAGCTGCTTGCAGCCAGTTCTCTTCTCTTTGTTTTGCAGAGTTGGCTGGCAGACTGCTTCCTTCCCTTGATTTATTGCAGGATGATAGGTCTGGGACTGGGGGTGGGACTGCCCGGGGCTACCTGGGGCTATGGAAGGGACTTTCCATAGAGGGTCTTTGGCTGAGAGTCTGCAGCAGGAACCCAGAGTCGGTGTCCTGGGGGCTCCATGCAGGACAGCAAATGGGCCCTGTCATTTATTTACTCCCTCCACGGGGCTGCTTTTTGTATCTGGGCCAGTGGGTGGAGAGTGCAGGGAGCTGTCCTTGGTTGGCAGCATCAAGATAATCGCCTAAGCCCTTTCTTCTCTTGCAAGTCCGTTGCTGCCTGGGAAGCAGCCATTCCTGGACACTTGGCCGACATTCCTGGCCTTAATCTGCTTGAGCAAAGTCTGTCTTTGTTTGGCCATGCACTGTCTAAACTCCTCTAACCTATTTAGGCCACAGAGAGGGGAGAAGACACAATAATGAAAAACTCAACGTGCAACATTGCCTTACGCAATCTAATAAATTACTTGGTACCCGGCTGCCAGCTCAGACTAAGCCCAATATTGCCTGCAGTAATTATTTGGATCAAATGCAGTTTATCTGCTTCATATTTGTGCTTCTGTGCTCAGTGATAACTTATAAATGTCATTGTGGTGTTTATTTGTTATAATGAAACTTAATGGCATTGGAAGCCAAGAGCAGAACTGGTGGGGCGGCAGGTTTAAAACAATCTCTTCATCTCGGGAGAAGGAATGAGCCAAGATAACATGAAACTGCCCTATAGGGAAGAGATTTGCAGAGATAGTGGTGTCCTCGTGCTGTGTGGTGGACGGGAGTGAGCCAGGAGCTTTGAGCTGGCACCAAGGGGAGCCGTCTTTGCCTCCAGAGATATCTATCTGGATCGGGGAGACATGGCTGAGCTTCACCCTGCACTGCCCCATCTGTCCTTGCTGCTTTCAGGGGTGGGAGGTGTTCAGTCTTTATACCACCTGATGCCTGCCTGGGATAAGAGATGAATAGGGATGGAAATTAGAGTCCCTGGGCCAGGCACGGTGGCCCACGCCTGTAATCCCAGCACTTTGGAAGGCCATTGAGGGAGGATTGCTTGAGCCCAGGAGTTCGAGACCAGCCTGACAACATGTGAGACCCTGTCTCAATTTTTAAAAATAAAATAAAATAAAATAAAATAAAATAAATAAAATAAAGAACTCCTGGATGACTGCATTATGGAGAACAGGCCTTCAGGGAGAAGGAAGGGAGCAGGGTTGGAGAATAAAGGAGGATATCATGAGGGCCCAGACAGAAGGTGGCAAGGCTTTCTCTTCTGGTTCTGGAGGGCATTGGTGGTAGGAAGCACAGAGCATGAGCAGAACAGGGAAGAGCTTTCAAGGGTTGCAGGGCAGGGCCCCCACTGGCGCTGCAGAAGTACCTGAGGCAAGGGCCATTTAATGTAGAACTCAGGGTTTTGGCTTCATACAGTCCTGGGCTCTGCTATTTCCTAGCTGTGTGGCTTTGGGCAAGTTATTTGTCTTTCCTAAGTTTCATTTTCTTTATGTGGAAAATGTGAGTGATAATAGATACCTCTCAAGATTCTGGTGATGATTAAATGAAGTGATGTGTGTAAAGTAATGACTGTGGTGTTTGGCACACAGGATATATGATAAATAAGGGGCTGTGGCAGTGATTGGCACATAGTAGATGTTCAATAAATGTTGAATGTATCCATGAATAATAACACTTCCCACTTGTGTGCATTACAAAACCCTCCTCCAAACAGCTGAGCTTGGATTTAGACCTCACAATTGTTCAGGGTTGATCTTCTCATTTTACAGTGGGAAATGGAGGCCCAGTGAGGTTATGGTAACTTGCCCAAGGCTTCCCAGCTGGTAGATGGAATGGGGTCTTAGTTCTCCTACCTCCCAGGGCAAGGTTGCTGCCACCAGTCCACCCTGGACAGCTCCCAATCTGTGCTGGGAGACTGACCTCATCCTTCCTGATGAGCTGCCCCTGCTCCTTGGAGACCAGGCACAGAGCCTGTGCTGACCTCCCCAGCACAACCTGGGGGCAGAAGCAAGCGGGCCGCTTTCTGTCCATTTCATCTTAATACAACATTCAGCATTCACTCATAAAATATTCATTTTCTCTCCTCGGTGACATGCTCATGCAAGTCTCCTAACATCATAAATATGGATGAAGACTATTAGTCATTTTTATTTATCTCACTAGCCCCTTCCCTCCCCAGCACACCTTTTGTCTTGATCTCAGCACAAATGGGACTGAATTGGGGCTATTAACCCGGATCTCTGATAATAAAGCCTTGCATCCTGTGGTGCTTTATACTTTTTTTCAAAGCATCACGCAATCGTGATGCATATTTTCTCCTTACAACAAATGCGTGGAGGAAAGAGGGCTAGCATCATGAGTATACCCATTTCGCAGATGAGAACATAGAGGTCAAGAGAGATCAAGGTCAAAGTCATATACTGAGACAGGAACAGAACTAATTTTTAAAAAACATTATTATTGTTATTTGTTTGTTTGACCTCCAAGGAAAGGTTCTCTGGGACACTGAGTGTGTTTGCTTCACACAAATAAATAATCTGTATAGTATTTTACAAGTTTATAAAGAGTGTTCACCCATGTTACTTGGTGGGTCCCCACAAGGCAGGTATGATTTACTCTTGTTTGACAAAGCTCACACAACCAGTTAGTGGCAGATCTGGGCTCTAAAACATTATTTCCCAAAGTGGATTTCAGGGACCACTAGTCCTGACACATGCTGCAGGAAAAATGTTTTGTGGTCAAATGAGTTTGGGAACTCTGTGAGTCATATCCCCTTTGGGTGGCTTACCATGGCCTTTGGTGTATTAGTGTCTCTGAGAAGTTCTGCAGGAAAGACTCTCATTTTGTTAGGTCTCATGTAGCTTCTCCCCACCGTGTCTAATCACGAAGGCTGCATCTGACGGAAAACCTATTAACATGCTACAGAAATGCTGCCTGTGTGTACGCGTGATCCCTCCTCCCCCGTGTGTTTGGAGGCAGTGAGGATTAGAGCGTGGCTGGGAGAGGAGCGTGCAGGGGTAAGGACGGGGTAGGGGACCCACTGCTGGGGACTACTAGAGCTGAAGCTCCCCTCCTCAGGCTGTGTCCTCTCTTTCCCTCTGGGCAGTGCAGAAAATTCACTCAATATTAGGCACAGTCAGCCCAGCCCATATCTGGGGCAGGATCAGAGGGGCCGCCTGAGTGGCGGAGTGGGGGGTCTGTGGTCAGTGAATGGTGGGAGATTTGGGGACGGCAGTCCTTGGCCATGGGGAAAAATCAACAGGGACCCACAATAGGGGCTTAGTCAAGTCTGCCCTGGACGATGGTGGGGAAGTCACCCTATCCTCGTCGCCCAGACACAAAGCTCCCGAGGCAGGGTGGAAGTAAGAAGGCCAGGCTTTGGCGTTCAGCTGGCTTACTCTAACATCTGTGTGCCTTTAGGTGATGATCTAATCTGTCTGAGCCTCTGTTTCTTCCTCCTCAGAATGTGGATAACACTACCCACTTTGTGACGTGGTGAGGATTAGATGGTGCAAGTGTGCAAAAGTACCCTCCTTGGCCCTCGTCTTTGTGTGTCAGCTCCATCTCTCTTCCCCTGCTTTTTTGGAGCCCCTCAGTCAGAACAAATAGCTTCCCACCTCCAGTCCTCCACGAGCCTGTCATCTGTACCTCTCTTTAGTTCTCCCATCGCCCTGCCTTCTGCCATTTTATTATATGCCCATCTCCCCAATGGACCTGAAGTTCTCTGCAGGCTGCTGCTGACTCTCTCAGTGCCCACTTGTATCTGCAGGCCCGACCATCCCGCGTCTTCAGGCCAACCTCCCATTGCCGGTGTCTGGACCCCTTCTCTTGAGGGCTTTCTCTTTAGTTGCGGAGGCCACTGTGCCCTCACACAGAGCAGGCCAGACCTGCTGGGAGACAACACCCTCACCCAGCAGCACTCCACCCATGCCCTACAGGAGCTGGTGCAGAAATACCCCACCGCTTGGGTGCCCTAGCTGTGAGGTGGTGTTCAATAGCACTTCTCAGAGTTTCTTACTGGGACTGGGCTCTGGCTGCCCATAGTGGTAGCAGGTTTGGGGTCCCCCCATGCCGATGCCTCCTTTCCCATGTCAATTTCCAACCCTCCCGCTGGCACCTCTGCACCTTCATGAGGAATGACTACACTAGCGCTCTTGCTTAGGGCCTGCTTCCAGGGGAACCTGAGGTAAGATAAGGGCATCCTCCAGGTGTCATTCATCTCTGCGTACACAGTGGGTGCTGATGAATCTCTGAATCCAGCAGAAATGAGCCATAGGAACAGCGCAGGGGTGACTGTCAATCAAGGCAATGACGTCAGTGGGCTCACCACGTGGGTGGGTCCTGGGAGCAACGAGATAGAATACCTGCTCCCTTCCACATCTGGAAGCATCCACAGCCACACTCACACCTCTGTACCTTCCCCACCTAATGTTTAGTCAAACCTTGGCAGGCACAGAGGAGCTGAGGTCCAGGGTCCTTTCTCTATGAGCTGAGAACAGGTTAGTGTTGTGTTTTGAGATCCTTTTATGAATAATGGTTGAGAAGTGCTGCTCTTTAGTACTAAGAATAGTGGTTATTCCTAGTGCATTTGACTCGGAGATGGGGACTATTCCATTGCTCTATTTGTCCCACACTCGGTACACAGTTACTGAAACTGTCACCGTGTCCTATATTCCATAGGCCATTATGTGTATTTCAAACCGTTATATAAATGGACTTGATTTGGCACTTCTGAATGTCATTAAACTCCTCCCATACCAGTAACAACACAGTTTCCATAGAAACGAATACATTTCAGAAAGGAAGGCACAGGGAAGAAAGCAGATGGAGTTAGGGGGAAAACGCGGCCCCCTGGTTCCTACTTCCAGAGCACAGGGCCCGGCACTGTGACATGAGCACTCTGTGGAGGTGGGGCAAGCTCCTTCAGGTTTTTATTGACTCCCTTTGATAAAAGCCCTGGATAATTCATCTCAGCCTGAACCTGCTCATTCCAGCGCACGGCTCTAAAAACTTTATGGCACCGCAAGCCATTAAGCGCCTTCGTTTATTCCAACTTCTCTGGGGCTTTCTTCAGACCCTGGGGAGAGGGCTGGGGGAGGGTCTCAGCACTCAAAGAATTCTGTGATGAAGCCTTTGAGGCTGGCTGGGGATGGAAGGAAGAAGCAGAGAGAAGAAAGGAGGCCTCCCCGGTGCAGTTGACATAGTGGAGACCCCAGGATCTTGCCAGTGGCTGCTGTCCAAGTCACTGGGTCCCCTCGTCATCAGTAAAGCTAGAATGCGAAAACTGCAGCCTCCTGGGGTGGAAGCGGTGTGGCGTTTGGAGAGCCTGGCTGAGGAGCTGCCCACCGCCTCGGCAGGCTGCAAGTTTCTTGTCTTTGGAGGGATTCAAGCATAGGTTGCAACAGCCTCTTAGAATAAAACATCTCACAGGGCTTATTTCTCCAGAAGCCATGCTGGACACTCCTCTCCTGGCCTACAGTGTGATTGGATTCTCCTTCTCTGTTTCCAATAGCTACTTATTCATACCCGGTTACCGCAACTGCGACATTGTATTGTAGTTGCTGACGTGTTTGTCTCTCCCCGCAAGACAGTGGTATCCTTGGGGGCAGGGACTGTGTTTTTACATGCACAGCGCCAGGCACAGAGCGGGTACTGGACACATGGTTGGTGAATAAATGAGCATTCCGCCGTGTTCACAGTCTTTACACACACTGGTACTTGGCAGGGATATGGAACCAGATGACCTTTGGTCCCTTCTGGCCTGGAGAATCTGTAATGATAGGGGTCTAAGCCTGCCCTGACTACACCCGGGATTTGAATCTAGATTTCTCCTACTCCTAAGCCACAGGGTTACGTTAAGAATATTAGTCGCACGCCTGTAATCCCAGCACTTTGGGAGGCTGAGGCGGGTGGATCACCCGAGGTCAGGAGTTTGAGACCAGCCTGCCCAACATGGCGAAACCCTGTTTCTACTAAACATACAAAAAATCAGCCAAGTGAGGTGGTGGGTGCCTGTAATCCCAGCTACTCAGGAGGCTGAGGCAGGAGAATCGCTTGAACGCGGGAGGCGGAGCTTGCAGTGAGCTGAGATCATGCCATTGCATTCCAGCCTGGGCAACAAGAGCGAAACTCCGTCTCTGTCTCGAGAGAAAAAAAAAAAAAGAATATTAGTCGCAATGATAAAAGGAAAACCAGAACCAAAACAGCCACAAAAACAGCTGGGTGTGAAATGTTGGAGAAAACTCTCCCCAACTGCATTTTTCCTCTACACTCACCACAACAGTCCACACAGGAGACCTCTGTGGCCAAACAGGTGGGAGCAGCGGACACCAGCTGGGTGTCCTCCAATTCAATTCTGACACTGTCTACCTGGAGATAGTGTCAGATCCCACAGGCTGGGGGCTCAGTCCCCAAGACTTCCCCCACACCCTGGCACCTGTCACAAGTTCAGGCTTCCAGAACTTCTGGCAGACCCGCTGCAAGTTGGGGGTTCCCAAGACCTTCTGTTTGGGTTTGATTAATTTGCTAGAGTGGCACGAAGACCTCAGGGAAACACTTACCTATGTTTACAGTTTATTCTAAAGGATATTACAAAGAATACAGATGAAGAGATTGGGGGGAAGGGGCAGGAGCTTCCACGCCCTCCCTGAGTGCGCCACCCTCCAGGAAGCTTTACATGCTCAGCTGCCCAGAAGCTCCCGAAACTCAGTCCTTTTGGGTTTTCATGGAAGCATTCCTTCCCCTAGGGTGTGAGGCGGGACTCTCTCAGGGAAGGGTCTTAAGACCCACAATCAGAAAGTGGTGAAAGGTTAGAGTCCTGCGATGGGGCAGGGGAAAGGAGGGCCGGAGAGAGATCCTGTTTCCCGAGGCCTGCCCCTGAGGCCTAACACACCCAACATATGGCAAAAGACTGTAGCAAGGGCTATGGGAGTTATGAGCCGGGAACCGTGGATGAAATCCCCCCACCCCATGCGCCTCTATATAGAAACATGTCTAGATACATCATCACGCCTCAGGCCATGCCCTGACTTTCAACCACTGATCCCTTACAGCAAAAGAATATATATGATCATTTAACAATTAGTCCAGTGCACTGTATTGCATGAATGTCTCCCAGGGTGAGGCCACTCAGGTTTGCAGGCTTTTTTTTTTTTTTTTGAGACAGAGTCTCGCTCTGTTTCTCAGGCTGAGTGCAATGGTGTGACCTCGGCTCACTGCAACCTCTCCTGGGTTCAAGCGATTCTCCTGCCTCAGCCTCCTGAGTAGCTGGGATTACAGGCATGCGCCACCATGCCCGACTAATTTTTGTATTTTTAGTAGAGATGGGGTTTCACCATGTTAGTCAGGCTGGTCTTGAACTCCTGACCTCAGGTGATCCACCCGCCTTGGCCTCCCAAAGTGCTGGGATTACAGGCGTGAGCCACTGTGCCCAGCCTGCAGGCTTTCTTTAGATTTGAAGAAAAGATTCCAAAACCAGGAGTGGTCCCAGCAAACACAGCTTCCCCCTTCCAGGCATCTGGGGATACCAAGCAAAGAGACAATGTCCTCTTTTGGTTCGAGACTCTTTCCAGTTGTTAATGTAGTATTGGATTTCCTTCATTTTATAACCCATTTTTCGTTTCTTTACTCTCAGGTATTATTCCTCATTTTCTCCACTAGTCGTTTATTTTTTACCTGCACTTTTCCACCTTTGGAAGGGACATTGGGTTCGGCCACTGTGTGGTCCAGATGGCTGCTGGCAGCACTAGTCCAGCCAGTGCCTCCCCTCAGTCCATTACCATTCATACCCGGGAAGGTTACGTAAGTTCCAAACGAGTGGACTATTCTTACCACCAGGCCCCCTAGTTGGATTTACTCTTAGCCCTAATTTTGCTAGACAGGGTGAAGGCACCTCCCACCCCCATCAGGGCCCTAGGAATTCTGACATAAGGTTTAAAAACACAGTGACAGTTTTTTGCTTAGAAGTTATCTCTGTTTCCAGCACTTGTAGTTGCAGCCCTGGTCCCGGGATCACTGCATCACACAGGGGAGAGAGAAAAGTTTTTTTTTTTTTTTTTTTTTTTTTTTTTTTGAGACAGAGTTTTGCTGTTGCTCCGGCTGAAGTGCAATGGCACAATCTCGGCTCACTGAACCTCTGCCTCCCGGGTTCAAGTGATTCTCCTGCCTCAGCCTCCTGAGTAGCTGGGATTACAGGCACCTGCCACCATGCCCAGCTAATTTTTTTGTATTTTTAGTAGAGACGGGGTTTCGCCATGTTGGCCAGGCTGGTCTCAAACTCCTGACCTCAGGTGATCCACCCGCCTCAGCCTCCCAAAATGCTGGGATTACAGGCGTGAGCCACCGTGCCAGGCCAAGAAAAGCTTTTTTTTTTAGCTGAGTTGGGAAAGAAAGAAAAAAATAGTCATTATACCAGTGTACTCCTTCCTTAGCAAGAATTGCATAGTTATCTAGCATCCTTCCCACATCCTCTTCCCCAGATCAGCCAGAAAAACAGAGGAAAAAGTCTAGTGGGGACACTAGTACCACTCATGGTGTGTGTGAGCACACTCGTGAAGGCGTGCAAGCCAGCCCTTCATGCTTTTATGTCCCCATTTTAGACAACCAATATTTCAATAGCCTGTTGTATTTCTCTATCAAATTCTTACTCTAAGGAGATCTCTCTGACCATTGCTGGACATTATGGGCTTACAGTGTGTCCCTTGGTCTGAAGAAATGATGGTCAGCTGTCCAAATGCATACAATATCTTCTGTTCCATTTTTTTTTAAATGACACTCTGAGCACTTCTATCTTCTACTGAGTAAGGAAAGCCCACTCCAGAGTCAGTGTCTATTCTAGGCAAGACCCATTTGTAGACCCGCAGCACCAGTCTCACTTGCTAGCTGTGTTTAGAGCCTTCCCACTAGGGAATCTTCCACATAGCCACTGGCAGTCTCTGTCTCTCTTGCTGGCAGACAGAATAGCTCTTACTGGCATTATGTGCCTGAGAGGGTGCAAAGGGAACATGTCCAGATTCAGCCCATCTCTACACTGCTGCGGTGCCTCCATATCTACCCATTTCATGAGCCCAGGTGGCCACCTCAAGGGAGCAGCTGGGGCTATCTGCGTGTCGATTCCCGTCACCTTCTGAACCTTGAAGGGAGTTCTTCTGATGGGAACTGACTTGTTCTGCTTTAATGCACCCCTCAAATTTCCATAGGGCTGTGCTCCACATGGGCATCCCATTAAAAGGCCAGGTTTCCATTGCCCTTCTGCCTGGCCACTCGGCCAGGCCATTGGTCACTGCCCATGATTCAGTAAAACCTAAACACAGAGGCCTCTACCATTGTTCATTTTTTTCCATCACTATTAGGAAAACAGCATGCAATTCAGCTCATATGCAGACCTGTATTTACCTTGTCTGATCAAAGTAGTAACCTTCGAAACAGGTTGGTGTCCATTCACATTGGAACTGCTGTCTGTCAACCAAACAGCTCCTGAGTCAATCAAGAGCTGTTCATAATGCACTGTCCACGTGTTGATCGAATCCAGCAGCACCTCACACAGTTCCAGAGTCAGTTCTAGGGGGAGAAGAAGCTCCCTGCCTGAGAGTGTCTTGTCCTTGAATTCCACAGGCAGCATGATCCTCTAGAAACCATTTCCATTTTATGTACTCTTCTGGGCACTGCTGTCCCCATTAGAATGTTTCTCTGACATCACCGAAGACAGGATGAGTATTTCAGGTGGGTCCTGCGCACCCACCTTCCAAGACAGCTAAGGTTTCATAGCAAGGCAGTAAATGCCCTCAAGTGGAAATTCTCTAGTCCGAAGTCCTAGCAGTTGCTGCTGGGAGGTGCTCAGAGGTGTTTGCCATAAGCCCCAGGAATTGCTCCATAGAAGTATATGGAGTCTTCCCAAGAGGAGGTAAACTTTCTGGGGACCAAGACAAGTGCCCGCTGCCTGTGTTACTCTGGATGAATCACATCCCTTTCCTGAGTCTTGGTTTCCTCCTCTCCAGGTGACTGCCAATGTTTCTTTTAAAAGTCTATGATTGTCAAATTATCCAGTCCCAGCATCTTGGAGCTACTGACTAGGGGCAGAGAAGGTCACTGTCCTCACTTTGCTGACAACATCTATGCAAACACTGTGTTGGGCTCCTGGGATCTAATGGAGACCAAACAGAGCCAACTGACTGGTAGGGGAGACAGGTGTTATTAACACAAAATAACTGGGCTCCCAGCTAAACCCCACCCTTAAGCCTGGAACTGCAGCCCTTAGTGAAAACAGGTGACTCAATTTTTCTCCCAATTGTTGCTTTTTTGGCCTGCCACATCCCTATCCTGTGCCCATGAAAAGACTTCAGCTGGCAGAGTAACACAAGCGGCTGAGCGTCAGGGATACAAGTGGCTGAGTGGTGAGCAGGGCAGCAACTGGGCATCGGAGACTATGGATAGACGAGGCTAACTTCAGACAGTGCAGCTTCAGGGAATGATTGCCTTCTTCCTGCACCATCCCCTTTCCAACTCCTCATTCCGCCAAGAGCCCCTTCCATCTCCCAATAAAATCCTCCGCATACACTACCCTTCAATCTGTTCATGTGACCTGATTCTTCCTGACACTGGACAAGAAGCTGGGTGCCGAGAGGGCAGGAGCTTGGACACTGCTGTGGGGCCGCACAGAGCCTGCTTCTGCCAGAGATGAGTGACTGGCCGGTTCCAGCGTTCATTCCCTCTGGTTCCTGCACTTGCTTGCTCACACACTCCCTCTCTCAAGCAGTGGCCAGAGGTAGGCTGAGTGAAACAAGCCACTCCAGTTCCCACCCACAAAGAGGGTCAAGGTTAAGGGAATTATCCCATCTCATTAGTAAATAATTGCAATATGAATGTATATGTACAAACTGAACTCAGAGCTCTGAAAGGAAGGATCTGGTTCTACGGGAGCATGTGACACAGGAACTGGATCTTGACTGAGGAGGGATGGGTCAGTGGAGGCATCACTGGAGCAGAGACTTGAGCTGTGATTTGAAGGATGAGCGGGAATTACCAGGTGAAGGGTTTGGGGATGGGGTGAGCGTGGCAAGCAGGGTAGACACAGGGAGCAGGGTAGACACAGGCCCTATGACAGGGGCCCTGCTTGAGGAGCAGCAGGAAGGCCCATGTGACTGGAGCGCAGGGTGTTTAAGGGGGTAGGATGAAGTCAGAGGTAGGTAGGAACCAGATCACGTGGCACCTTGTAGAACATGCTAACAATGTGAGCATTTTTTTTTTTTTTGAGACGGAGTCTCCCTCTATCACTCAGGCTGGAGTGCAGTGGCACGATCTCGGCTCACTGCAACCTCCGCCTCCCAGGTTCAAGTGACTCTCCTGCCTCAGCCTCCCAAGTAGTTGGGATTACAGGTGTGTGCCACCACGCCTGGCTAATTTTTTGTGTTTTTGGTAGAGGTGGGGTTTCACTATTTTGGCCAGGCTGGTCTCAAACTCCTGACCTCAGGTGATCCACCTGCCTTGGCCTTTCAAAGTGCTGGGATTATAGGCGTGAGCCACCGTGCCCGGCCTTCAGTATTTTTTTCTTAAAGCCATTGAAATATTTTCAAAAGGAACATGACATGGTCAAATTTGCATTTCGAAACACTGCTCTGGCTAAAGTGTGGAAAACGACCTGGGCATGGGGATTGGGCATGATAGATGCAAGGAGCCAGTTAGGAGAGCCCTGATGCAGTCCAGGGGAGAGAGGCTGGGGACAGGGTCTAGGGTGGTGGCATGAGATGGAGAGAGGAGGGTGGGTACAGGAGGCACTCAGGAGATAACATCCCTAGGACTTGCTGAGGACTGGATATGAGTGTGAGGGAAAGGGAAGTTATAAAGGAACTTTGGCTGGGTGCAGAGGCTCCTGTCTGTAATCCTAGCACTTTGGGAGGCCCAGGTGGGAGGATTGCTTGAGGCCAGGGGTTTGAGACCAGTCTGGGCAACATAGTGAGGCACTGTCTCTACGAAAATTTAAAAAATTAGCTGGGCATGGTGGTGCATGCTTGTTCTTCTGGCTACTTGGGAGGCTGGGGTAGGATTGCTTGAGCTTAGGAATTGGAGGCTATAGTGAGCCACGATGGTACCACTGCACTCTAGCAGAATGAAACCTTGTTTTGGTGAAAAAAAGAAAAAAGGAACTTGGCAGGGTCTGCAGCTTAGGGGTCCACAGTCTAAGAGAGGCAGGACTCCTGGTAGGAGGTAGGAAAGGTGGCTGGAGGAATGGGCTGAGAAAAAGCTTTGGAATGTTCCCTCAGATCCTGGCTGGAGAGTGGAAACGGCAGGTCTCTTGTTCCAAGACACTGAGCGAAATAAATAACAATCATAAAGTGCCCTGTAAATCTGACTCTTGCCATAAATAATAAACAGGGATATTATACAAATAACGGGCTTTGCAGCCCCAGTGGAAGAAAACACATCAGTAAGAAAAATGAATTTAGAAAAAATGCACCCCAAAGCCCCAACTAACAAAATGACGGTATTAGCCAACATCCCGGGGGCTCGGCAGGCAGTGGAGGAATGGGCTCAGGAAAATGACTGTGGCCCTTAGCGCGAGCCAGACTGTACGGCTGCAACAGAGTGAGAAGTGCTGCCGGTAGCAGGGAGGCCTGCTCATCCCTGGGTCAGGTCCCCAGGCCAAGGACCCTGGCCTGCTGCTTCCCCTCTGCCCTGAGAAAAGCACAGCTCATCCCACAGGCCTGCCCGACTCTTTCCCTGCCACCCAGCATATAGCTGATATGGCCTGAGTTCACCCTTAATGACAGATGGGAGAAAGAAACACGGATCCACCTTCAGAGGCTGCCAAGGAAAGCCAGTCTATTGACTTTTTTGTACTGGTTCCTTTGGTGACCAAGACATTTAAAATTATGGGATGGGCTGTGAGAACAGGGTGTGGGCTGGGTGTTGAGATCCAAGATAGATTTTTGAATCATCACATTTTAGAGACATACAGGTCATCTTATGAAACATGATTCCATTTTGCACATGAGAAGGTTGAGATCTTAGTGTCTAGGGACTTGCCCAAGCTCACACAGCCGGCTCCTCACTCTTAAGTGCTCCTCCCACTACACATCCCAGCTGTGGGGCACCTCTCTTTCTATACGAGGAAACAGTAGAAGCTTTAGACTCATTTTTTTATTAGTGTACGAGGGTGCATAAAGAACAGGCTCTCACGCCATCATAAAGAACTTTAGAGCTGTCGAAGAAATGAGATTCTCAACCTCCCAGGGCTCTGACTCCCCTGTAAGGCTGGGAAGTGAGGACAGGTGCTGTGGGGGAGGGGCATTTGCACACAGAGCCTGGACTGGGACCACAGTGCTGTTCGGGAGCTGTGGGCCATGCAAGAGGCTGCTAGTTATTTATGGAACCAGCTTTCCCCTTCCTGGGTGCTCCAGCTCTTCCCACACAGGGTAGAGGTCTCCAGTCAGCAAAAGCTGCCTTTGCTAATCACTCACAAGTATTTCGTCCTGAAAGATGAAAGGGACAGCACCCAGAGGCATTTCTGCTCTCCCTTGGTCTCTTGAAGCAGACATCATTGCAATGCTGAAAGTCCACGGAAACCGACACCCACCCTGATGGGCAGCCCAAGAAGGCACCAGTGTGAGGGAGGAGTACCCTCCTGTGCAGGCCCCCCTCTGCCCCAAGGGGATGGCTGAAGGGGAGGTCAAAACTTCGGTGCCTCTGCTTCTTCCCTCCTTTAAATATCCTCTTCCTCATTTCCCCTTCTCAAGAGTCCTGTGGCCTGCCAGCTTTTCTGGTCCCCCAGGAATGGTCTTCTCTGGTCTGTGTCCCTCACTCCAGGTCTCCCCTGATTTTCTGCAAATCAACTCAAGTTTTCCCTGTGTTCTGCCCTTTCTTCTCCCTGCCTTGCCACTTCCTCTCTTTCCAGCCACCCTGAAAAATGAAACCAAGCTGAAGTGTTAGAGGCTTTCCCTCTGCTCATGGTCTCAGCCTCCTCTTCCAGAAGTCTAAGAGCCCTGGGTGTCTGGAGCCCTGGGCTGTGGTCCTGGCTCTTCCAGCCACTTCATATGGGCCCCGGGCAAGTTGCTGCATGCTCTTGGGCCATGCTGTGTTATTGGGTTGCACTGTAATCTCTAGAGTTGTTGACAGGTCTAACATAGAGGAGGCCTGAGCTCTCTGAGGCAGGCACAGCCCCTCCCCTGATACATGTGACAGCCTTCTACTCTGCCTGGGAATAGGATCAGGTCTGGGGAAGCCATGTGCTTTGAGAAGGTGAGTGGTCTGGATCTCCAGGAGAGAGAGGTCATAAAGGGGGAGGGCCAGGAAGGGGAGGTGAAGGTTGTGTGCGTGTGTGCACACATGTGGGTGTATGTGTGCATGTGTATACATGTGTGCAGGTGTGTGCATGCATGTGTGCATGTATACATATGCATGCAGGTGTGTGCATTGTGTGTGTATGTGTGTGTGCATGCTCATGTGTGTGTTGGAGATGTGGCTGAGGAACCAGTGAGAGTAAACTGGATCTACTTAAAGATGTCCTGAGAGCATGGGCTGGCAGTAGGTGGGGTGAGGAAGGAGAGCTGGTACAGAAAGAAGGGAAACTACCCCTGGGGAAGGCCTCCTCACCCAGCCCTGCTTCCACGACTTGCCTGGACCCTACTCCCAGGAAGGGGCTGTAGCACTGGAACTGGAAGAAAGCCTGAGAGTGAGCACCAAGGTAGACTCTAGGAATCACCCAAAACAGGGAGACCATTTTGTGGACTGTTCCACATCTGTGTGCTCTATCTGAGGCGCTCCTTTTCAATACCTACCTGACACCTGTGGGGACTTTGTACATTCCTCCATTGTCACTCAGGGCCCTAGTTAATTACCTAAATGAAAGTTGAGCGACTACTCCCTATGTGCAAGACACTGGGCGAAGGCCCAGGGAGAGGAGAGGAAGGAACAGGAGTCTTTGCCCTCCTCCAGCTGATTCTCTACATGGGACTGACAGCACATGAGGAAGCAGACCAATAAATAATCACACATCATGATAGGTGCCACTCGATACACACACCAGCTGCTGTGATGAGCACAGGGTGCAGGGAGAGGGTGTCTGTGTAATTTAGGTAGATGGAAGGCAGGATCTCTTTGTGGAGGTGACACATACACTGAGATGTATTTTTACTGTGAGCTCCTTGAGGGCAGAAAATGTGTCTTACTCTACTTTTTTTTTTTTAGATGGAGTCTCACTCTGTCACTCAGGCTGGGGTGCAGTGGCAGGATCTTGGCTCACTGCAGCCTCTGCCTCCTGTGTTCAAGCGATTCTCCTGCCTCAGCTTCCTGAGTAGCTGGGGCTACAGGTGCGCACCACCAACCCTGGCTGATTATTATTATTTTTTTTTGTATTTTTAGTAGAGACAGGGTTTCACCATGTTGGCCAGGCTGGTCTTGAACTCCTGACCTCAAGTGATCTGCCTGCCTTGGCCTCTCAGAGTGCTGGGATTACAGGCATGAGCCATCGTGCCTGGCTTGTGTCTTATTTTTATAGCTCCAGTGCTTAGAACAATTCTGGCACTTGTAAGAAATTGGTATTATTTTTATGGTATTCAATGACTGTTTGATGAATAACTGAATGATCACTCATCAGCAGTTCCTATATAAAGCACATGTGCTTAATCACATGAAGACAATGATCTCAAACAAATGTGATATTGTTATGGCTAGTCTGTCTTTACTTCCTCCTTTCTTGCCTGCCCTTTGTTGATTTCTGTTTGTATCTCCTTTTGATGGCTCAATTGTGTTGGGTCCACACAGTAGAGGACACACACGCACACACACACATACACTCTCCATATATTACCAACCACCTCCATTCCTGCAAAGACTGCAGATTCTATCCACGAAGCTATTAAGCACTCCCAAATAGAGCAAACCTCTCATTGACTATCACGTGCCTCCTTAAATGATCTTTGAATAGCATTTTCTTTTTATTGCTTTGTGTAGTTTAACGGCACCAATTGCAATTACTCTAACTTATGATAAACCCCAGATCTATAAAGCTCCTGTTCATTCATTATTTTCCTCTTGCTCCTTCTCAAGCTGTTATTTTTTGGAATGTAGTGAGGAGGGAGGAGTGGAGAGAGAAGAAAATAAAAGGACACCAAATTAACAGGAAAACAAATAAAATAGGGAAGCACTTCTCCCTGGGTGACAGGCACCTTATTAGATACTGTTAAACAGAACAAATATGCTTTAATACAGCACAAGTAGGTCTTTTATATTTATTCTAAATGGGAAATACAATGATCATCAACTTATCTTTAAGGGAAGAAGAAGCTAATTGTTCTAATATCTCACTAATCCTAGCAACTGGGAGAAAAATAATTGTTTTTCCCTATTTTACCAATTGTTCAATTTATACCAAGGTGTGTTGTGTAGCATGGACAGAGATTTCTATTTCTTGATGTATGTCATGGCTGCTATTCCATTTTAATTATTAATATGTGGAAATTATAATTATTTTGAGTATTGGTATGAGATAATTATAAATATAAAACAGCTCCGCATGCTTTCTGATGCCTTTCTTATCTGCAGACATGTTGGAGTTTGGGCGTATGAGCTTTAGAGAGAGAGAAATGTATAATGTGGTACTTAGGGCAGCAAGGCTGGCTGGAGTGGAAGAAGAGGAGCTTCCTCCCTCCAGAGCCCTCCCTCTCCTTCACCTCTGCCTTCCAGCTCTCCAGAGCCAAAGCTGACCCACCTGTGTCTCTCCTCTGCCCCACTGCCTCACCCTCCTCTTACCCTGTCTCTGAGTTGTTAGTTGAGATTTCTAACTCATCACACATGTTGGCTCAGCTTGCATCCCATCCCCTCATCTCCTCAGCCACCCAGAAGCTGAGGTCAGATATCTGGAGCTATGGGTTTCAATTCCAGCCCAGCTCCTGACTTTTTGGCTTCCCCAATCCCTACAAACCTCTTTCGAGCTTCTCTAATGAGCATCGCCAGCAAGAGAACATGTCTATTCAGCACCACGGACAGAGGCACGCTGTCAGTTCCCACAAATTAGAAGTTACTGCCTAGCAGTCTTGTCAAGGCAGTGGTGTTGGGGAGGGAAGGGGAGGCTGAGAAAGAGAAAAGTCAGTAAAGGCAACTGACTAGCAGGACACAGAAAATGCGGCCCCCAACTCTGGTTGTACTCAGCCATGGGGTTCCTACAAATGGGAAGTAGCTTTTTGATGCTGTTGGCTTCAGGCAGGCAGCAAATGGGGGAGGTGATCACTTCCTGTGCTTAATTGTGCTGGCCTAACTCTTGTCAGATTGTCACCATGATGGGTGCTGGAAACAGGTCCACAGCTGGCAAAGTCTCAGGCATGGGGAGCGCATGGGGATGTGGTTGTCGTGGTCGGGGTTGGGAGGAGAGACAGCTGAGGAGCTTGGAAAGAGGGCACTGAGACCATGCTATGGGGATAGAGATGGTAGAAAGAAGCTTCCTCCTTCTTGCTGGAATGGGAATGAGGAGACATGGGCCCTGGGCCCTGGAAGGGGAGGGGTCCAGCCCATGGCAAGCATGGCTGGTGGGAGCCAAGGCTTCATTTGTCTGACTTTAATGAATAAATGGCATCCCCAGCCATTGTTTATCTACTTTTGAATCCTGACAAATAGTCTGTGGCATCTGATGGAGAGGGTTATTAGCTGCATGGAGACAGATGGCTAGGGATGGAGAGGATTGGTTCTTTATTACAGCAGACCCGTAAGTGACAGCACTCCTCCTCCCAGCCTCTATGCCAATGTCAACACGTTTCTCAAGCCTTCAGTGACCCAATGAAGCCAGTGCAAGAGGAAGACAGAATGGCCTCTGAGTAAGAGGGAGGGGTAGGGTCAGTGGAGTTGGGAAAGGGGGCAGGTTTCCTAGGGTAAGTTCTTTGGGAATAAAGACATTGCCATATTCTTCTTTGGTATTCTCCTAAGTGCCTGTATAGTGCTGTTTATTCAACAGGCATTCAAGAAACATGAGTGATGGAGGAGGCAAGTAGAGAGGTCTGGATTAGAAATGAAAATAGGAGCAGATTTAATTGGGCTGGCTGTGGGGTGGGGTGCGGAAGAAATGGTAGGGAAGAGAGAGGAAGAGAAGTAGGAGACACAAAGGGAGAAGGGAAGATTGCATAAAGAAAATGCCCCTGAATCAGCATCCTGTGTTTCAGGCATTCACTATGCTTCCCCATGTGATTGTACAAATGGCTTCATGGAAACCAAACTGGTCTTCCCACTGTCCCCTTCTGAGAGGTCCCAGGTTCTTATTCCTGGTTCCTCTGTCCTGTGGCTGTAGGGGAGAGCTTCCTCCCTCCAGATTACTCCCGAGACAATGGGGAGGTTCTCACTGACCTTCATTCATTCTCCGAAACTTGTCCTTGGCCATGTAGCCCAGCACCAGACAGCATCCTCTCTTCTGGAGGCCCAGCTCTGGAAGAGAAGCATAGGTGGGTGAGTTGGGAATGGGAACAGGTCAGGCATTGTTGGGGGGCCCTCTGCAGGGGGCTGTGGAGCTTGTTGCTCTTATAAACAGAGGTGCTTTTGTTTAGCCAACATTTATATGGAAATTGTTATGTTCCAGGCATAAGTTTAAGCCAGCAATTCTTCATTTTGATTCTCATAACAACCCTGTGAAGGATGTTTCCCCATTTTCTATCATCCCCATTTATAGATATATGAAGTTAGTGGCACTGGATGAAAGAGCTAGCAGGTGGTAAAGCCAGAGCTTTGAACCTAGGCAGTCTGGCTCTGAGTCCATGCTCATAAACATAACTCTGGGTTATTGAGGCCCTTTGTATCTCAGGCTTGGGGACTATGCTCAGATCAACTTGGGACTGTGGCCAGACCTGCCAGGGATGATGCAGAATCTATCCAGTCGTGTCTAGGATGGAACAGTGCAACCAGACATGGTGGGTGACTCAGGAGGATGAAGTGATTGCGTGAGTTTAGGGCAGCGGGGCGACACAGAGGTTAAGGTATAGGCAGAAGAGCTCTCTCTACCTTTTGGAGAGGGTGCGTTTCTGGTGCTAGAGATTCCTGTGCCTTCCTATATCAAGGCCCAATTTAGCACCATCATCAAGCACTTATGAAATGTAGACTTAGAGCACAGGGGTCGAGATAGCTGAGAGACACGGACTCCACAGGGCTTTGACCCAGTTGGAAAAACAAGATGGAATAACAATTCCAGGTAGCAAATGCAAGAGATAACTTTTTTATTTGCACAGTATTTTGTAAATCAGTGTCCATTGTGTGTGTGAGCATTAAATTGGAGTCCATCTGCCTCACAAGAAGGCAAGCTTTCCTCTCTGGTATTTGTGCTTTATCCTGATTCATCTTAATCACTTTATGGATCCTGAAGCAATAGCACACTAATTTTTTTGACCCCCCTCTACCCCCAAACAACTCACTGAGGTGGGCATATGGGCCACTGCAACTGACATTATGCAGATGGGAAAATTGAGGTTCAACCATGTTAAATGACTTCCCACGATTGTCTTAGACCCCCACCCCACCTTGTAGCATAGAAGTCTTACAAATGTGTCAGCTGCCACAAACTTGGTAAATAGATAAGGAATTTGATTTCTGGAAGAGGGAATATGACTGCAGCTCTTCCTGGCCCTTGCCAGGGTTTCTGGGCTCCTCCCTGCTCCTTCCTTTGATTTCTCAGAGAAAGAGGGTCCCAATGAGTGATGCATCACAGCACCTTCTCCCACGACACCGACTGCCTCCCTGAACCCAGCCAGTCAGTGTCTAGGCTCAAGAGGATAGACGGAGCGGGTCATTCCTCTTTCTCCTCTTCCATCCACCGTCTGCAGCCCAGGTCCACCCACCAAGCATAGCAGGATGAAAGAGAGTGCAGGGCCCATGAGACACAGATAAGTCAAGCTCAGGGGCTCTTGCCCTAGAGAAAAACAAAACATGGCAGGAGGTGGCAGAACGCCACGGCCCAGGGAGGTCCCTGGCTTTGATCTCCTGATTCTTTAAAGGGGTTTATTGACTATCAGTAAAGAGCAGAGAAGCAGATCTGAGGGCACTGTTTCCAAAGGCACTCACTTCTCTTCCTTCCCCTCCACACTGGCGTCTGAAGGCTTAGCCAAACCGCCCTCACTTCAAACGGTCTTACATCTCAGGCACCCAAATTGACGATGTTAAGTTCCCTCATTCAAGGCCTTGGCCCTTTCTTCAGGGGCTCCTGCTCTGTCGCAGGCCTCATGGATCAAAGCCCCTTTGATGTTTACTTACTGTATTTGTGGATTCTTTCTAACAACCACCTTCAAGAGGCAGGAATGCAGCCTTCCAGGAGGGGGCCAGTGGAAGTACAAGCTGCGAGGAGGTGCTGAGCTCCCTGGAACAATAGCCTCTCGAGGGAGACTGTATTGAAACCTCAACACGCTGACGACAGGCAGAGTTAACCAGCCCATTGTAATTGCACACGCATTGTTCATCATTAGAATGATACAATTGCTGACAATTCCTATTATATTTTTGCCATTGACTTCGTATGCCCATCTAAAGCACATCAGCAATGGCTCCTAATGAGAAAGGGAGTTTGGGCTCCTGGACTAAGCCCAAACTCAATCCAGGAGCTTGGGAGGGAGGCAGGGGAGCACTGAGTAGGGAGGGCAGAAGATACTGGATGGATTTAGGCCAATGTTCCAGCTGGTCTTCTGGACTGTGACTGAACGCTCAGGCAAATGGAAGGGCGAACAATTCTCTTACAGATTTAGAGAGTGTGAGCAATCTGTTGACTCTGGATTGTCTTAGTTGGATAGAGAACTCAACCTCTCCTATGCCACATACTAGGACACCCCCCAGGGCAACTGCTTGAGGAGAGGCTGTGTGGACAAGTGGTTATGATATAATAACTAAGAGTCTCACTGATTATGTTTGATTTTTGCAAATGAGCAGGAAAAGAAGTTTTAAAAAACCTGATTAATAAAAGAAATTGAGAATGAGGCAATTTCTCAATGTATTTGGCTCATTTAATTTGACACGCGTGGGTTAGTCTTAATTATTTAGGCGGCTACGTTACAAGGCGCTAATAAGCACACTGCAGAAATTTATTAAGTGCGAGGGCTCTCTGACTGAGACTTTGTAGAGAAGTGGGGAGAAGCTACTGGGATCTTTGCAAGAACGAGCAGGTTGGAGGATGAGTGAAGTGAGAATTAGTTAATTGTCCATATATGAAAATTTGGGATGTCCTTTGGAGAGATTTGCAAAGCTAAATTAAAGGTCATTGGGTTCACATGAGTGTGCCAGCAGGGAGTGAAGTGGGGGAAGGGAGGGGATGCTGGAAACCCAAGTGGGGAGGTGAATATTGTCCAAGCTACTAACCACAGAGAGAACCAGGAGGAAGCAGGAGGCAATTGCTTTGGCTTGGGGAGACTCTACCAAGCCAAACTAACTAGGTTATTAGGAGAGAGATGATAGAACATGACAGAAAGAACAGGAATCTCTCTCTTTGTGAGGTAGATCAGCCACCACCAGACTGTCACCTTCCTTGTCCCATAGCATGGAGATGAATGGGAGAGTCAGATCACAGATGCACATTTTGGAACAGTAAGATGATGGGATCTTCTCCAAGTAGGCTTTGGGGGTGCTGTCTTTGGCTTTATCAGTAGCAGAAACACCCAGATACTCTAAAGCTGGCTATGGAAAAATAATTACCATGAAAGGAGTCAGCCCTGGCTTAAAAGGAAAGTTCATAGCAAGGAAGTCCAGGGTCACCTGCAGATGGGGCAGTGGAGGGCACTGTCCCAGGAACAAGGAAGGTTTAGGAATACCACCTGTGCAAGGAAAAATGGATTGGAGTAGGGTATGTTTCTTAGGGAGAAGATAAGTTTGCACCCTTGGGAACTCCTGGCCTCTGGACTCTGAGCAAC